>NC_000011.10:133530681-133839869 GCF_000001405.40 Homo sapiens | reverse complement strand
TTTTGCGGGTATTCTTCTCTCTTTTTATTCTCCTTCTTGTCTTCCCGTTACACATATGTGACACCTTTTGAGATTGTCCCACAGTTTTTGGAAAATGTTTCACTTTTTTCCACTCTTTTCTTTTTCTCTTTGTGTTTCAGTTTGGGTAGATTCTACTGACATTTCTTTTTTTTAAATTTTTTAATTATTATTACACTTTAAGTTTTAGGGTACATGTGCACAACTTGCAGGTTTGTTACATATGTATACATGTGCCATGTTGGTGTGCTGCACCCATTAACTCGTCATTTAACATTAAGTATATCTCCTAATGCTATCCCTCCCCCCTCCCCTACCCCACAACAGGCCCCGGATTGTGATGTTCCCCTTCCTGTGTCCATGTGTTCTCATTGTTCAATTCCCACCTATGAGTGAGGACATGCGGTGTTTGGTTTTTTGTCCTTGTGATAGTTTGCTGAGAAAGATGGTTTCCAGTTTCATCCATGTCCCTACAAAGGACATTAACTCATCATTTTTTATGGCTGCATAGTATTCCATGGTGGATATGTGCCTCATTTTCTTAATCCAGTCTATCATTGTTGGACATTTGGGTTGGTTGCAAGTCTTTGCTATTGTGAATAGTGCCGCAATAAACATACGTGTGCATGTGTCTTTATAGCAGCATGATTTATAATCCTTTGGGTATATACCCAGTAATGGGATGGCTGGGTCAAATGGTATTTCTAGTTCTAGATCCCTGAGGAATCGCCACGCTGACTTCCACAATGGTTGAACTAGTTCACAGTCCCACTAACAGTGTAAAAGTGTTCCTATTTCTCCACATCCTCTCCAGCACCTGTTGTTTCCTGACTTTTTAATGATCACCATTCTAACTGGTGTGAGATGGTATCCCATTGTGGTTTTGATTTGCATTTCTCCGATGGCCAGTGGTGATGAGCATTTTTTCATGTGTTTTTTGGCTGCATAAATGTCTTCTTTTGAGAAGTGTCTGTTCATATCCTTTGCCCACTTTTTGATGGGGTTGTTTGTTTTTTTCTTGTAAATTTGTTTAAGTTCACTGTAGACTGTGGATATTAGCCCTTTGTCAGATGAGTAGGTTGCGAAAATTTTCTCCCATTTTGTAGGTTGCCTGTTCACCCTGATGGTAGTTTCTTTTGCTGTGCAGAAGCTCTTTAGTTTAATTAGATCCCATTTGTCAATTTTGGCTTTTGTTGCCATTGCTTTTGGTGTTTTAGACATGAAGTCCTTGCCCATGCCTATGTCCTGAATGGTATTGCCTAGGTTTTCTTCTAGGGTTATTATGGTTTTAGATCTAACATGTAAGTCTTTAATCCATCTTGAATTGATTTTTGTATAAGGTGTAAGGAAGGGATCCAGTTTCAGCTTTCTACATATGGCTAGTCAGTTTTCACAGCACCATTTATTAAATAGGGAATCTTTTCCCCATTGCTTGTTTTTGTCTACTGACATTTCTTGAAACTCCAATTCTTTCCTCAGCCTTGTCCAGTCTACCAATGAGTCCTTCAAAGACATTCTTTATTCCTATATAGTGTTTTTGATTACTGGCATTTTCTTTAGACTTTTTTTCTTAGAGTTTCCATCTCTCTGTTTACATTACCCATCTGTTCTTGCGTGTTGTCCACTTTCCCCATTAGAGCCCTTAGCATATTTTTCATAGCTGTTTTAAATTCCCAGTCTAATAATTCCAACATATCTGACTGGTTTCTATACTTGCTTTGTCTCATAAAGCTATGTATATATATTTTTAGCAAGCTTTGTAATTATTTTGGGGAAAGCAGGACATGATTTATCAGGAAAAGGAGCTGCGGTAAATAGGCCATTAGTGTGAGGCTGTATGTTTACCTGGCTGGGAGGCTGTGTTTATGGTTTTGTAGCATGTCAGAGGTTAAGGTTTCCTCTGGCATCCTTGTCTTTGTCTTTCTTGTTGTCTTTGAGTGTCCCTAGAGGCTCCTTCTTAAATAGAGTCTGAGGTTTACAGTTATTTCTGCTGTAATCCCGTTATTATATAACCAGGGATTACATAATTATATAATAATTTAACACAATATGGGAAGCCTATATTGTGGTGATAAGTGCGTGGGAGGGGAAGTGTTCTATATTTGCAAGATTAGTTCTCAGTGTTTAGTGAGCCTTTCCCTCTGGGCTGTGACCTTTCTGTGTGATTCTCAGCTTCCCCCCTCATTGACCTTAGGAAAGACAGGAAGGCTAGAGGGGAGGGTCTGGAGTTGGGTATTCCCCTTCTCCCAGGCTGGCTTGGCCCTGGCAAAATAGTTTCCCTTGAGGGTGGGCTCTTGTTAAGGAGAACAGAATGCTCTGGACATATTTAAAAATGGCTACTTTCCCCTTCTCTTTTCATTGTGAGGAGCTAGTAGAGCTCCTAAAGGCAAAACTCATGAAAGTGTGGGGATCCCCCCAATGACTGGGCCCTGGACTTTTTAATAGTCAACATTGTCCACACTTAGCCTCCAGCAATTTGTCAGTTACAGTTTAGGTAGTTTAGGTTTTCCTGCCCAGCACTGTTTCCTGTGGAATTTTGTGTGCCTGGTCTTCTGTCCAGTAAGTTGTGAGTCTCTGTATCCAACTTTCTGCCTTTCCAGTCTTCAGGTCAGTGGTTTGCCTTCTGAGCTCAGTTCTCTGAGGGATTTAAGAAGAGTTGTTGATTTTCAATTTATTCAGTTCTTATTGTTAGGATGAGAGTGATGACTTCCAAGCTCTTTAAATATCAAACTAGAACCCGGAAGTCTTATTGAAGTATTTATTGAGTGTCCACGAGAATGACCACTGATGTTCGCTGAGCACTTTCTATATGCCTGGTCCTATCCAAGGACTTGAAATGTATCCAAGCACTAAGCCAAGCAGGCTTTGGCATAGATATTAGTATTATTATTAGAGAGGAGATAACACAACACGTAGGTTAAGTACCTTGACCAGAGTCACTTTGGTGACTGGAGAGTGCTAGAACCCCAGCCTGGCTTTCTTGACCACTTTGTTATGCTGTGTGTGCACCCCAGACCAGCCCTGGGAATACAGCAATAAATAAGACCCACCTGGTCCCTGCCCTGGTAGAACTTTCATTTTGATGAGGCAGATGAATTTTACACAAACTCATTAGTTGTGAGTCACAATTTTCATAACTACTTGAAAGGTGAAGTCTTACATATAATGGGAACTTGCCTTACTCAGAGAAGAGAACCTAGATTTCTATTTTAAAATCGTCATCCCCATTTTACAGATGAGGGACAGTCAGTCCAGAGAGGCTAAATAGCTTTCCTGATGTCATCCAGCCATGAAATGGCATAGCCAGAGTTTGAATCCAAATGGTCTCATGCCAGAGCCAGTGTCCTTAACCCCTGCCCTCTCCAGCAGAGCTGGGTGAAGGATCAATTCGGTTGTTGTTGGTGGTGAGCTTTACCTGCCAGACACTGCACAAGGAAGGGAGAGAGGCTAAGGTTCCTCCCCTGCCCCACTCTTCCTAGGGGCCAGGACACCTGGACTTTCTCTCCCCACCACCTTTCCCTCCCAGCCTCCCTTTGCCTGCATGCTCCAGTAAGGTAGGGCGAGGGAGTAGAGGATGAGTAGGAGGTAACCAGGCAGAGGGGCAGGAGAGCAGCCAGCCCTGGGCAGCAGCAAGTGAGAGGGCTCTGAGAGGGGAGAGAAGTCTGGCTTCATGGACACACCAAAAACCTATTCTGGCTAGATGGGAGAGAGGGAGTGAGAGGGGGCATGGGGGAGGCTGTCAAGAGGCCGGTTGGGCCATGTGGCAAGTGGAGACCTGGTTAAGGATCCTGCCTTATCCCAGCAGAGACAGGAAACAGGATGTGCAGGAATGTTAAAGCAGGAAGTGATTTTACACGTGGAGACAGGCTGTGCCAAAGGACGGCGGCAGAGAGCCCAGGAAGGATCCACTGGGCAGTGGCAGGTTCGTGTGAGATGGGAGCGGCGATCTGGCGATACATGGCTCCTGGAGTGGGGGAGAAGAAAGGTCCTGGGGGCACAGTTGGGGGATGGTGCTGCCATTAGCTCAGGTAGGTGGGCCTAAGTTGAGGAAATCAGTTCAACTTGGGTCCTGAGTCTGGGTCCCCATCAGATATCCCAGTGGTGATGGACACACAGGGCCTGGGTCCAGGGGAAGCTTGGAGAACACTGAAGGCAGAGAAGTGGCACAAGCCCAGGCTGCTGGAAAGGGGGTCCTGCCTGCTCGAGAATAGCTGCAGCCTGGATGTCAGCGGAGGAGAGGGGTGGAGAGGAGGTAAGCCGGCCTTCCTCAGAGCCCTGAGGGGGCTGTGCCCTTCCAAACGCTCACTCAGGTTTCTTGGGAAGGCAGGGAGCGGTGCTTGGCTTGCCAGAGCCCATGGTGCTGCTGCAGGGAGCACCTTTCTCTGAACTTAGTGGCCCTGGGAAGCAAGCAAAGGGAGGAAGCCCTCTCTCTCCACTATTGCAGCTGAGAAGCTGTTTCACTAGAAACCACCAGATGGTGACGTTTCCACACAAAAACCACATTTCCTGACGGTGACCTGGCCTTCCCTTTGAGTCAGCTCCTGCAGGCTGGGCCAGTAGAGATTTTAGCACCGTTTGGGAAGCCTCTGAAGATGGAGCACCTCTGAGTGTCTTCGTGTTGTTATGAATACAGTTCACATCCACCTGCCTGAACCACATAGCACCTATTCTTTCCAAGAACATTTGTGGAGCATTTATGCCCAGCACTGGGCCCGTGCTGTGTGAGGATACCCAGGTGAATGTTCTGTTATGTTCTCAAGGAGCTCAAATGGGTAGAAGGGCTGACTGCAAACAAATAATGAAATATTGTGTGAAAATAAGCCAAAAGGGTATAAATGGTAGAGCACAGAAGGGAGTGGTTTTCTCTGCTTGAGAGAAAAATTGTCAGCTGATTCCCAGAGGCAGTGATGCTTAAGCAGAGTTTTAGAGGCTTTCGCCAGGCTCTGACAACCAAGGAGAGGTCCTCCAGGCAAAGGGAAAGTCCAGTCCATGTCGCAAGGATGGAGGAGGGTTAGGGAACTGGGCCTGGCTGTCTGAATGTCTGGAATGCCGGTATGGTGGGTGGGGGTGTGGTGGGAGGAATGGCAGGAGAAGAGGCTGGGAGGTGGGTCAGGTGCTGAGAGGTGACAGGTGGGTGCAAAATAACCCCATGAAACTGGCAGAGGACCCGGGGGAGGAAGCATGGAAGAGCACCACGCTGGTCAGGTCTGGCTTCCCAGGGGAGAGAAGATGGGCCCAGGAAAAGAGGGGGAACACACGGCTTGCAGAAGGGGCTGGAGGGCAGCAGCCGGACAGGAATGGCTGAGTCACCCACAGGCTCCCACTGTCTGTCTCTCGCGCGCATCTGGAGTTTGGGGAGAGAGGGACCCATATTAGTATTATAGCCGCAGCTCCATCAAACCTAGGGTGGAAATGAAATCATTAAGTGGCTCAAATGGAGTTTTGTTCTGTGCATGATTAACCCCAGGAGGGGAGTTTGGGAACAAATATGCCTCCTCTACCTGTATTACAGGGGGACTGAGCTACGGTAAATTAAAAGAAAATCACTGGCAAATTTGGGACCAGTCAGCTGTGACCAAGCCATTTGTGTAGTTAAATGGAGCTGAAAGAACTAATCAAGGCTTTGTGGTCATGGATCCTTTGAGGGGAGAGGTGAGAGCTGGGGGTGGCAGGTGGGCGGGAAGCCAGTCCAGGAGGCCGCAGGTGGAGGTCTATCAAGGGACTGCTTGGTGGGGGTGGCAATGTGCGGTGCTGGCCTGTCTCTGTCTTGCAGGTCACTTCCTAATAGGACCTTGTTAATTCTGGACAGAGACAGGGGGGTCTCATGTGAGACAGACTCGTCCAGGCAGAGTCAAGCTCGGGAACACCAGAGAGACAGGGAGGGTGTGCCCACGTCCACCAGGGCAGGCGGCCTCCTGCGTGGGTCACTGCAGGGAGCAATGCGAGGTGCTGCTCCATGAACCGCACCCAGTGTTGTGAAGACCAAGCCACTGTCCTGGGGTGTCCACTGCGAGGTGGGGTGGGGCTCTGTCCCATCCCGAGAGGCGGAGTTTAGACACCCAGCCAAACCGGGACATGAAAACCGGGCGGGTGGTCTCCGATGCGGGAGAGGCTGCCTGGCGGGGGGCCAGCAGGGCAGGGGCAGGCGGAGGGCGGGGGTGCGCCGCGGGAAGGAGTGGAGCGGGCAGGGAGGCCCCGGGTTCCAGCGGGGCCTGAGACGCGCGATCAGGGCGCCGCGCGGCCGCGGAGTGGGGTGGCCCACGGGAGCCCAGACCCTCTCGGGGCTCAGCGGCCAGGGCGGGCGAGGCGCCCGCACCACCAGGCGACCGTGCGACGGCTTGCAGCGCTCGGCCACTGACCCACGTCATCCACGGGCCCGAGGGACCCCCGGCCCGACGCCCAGAGGCTTCTGCGGCTTCTCCCTTCGCGGGCCGGCCTGGGGAGGGCGCGGCACCACCCTGCCCTGAGGGACCGGGAACCTCGACCGGGGAGGCCACCCCGCCTCCGCCCGGCAGCCAGACGCAGTGTTCGACATGTTTTCCAATTACTTGGCAGGCTCCGCAGCGATGCTCGAAATTCATTTTCCATCCCGAGAGGGGAAAAACAAACGCAAGAGAAGGCAGCAGCTGCTCTCGGCGAGTTGGGAAACTTCGCCGCAACCAGCCGGAACCGGAGCGGGGCACCGGGCGGCTCGGGGTCCCCACCCCTTCCCCCACCCCCGCACCCCTGAACCCCCTACCCCGCGCCCCTCCCTCACCCCCGCACCCTCCATCCCCCTCCCCCTCCCCCTCCTCGCCCGCGAGGCTCCCCTGACTGTGGCCCCGGGCTCCTCCCGCCGCCCCTCCCCGCAGTCCCAGGCTCCTCTCCCAGCTCCTCCCCCCAGCCTCGCATCCCCCGCAGCCCCGCGTCCCCCTCCCAGCCCAGCGCCCGTCCCCGCTCGCTCCCGGAGCCACTGCCCTCCCCCGTCAGCCTCCTTCGAGCTTATTCTCTGGGCCTCTGGACCACAACAAGGTCCGCAGCCCGAAGGTCCCCAACCGGTGGGTTTGATCGCGGTGGGGAGGACAGGGCAGGACTTCGCGGGGCGGGCGGTGAGTGCAGAAAGTCCACACCCGCAGCTGCCCTCCCAGCCCTGTGGGCACGGCCGCTCTGCGAGGTCAGTCGCCCCCTTCTCTCCGCGGACCGTCGCGGCTGTTAGAATGCGCCTCCTCCTTTACTGCCGTTTCCCCATTGCCCCAGACACGGTGCGTGACATCGGTGCTCAGGAAATATTCGTGGAAGGAGTAAACGACTGGGTGGGCTTTCGCTGCTGTTTCTTAGCGCTCGCATCAGTTTTCTGCCTCCTCCGCCCTTCAGGGCCCTCGTTCTCTGTGTCTTCATAGGCACCTGTTCGTGGGCAGGCCTGGAGGTCCCGAAAATGAAGGCTGAGCGGGTCATGCAAGGGAAACCTGGTACGTGAGCAGGATTCCAGGGAAAAGGGCAGGTACAACAGTCTCTGCCTTATAAGCAGGTACAGCAGTCTCTGCCTTTTAAGGAGGAGGCGGGAAGGCTGAGTGAGCAGCTGCTTGTGGCGTGCTTTCAGCAAGGAAGATGTGCTTACCAGCAGCGTGTGTGCCCATGTGGGCTTCTGGGAGGCAGTGTAGCATAACTGCTAAGACGGCTTCCACCTTCGGATTGCCAGGCCTCGGACCCTGGCTTTACCATTTAGCGGCTGTGAGATTTTGAGCAAATGGCTTCACCTCTCTGTGCTTCTGTGTCCTGGAGTCCTGGTGAAGATCAAGTGAGATAGCATCTCGGTAGAGGGGGCATCACATGCCCGCCACTTGGTAGACCCTCAGTACAGGGTAGCTATGAGGATTCCTATACCCGGGAAGAGGCACCAGCCATAGCACAGCCCTTTCCAGCACCAATGACTGCTGGCTGTTAGTCTTCACGTTCATAAAACACTTTCCTAAGCCTTTTGTAATGTGAGTCGGTGATCTAGTCAGTCCAGAAGGAAATAGTCACTGCTCTCTAGGAGCTTATACTGGAAGGGAAAAGATTATGAGGGCCTCTAAAGATGTTGGGGAACCACAGACAAACATTTAGGAAAAATAAAAATATTAGGTGTGCATTTGGGAGCCGGTGTAGGAGGGGGTGTGCTGTCAGAGATTCATGTTTGGTCAACATGGGGGCTGCATATTTTCAAAGGAGAATCAGAGTCCTGGCTCTACGGGCTTCAAAGAGGGGCTCCCCTGAGGACCTGCTGGACCCAGGACTCCTGGCATTCTGAGGAGGGGGCTTCTTTGCGTCTTTGTGCCCCCTGAGGGAGGGCTCTCTGGGGCCTAGAATGGGAGGAGAGTGGTGTGGCATCCTGTGGCCAGCAGGTGATGCTGTTGATCTAGTGGTGCAGGTTGCCAGGTTCTGGATGGTGCCCTCCCACCCCCCACTCATGCCCCAGCTGCTGATTGCTCATTTTCCACTAAGTACCCTGTGCACAAGATACCAGAACACCCCCATTAGCTCCTGCAGCTAGCCCTGTGCTTGTTCTTCTGGTGGGGACAAGTTTCTCTACCCACCGTGGGCAGAACTGACTCCAGGATTTGGGAGTGAGCAGTGGACAGTAGACCTTCTATTCTATTCTGAGGGAAGAAGTGAGATTGGGCTGTGTTGCAGCGGGGACTGGTATTGACTTCTGGGGAAGTGGATTCACCTTGCCATGCCACAAAACCACAGTTTGTGCCTGCACACCCCTCGGGGCTTCTTCAGTCAGTTAGGATGTCTTGCAGGAGGGATGGAACAGGGGACCCTAAGGGCAGGGGTGGACAAAAGAAGGAGCAGCACCATGAATCAGAGTCCCAGAGCTGTGGAACCCCCTTTCGGGACCCAGGTCCTGCATCTACTTCCTCAAAGGCTGCAGCAAAGTGGAGCTTCTCCAACCTTCCTGGGTATGGGACTCCCTTCCAGGAGGTACTTATTAAAGATCCTCAGGCCAGGGTCTAGATACACAAGGATAAAGCATGCTGTTTTTCTCAGTGGAAGAGAACTTGGCAACTCCACGATCAGCACCAGGAGAACATTCTGCTTACTTCAGCTGCCCTTCACCTGGTCTTTGGAACATCTTTTGCTAATTATACTTGTGGCCACCCCCAGGTGTTCTGCCTTGCTTTGGTCCAGGAGAGTTAACAAAAAGGAGAGAAACAGAGAGACACAAGTTATAAACAATTTGGTTGAGCAGGTAGCGGGTAATCTCACCCAACTTGAGCCCATTAAGCACCCCCTGCCCCTGGTCCTGGATCCCTTGGCTTTAATCTAACCTTCTTTCTGAAGGGGTTGGTCCTGCATTCTACAGGGAAGAGACCCAACCAGCAGCATGGGTGTAGTCTTTCCCTGAGCCTCACAGGACAATGTCACCACTCATATTGCAGAAACGTGCACGCAGGGTGTGTGTGCCTTTGCACGTGTGCACACACTTTACTCCACTGGGCCTCAAGGTCAAATGATGCCTTATAAAATGAAAGAAAAGGGTGCTTTTCTTTGAATTTGCACCATTTGGCCCCCTTTCTCAGGGCCTGTGGCCAACAGTCTAGGGAGTCATGTGGGCCACGGGAGGAGAAAGCAATGGGGGCCACAGGACCGTGTCCGTGCCGCCATGCCTTTGCTGAGCTGTGTGGCAATGCTTACGTCACTTGACTTCTCTAGACATGGCGTTTTTCCATCTGCGAGTTAATAATGTCCTTCTCTCAGTGTTGGTATTAGGTGAGGCACTGCATGCAAATCCTCAGCACCATCTCTGGGCAGAACTGGTGGTCATTCATGTTATCTATGCCTCCATCCCCTGCTGCACCCCTTTTCTCCAAAGAGAAGAGGCGAGTTATTCAGTGTGTCCAGCTTACCCCTCTAGAAAATGGGACAGTTAGAGCCCCTCACCACCCAGAGTTGGTTTGAGCCAAAATTGTTGGGAGGAACTGGAGTTGGGAAGGGTGTTATGGTTTGATACTTTCATTGCCTCCTGCCTCGGGGTCTGGCCAAGACCATGGTGTTAGACTGTTCTTTGTCCAGTCCTCTGAGGCCTGCCTGTTCTCCCATCCTCAGGTTGGGTTTGTGCCACGGATCCCAGATGGGCTGACCTTGGGAACCACCCAGTGCCTGGCATATAGTAGACACTCAATAAATTGTGTTGAGTCATTAAACCTTGGATTGGCTGTGTGGCCTTGGACAAGCCCATTCATGTTTCTAAGCTCACAGGTGAAATGGGAATGATAATAACACCTGCATGGCAGGGACAGAGCAGTTGCACACAGAGCTTCTAACAGTGTTCTGCACGTTTGTTAAGTGCCTCAATAAATGCTGCCGAGATCAGTACAACACCGGAGGGATCGTAGCTCTTTCTTCACTCCTACTCTTGGGGGAATGTTTTAAAATAGAAAAACTGTTTCCATCGAGACATCCACCACCCAGAGCTTTGAAGGAGCAGGGAGAAGACTCAGAATGAATGTTGCCAATGAACAAACTTAAATTCCTGATGGGCAGAAATGTATCATTTCCTTTCCGCAACAGGAGAGGGAAAGTGACAGTGCAGGCAGCAGCTGCCTCCCTGCCAAGCCTCTGAATCTGAGACCCCTCCCAGTTCCAACCCCAGGAGCCTCAAGGGTTTGCACGGGTAAGTTGGGTTTGGAATACAAACATACTCCTGTCCTCAGTAAGCCACCAATGTGCAGGGATTGGATGCATGGAATTCTCTTCAGGCCATACTCCATAGAGTTATTTTAGATGACGAGATGACATCTCCGAGTTCACCTAATCCATCCCAGACAGATGAGGCCTATGCTTCTGAAACAGTCTGTGGGTCCTGCCCCGTGGCCTCCTTCTTCTTCCTAGGCTCCAAGTCTTCAGCTGTTCAGGCGGGAATGCCATTCCACATGCCTTTTCTCAGTCAACTCAAATGCCACATCCTCTGTGAAATGTGTCCTCTTTTTTCCTGGCCTCCAGCTCTCCACCAAGATTAAGTTCTTCTCACTGTCTATATATTAAGACGTCTCACTGTCTATATATTTAGCATAGTTTCTTTTTATATTATGTTTAAAAATAGTTCCCCCTTCTTCCCTGCCTCCCCACTCTCCTCCGCCAGCCATTTATGGGCCTGTCAGGCTCACTGCATTGTAAGATGCTTTAGGGCAAGATTTGGGTCTTGTCCATCTTCATGGTCTCAATAGAGGTTGAACTGATTCAATGTAGCCCGAACCACCCCACTAAAAAGCCAACCGATTTGCATGTTATGTTTTCAGACCCAGGCTAATGTGACACCCTACCTGCATTCCTAATCCTTCCATCCTTCCATGAACCTTCCCTTCCACCTCCTCTCCTCCCTCTCTCTGTCTTTCATGTCTCTCTCTGTTTCTGTCTCTCTTGATGCTATCTCTCCATCTATTTCTCTCTCTACCTGTCTGCCATCCACAGGTCTCACCCTCAGCATCATAATCCCCATGAGTGGGCTTGCTCCAGTCGCAAACAGTGTGTGTCGTTCCCTGGATGGAATTCTGTCATGGCTGTGAGACAGGTCCTCTGAGTGAACCCTGGCCATAGAAAGTATCTCTTGAAAGATCACTGTGGTGACCGTTCCTGTAGTAATCAATAGCCTCAGGATGGAGCTTTTGGAGTTGTGGTGTATGCTTAGGACTGAACACAAAGGCCTTTCCAGGGGGCATGAAAACCAAGAGGAAGACCAGCAAGAGTAGCTTTGCAAGATCTCCTTCCCCGTGTGGTACTCTCTGTCTCTCTCTCTCTCTCATGTCTCAGTCTCTTTTGATGCCATCTCTCCATCTCTGTCTCTCTCTCCATCTCTCTCTCTCTCTCCCTCTCTCCCTCTCTTTCTCTCCCTCTCCCTCTCTCTTGCTCTCTCTGCCATCCACAGGTCTCACCCTCAGCATCATGATCCCCATCAGTGGGCTTGCTCCGTTGCTAAGAATAAGCCCTTCATGATCTGGGTACAAAAAGAGCAGGAACGGGCAAATCTGCCACTCATACAGCTGTGCTTGGCAAAGAGGGATAAGAATTCCTTCAAACAAGAGCCTGCCCACCAGCTGCTCCTGAGGGACCTGGCACATGTGGGTCACTTGGTCATGGTCCCTTGAGTTTGGCAGGTCTGGCTTCCTCTGATTCTCCCACCTCAAGTTGCCCCGAAGTGTTCTGGGACACAAGTGAGTGTCTGTAGGGGAAATGGCTTCCTCAGTCATTGCAGGATGTATTTGACCATGGGAGTCTTCTCTACATCATGGTCACCCTGAGTTGTATTTATTCAGAGTTTAGATTTTCATATGGTAGAAAACATTGAACTTGAGGTCCCAGCTCTGTTACTTCCTAAATGTGTAATCAAGTCAAGGATGCGTGACTTAATCTCTCTAAAACTCATTGAAAAAAAATTATATAATGAACTATTGAATAAGCCAAGGAACATATATGCACTCTTATAAGCTCTGAAGTTGTAGTGGTGAGTAGGAGAACGTCCCTGCTCTCAGGTTCTAGTGGAGGGAGGGGCACCACATTTAGAGAGAGCTGATCTAATAGATAGAAAGCCGTGGTACTCTATGCTTTGGAGAATGGTAAAGCAGAGCGTGGAGAGGATGGCTGGCAGTTGCTTTTTTATGGAACGTGGTCACTGATGGCCTTGCTGAGGAGGTGACATTTGGGGACAGGCCCCTATGAGGTGAGGAAGTGAGCTGTAGGTATCTGGGGAAGGGGGTTCCAGGCAGAGGGAACAGTATGTGCTAAGTCCTGAGGCACAGGTGGGCCTGGTCTGTGAAAGAATCAACCCTTGTGGCTGCAGCAGAGGGAGCAAGGGAATAGAGGGGATGGGATGCAGTGCGACTTGAGTGATGTTAAGCCCCTAGGACAAGGCAACACAGCTGTGTGGAGAGTGAGGGCTGATTGCCCAGGAGGAGCTGTGGAGGAGTCTGGCCGGGAGATGCTGGCTGTGGGCTCTGATTAGGATTCCAGGTTGCCCTTTTCCCAAGGTGGAAGTTTAAAGCAGTGGCTAGGATCATCTTTGCATCTGAAAAGATCTCTTACTGGGCTCTGTAATCCAGTTTTCCTATCTGTAAAATGAAACGGTGCCTCTAGACCTCATCAGATATTGTCAAGGACAAACGACATGTTTGATAAGGGCCACTTGAAGTTAGGGTGCACAGTACCAATGCAAGCTGCTATCACAATAATTAGGCCTCTCTTGATTGTGGAATGGATTTCCATTTCTTCAGGCAAGCATCAGACAACATTCTCAGAACCTGAAGAACACTCTCCCCATTGATTACCTCACTTGATCCTCACAGCCCATCCAGAGTGGTTGAAATTTTTATTATTCCCATTCAACAGACCAGGAAATGGAGGCTCAGAGACTAGAGGGATGAATATACACAGCCAGCGAGTGCTGGCCTTCAACAGAAACATTCTGATACAAATTCACTTCCAAAGAAGAGGATGCTACTATCTGTGGAGGTAGGATATGTGGAGGTCAAGGTATAGATTCAAACCTGAATCAGATCTGAGCAGAAATGGACTTCTCGAGAGCCACTATTATTATGGTCACACATACAGTCCCTGGAAATAATGCAGCATTATAGACTGCACAGATTAATACACAATAAAAATTGCTGAAAATACTCTAGGCAGATGCTAGCTATAACACAGAAAGCTTAGGAAAATCAGGCGAAATCATAACATACCAGCTGATGGCAATTAAGTACAGATGACAAAAGAATGACATTAACTCAGCTAAGATCTGAGAGCCTCACTGCAACTGCATGGGGGCCCTGAGAAAGATTGGGGTGCATGGTGGGGAGGGCTGCAGTGGTGGTGCTTCTGCCCATGAGGAAAAGCCCCCCATCTCCAACCCCTTCGAGAACAGCTCTTGAGAAGGCAGAAGATCTATGACAAAGAGCCAGCTGGTTCCAAGGGATTTCACCCTGGAACTGTGCTCCAACACCTTCAAGGAGTTCTGAGGGTTCTTTGAAAACTGCACGTCCCCAAGGCTCCTCCTTTGGGTCTGGAGTGTCAGAGGGCTGGGGAATTCTGCGAGTGTCTAGCACTTTGCAAACTTCCAGAAAGGGCTGGTTGCATATCAGGCTGAAATAGAGAAGAGTCTTCCATGGAGGCTGAGGGCTGCCTTCAAGTGACCTCTGTGGAAATGTCTTTCAAAAGACATTTCAGCCTCCATGCAAGACCCTCCTCTATTTGAGCCGGATATGCGACCAGCTCTTTCTGGAAGTTTGCAAAGAAAGGAGTTCTGCAGCCTTTATGATTTCTTCCTTCTCCAAACATTCTCTGCTGAAATGGAGACTCATTTATCCCTCTTGTTAATTCTTCATCTCCTATCCTGGCTTCAGTAGTTCTCGGAAAACTCATTGATGCTGAGTTCGCATGTTTGTGGGAAACAGAGGTGAGACCAGAGTCAGGGTGAAGAGGAGGAGAAAGAGGAATAGGGAAGGGGAGCGGCCGCCATGCACCAGCTTCCTGGAACAGCAGTCCCAGGTCCACCGCGGTGGGGGTGGCATCCCTGGTGCGCTTTTATCGGCGTTATCATGCAATATTCCCCAGCCTGCTTTGTCTTTGCGTTGCATTTTATCAATACCACCAGCGGATCCTGCTGTCCCTTTCTGTGGGTTTATTAATATTGCCCTCTGATCTATGGGTAGCTGCCACACTTTATATTCCAGCCCCATCCTGGCTTCTCCAAACTCAGACACCATATTTAATTAGATTTTCTCCCTGGCTCAGGCAAACAGAAATTGAACTCCCAGTATATCTCTATTGCTCCAGAGCTCGCGCCTGACAGAAGGAGACAGCTCTCTTTCCCTCTCTGGCTTTCTCTGCCTCATCCCTTCCATCTCCACCTCTGACATTAATATTCTAAGACAAGCCCACTTCTAAGTTCAATCTTTGCCCCCAAACACTGAAATACACCCGCATGTTACTCAGTGCCACTAAATAAGTCATGTGTTGGAGGATTCTGATGCTAAAACTTTTTTGCTCTTCCTCCAGACTTTGGGCTGGACCTGCCTGTGGGCGAGTGGTGTGGAGAGCAGGGGAGGTGGGAGCGGGGTGCGGGGTGTCTCCATCTAGAGGCCAAGGGTGAGGGGCCCGAGAATACGGAGACACATTAAATGCCCTTTCAAGATGACAATGCCACCCTTGGAATACTTTGTCGGAAGAGTTTTAAGAAAAAAAATTTCGGTATTACAGTTCTCCCATCTTTTTGGTGTTTGGGAAGAGTTGGTCTTTGTTAACGTTATGAAAAACAACCTCTAATTTCACCTTCTGTCAACTAAATGTGAGAGGAGAGCCCAGGGTTAAGAGGAGACCTGGAGGATGCAGGAAGGACTCAGGAAGGAGGGCTGGCTCCTGTGCCCGGGGGGGGGGCGGGCCCTTACCCCTCACCAGCCGTGGGGCCTGGCCACAGAGCTGTGGGCAAAGGGGTCTTCAGCAAACTTTATTTGTTTTGAAGCTACTTTGTATCCCTTCAAGACATTTACTTAATAGTTTTGGAGACTCAGGTTCCTCACTGGTTAAATGGGGATAATGACAGCTGCCCTGAGGCCTGTTCCACAGAGGTGACCCTTGAAAACAATCTGTGCACATGACTGTGTTCCGTAAACTGTGATCCTCCTCGTTAGGATTGGGCATTCCTGTTCTCAACTAAATCTTGATTTGTAATTACTAATGGGCAATATAGAAGAGAAGACAATAAAATAATTATTTGACTTTAAAATGATTTTTTATGTTCTTTATCCAGGATATTTGCAATTATAATTAGCTTACCTAGTCTGAGCACTGAAACACACTGATATCAGAGGAGATATAGGGTGACAAAAAATTTAAATAAAATATGAAGGAAGGAGGGAAAGAAGGAAGGAAGAGGGAGGGAGGGAAGGAAGGAAGGAATGAAACACAAATAGGCAAACAGCAGAGAGGGTGGTTAACCCAGATTCCCTGGGTAATGTTTGAAATGGCTTCATACCAAGAAATAAAAATATGCACATTTACTTTAAAGCATAGTGAATATTTGAGATATTTACATGTGAAAAGTGCTGAGCACTCCTTAGAGGGCAGATGGGTCTGCGTGCTTCATCCACCGCTTCCAGGGCAGCAAGGAACGACCTCCCCTGGACCCCGGGACCATCCCTGTGCCCAGCCATAGGCACCACCTTCCAGAGCAGCTCCTGGTGGTTGTGGAGGAGGGGGCTCCTTTCCATCCTGGTGGTCAAGGACAGTGCAGTGAGGGCATGTGAAGGGGCAGAGAGAAAACTCAGCACCAGGCCCTTCCACTGACCAGATGGAGGGCATGTGTACGTGGCATTGGTTTGGCATGAAGGGCTTTGGAGTTGGCCAGATACGGGTTGCCCTTCTGGCTGTGCTGCCTAGCAGTGTGACCTTGGGCAGGTCATACATCACTCTGAGCCTCGGCTTTGTCATGTGCATCAGAGGGAACACGCTGCTTGTGGTGCAGGGTCAGGGGATTCAGTACAGCCATGCACTTGGTGGAGGGAGGATGTCCGGCCCACCCTGGGGCCTCTGCTTTGTGAGTGCCTTTTATCTTTCCCCTCTCTCTGAGAAGTGCCAGTGACCCTCATTGGCAGGGCTGGGAGGACAGGTTGAGTGCACGCTCAGATCCGATTTTCAGGGAGCCAGGTTTGCATTCTGACTCTGTGACACGACCCACTGGGGACCCTGGGGTAAGTGGGAACAAGAGAGGGTGAAATTTTTGATTGCACAAGGCAGACACAAGGTCCTCAGAGATGCCCTTGGCACAGGGGCTTCTGGTGTCCTTCCCATCAGCACACCATCACGCTCTCATTTCCTCAGATAAAAATCTCACTGGGTAGCCCACAGATGCCTCACAATCAGGGGCAGGCAATTCTGGCCATTGGGAGGCATTGTCTGGAGGCCTGT
The DNA here is from genome assembly GCF_000001405.40 of Homo sapiens. Taxonomy (NCBI): domain Eukaryota; kingdom Metazoa; phylum Chordata; class Mammalia; order Primates; family Hominidae; genus Homo; species Homo sapiens. Next base: position 133,822,931 of record NC_000011.10, on the reverse strand, counting down.
CTGCTTAGCCCTGGGCCCACACCACTGCTGCACCCCTGAGGAGGGGAAAGCTTGAAAACCACACTTCTGGATTGGACCTCCCTTCTTCAGGGAAGTCCCCTGACCTGTTCTGGACATAGGCTGGTTAATGGCAGGGCTGATTCTAGAACTGAATCCTGATCCAGGGCTTATCTTGTGACACCATGATGCCCCTTGACAGAGGAGTTCTTGCTATCCCCAACTTTGAGTCACTGCATATCCAGTTGTCCCTCGGTATCTGAGGAGGATTTGTTCCAGGATCCCCCTTGGATACCAAAATCCACAGATGCTCAAGTCTGTGATATAAAATGTGATAGTATCTGCAGATTACCTATGCACGTCCACCTATATACTTTAAATCATCTCTAGATTACTTATAATACTCAATACAAAGCAAATGCTATGGAAATAATTATGCTGTATTTTAGGATTTGAATTACCTTTATCGTTATATTGTTACTTTTTAAAAACATTTTTGATTCACAGTTGATTGAATCTGCAGATATGAAACCTGCAGATTCGGAGGACCGCCTCTGTTAGGTAAGGTAACACTGTCTGCTCTGAAATTTTGGTGACTCAGTAGCATGGACATTTCTTTCTTGCCCGTGTAACAGTTGGATGTGGCATTTCTGATCAGCAGATGGGGTTCCATCTCACGATGCCTCAGGCGCTTAGGAGTGTTCATCGCATGGTCCCGTGAGTTCCTAGGGCCTTGCTGCCTATTTCTCTAGATGGTGGGAGGAGAAAGAGAGCTGAGGGGCTGCAGACACCTCTTAGAAGGCTTGATCTGGAAGAGGCACCCATCACTGTGACTCACGCTCCATGGGCGAGCGCTGTCCTGAGAGGCCATGCTTCACTACAAGGGAGGACAGTCTTGCTGTGTGCCCAGAAAGGAGCAAAACAGAAAGCTGGGTGCTGGGGCACAGCTGGGAAACTCTACCGCTGGCCACCCTCCAGGTGGTCAAATATCTGTGTTGCTCTCTGTCCTGTGCGGAACATGCTCGCACACCCTGGCCTCAAGGGGGCAGTCTTTTCCCTCAAGTTTCGTGTAGCTTCTCAAGGTCTGGCGAGCTCCAAGCTAGCAAGGCAATTTATCTGCCCTCAAGATAGAACTGGGATGCAAGGATGAGAAAGCTGGCCAGTGTCCGTGGGTGATACACCACATCCATGGATGCGATGGAGTTTTGCTGGCGGGCAATGTGAGGAGCTCCACCCTGGCAGTGGGGCTGCTGCATGGTGAGACCTGCCTCTGCTCGCTGTGAGAGATGTCCTTGTCCATCGTCCTTCAGAGCCCCTGTGTACCCTCTAGGAGGCACTTCCTTATCCACCCCCTCCGTGGTCACATTGGACACCAAGGAGGGCATCTGGGCATATGTCTGCTTCCGACTAATGGGCACTTTTTACTCACAGGCTCTTTTAGGCCAGCAAACAGTTTCTTTGGTATTCAATTCCCTCATAAACTTGGTAGGTTTCTCAACTATTTGCTTCCAGTCAGTTCCAAATACTAGTATCAGCAGCTAAAGTTCTTTCCAAGATCTCATCCTCAAGCGTACTTAAATTCTTTTCCGCCCGGAGCCGCCCTCCCTCGCAGTTTAATGAGACATCAGAAACAATAGGCTTGGAAGTTATGAGTTTGCTAGGCTGCCATAACAAAGTACCACAAACTGAGTGGCTTAAACAAAAGAAATGAACCGTCTCTCAGTTCTGGAGACTGGAAGCCTAAGATCCAGGTGCCAGCAGGGGTGCTCCTGCCCAGGGCCAAGGTCCTGGAGGGAGACGCTGCTCCATGCCTGTCTCCTAGCTTCTGGAGGTTTGCTGGCCATCTTTGGTGTTCCTTGGCTTCTCTATGTCACCTCAGCCTCTTCGTTCATCTTCATGCCACATTCTCCTCGTGTGTCTGCCTCTTTGTCCAAATCTCTCCTTTTTATAAGGACTCCAGTCATATTGGATAGGGGCCATTCCGCTCCAGTGTGACCACCTCTTTACAACTACATCTGTGATGACCCTATTTCCAAATAAGGTCCCATTCCGGGTTATTGGGGATGAGAACTTTAGCATATGATTACTTAGGGGACACCATTCATCCCGTCATGGAAGAGAAGGAAGTGTCTTTAATTTGATCTTTGTTACGGGGCTGAGTCCCTCTGCTTAACTGAGAATTATCAATGGGTCTTTGTTCTCAAAGCCCCTTTTATCTCTCTTCCAGCTCTTCAGTGCCTACATTTCTGAACTGGCTTCAAATATTCTTCCTAGAAGGAAAACCCATCCCCCTTAGAAGGAAAGGAAAGGGGCATGTGGTGAATACCTACTATGTGCCAGGCACTATCACGTAGCTTGTATCTCTTTTCTCATTTGGGGATTCTGTGAAATGAGGATGGATCTTCCAGGCCTGGGAGGAGAGAACTTTTCCGGGAACAAGCTCTACACCCTGTGCACACTCCCTAACCTTTTCAAGCCTTTGTTCTGATGTCAGCTTCTAGGCGAGCCTTCCCTGAACACTCTATTTAAAATTAGACTGCTCTGCATTTCTCGTCTCCCCTTTCCCTTGCCCCCATAGCATTCATCCTCACCACCTTCCAACAGAGTGTGTGATTTTCTAAGTTTTGAGTTCATCGTCTGTCTCTCAGCACTGCTGGGCTTCACAAAGACAGCAGAGAGTTTGCCTGCTCTGTTTGCTGAAGTGTTCAGTGCCTAGGGCCATGCCATGCAGGAAACTCAGGGTGCATTCAGCAGATCCCTGTCTGGAGACTAGATTGGAGGTGTCTGGATCTTCCCTGCAAGACTGAGGCTAAAGGCAAGCACCTGGGCTTTTGGAGCTGCAGTGAAACAGATGGGCTTAGCGGCCTCAGGGCTTGTTGGAGTCCCAGCCCGATGCTCTACCAACTAGGCAGCCTGGGAAAGGCAGTTTATCTTTCTGTTCTTTAGTTTCCTCCTTGGAAAATGGGGCAATAACAGTACATCTCTCCCAGGGCTGTTGTGAGGATTAACAAGTAGCACGCATGAAGGAACACTTGGCAGGGGCTGGGCATGCTGGAAGTGCTCAGTAAACGTTGCTTCTACTTGTTAGAGCCGTTGTTAATAACACCAATTCTCACAAAAGAAAACCTCTCTGCTTTTTCTTGTGTCTTTTCACTGTTGATATATTTTGAACTTGACCCCTCATCTCAGAGGTCATGAAATGGTACCTCTGTAGGTAAGAAAGCACAGGATGGTTTTTGCTGTAAAACAATCCATTTTATTCCACTTCTTTCCTACCAGTTTCCTTGGACAGTCACGCGCGTGTGCAGCTGAGAGGACACTGGACTCCTGGCAGCAGGTTCTGTCGACCCCACCTGTGAGTCTTGTGGCCTCGGCCTGTTTATTCATGAAATAACGAGATTTCTTTCTCAGTAGAATGTTTGAAGAGAGTTCCAAAATTTGGGCCATTGAACAGTTGGAATAGAGATGAAGCCAAAAGGGGCTTTGAGGAACAAAGGCCTGTTGATAATTTTTGGTTAAATGGAGGGACCCCAGTGATGTGTAAGGCACTTTCAGTTCTCACTTCCCCTGATACCGCCGTCTATGGGTCAGCCCAGAATATTCCTTCACCGTTGCGGTTGCTGCCGTCTCTAGATTGCGTGTGCTGCCAAGCTTGCCACACCCACTCGGCTTCTGACGCCGTCTAGGCTGGATGCACCTTTGGCCTTGGGAAAGTCTTTTCCTGAGCCGTCTCTGATCCTCAGGGTTAGCTTTGGTTCTCCAGGTTCACTGTGCAGTTCTCCTCCTGCAGGGACCTGGTGCCCAGCAGGCCTGCTCCTCCCTCATCCAGCAAGGCTGGAGCAGACAGGTGCAGCAAGAGGAGGGATGAGGGAATGGGAATGCTGATAGGGTGAAGTCACTAGCTAGTCCTACTGTCTCTCCATCTCTTCCAACAGGACCACTTTCAGGGCCAGCAGAGATGGGACTAGACAGTTGCATTTTGAGTGTGTGTTTTATTAATGAAGGGCGAGACAGCAGAGGAGATCATAATGATATCATAGTATGTCTGATCTAATTATGCTAATCAATTTTTATGGCTCATCAGAGGGAATCCCGATGGGCTTGTGTCAGGAATTCCCCAGAGATCTGGAGAGGTTGCTCCAAGACTTGGAGGGCTGTTGGGAGGACATCCCAAGACTTTACAGAGTTGGGAAGCTTCTGTGGTCCCAGGCCACCATCTGTCCCATCCAGTGGAATGGCTGGGTGGCGGTGGGTGGTGGTGGTGGGGTGTTGCCCTGGGAATTGGGGAAAAACCTCCAAAGAGAACGGATCTGGGAGGGACCAGGAGTGGAGAGGTGGGGGCTGCCAGAGCTTGTGACTCCAGAAGGAGCAGCGGAGGCTCCCGGGTGGGTAGGCTGCTGGATGCGCTGTGTGTGTGGCTCCTGGCCTACTCTGGTGGCAGAAACTGCAACCTAACTGCATACCAGAGTCCTGTGAAACAGGGGCCTTGCCCCGTGCAGATTCATCCACCATGTCGCCTCCCGCTGCACTCTGCTCTCTTCCCACCCATAGACTTTCGAGCACACGTTTAACCCCACAGATTTCATTTCCCCTGCGTTAGCCTGAGAACTACCCAGTTCCTGAGCCGTCTCTGACCTACAGGGTTAGCTTTGGTTCTCCAGCTCCACTGTGCAGTTTTCCCTGTGTCTTCAGTTCTTATCTTGCTTTCCTTCTGCCTGGCTCTCCTTCCCCAAGGACTGTGCCTATTTTCATGGCTGGTCTAGACTCCACTTGCATATGGGCAGGTAACATATTGGTTATTGAAGGCATTCTGGGAAGACCCCAAGATAAATAATCCTCCTTTCACCTCATGCCTAAAATTCCACACGTCATTTATTTATTTGTTTTGGCTTAAACTGCAAGTTCTCGTACAGAGCCCATCTTTCCTGGGCGTGTGAGGGAGGGTGTATGGCGTGCTGTGCTATCACCCATCATATCTGCTGGGGGAATCATTTCCAACCCCTTTCTTGAGGGGAGTTGTTGAGGGTGGTAGGGAGAATGGTGGCCACATTGTCATATTTTGACCAGCACTGCCCAGAGCCGTGTCTCCCATGGTCACGTGTAGGACACACCAGTGTATCCCTCTGTCTTTGTGCAGCTGGGTCTGCCGACTCTGGGTTTAGGGCCTCTGGGCAGAGCACACGCTGTCCCTGGCTGGCCTCCGGTCTTGCTGCTCTGCCGGAGGCCAAGCTTAGCAGGGAAGGGCTCTGAGACAAGCATGTGCTGACTGGGTGGCCCAGAGTGCCTCCTTAGGGCTGGTGGCCTGAGTCTCAGGGCTTTGGGTGCAGGGGAGTAAGGAGAACAGGGGTGGAGCCGTGGGTGTGGAGAAGGCAGCCACAGTCTGGCAGAAGCTAGTTTGTGAACATGAGGTATATTCCTACTGGGGCCCTGGGCTCTCTGTTGTTGAAGTGTGGGGCTCAGAATTTATCGCCAAGAGCAGTCATTGGCTGTATTAGTTTTCTATTGCCGCCATGACAAATGATCACAAACTGAGGTCTTAAAACACAAACCTATCATCAGACAGTTTTGTAGGTTGGAAGTCCAGCTGAGCTAAGGTCAAGGTGTCAGCAGGGCTGTGTTCCACTCTGGATTCACTTTCTGCATTCACTTGCCCTTTCCAGCTTCTGGAGTTCTTCAGCTCATGGCCCACTTCTTCTGTCTTCAAAGCTGGCAACCTTGCATCTCTCTGACCACATCTTCCTTTGTGACCACAGCCGGGAAGGGTTTCTCTGCTTTTAAGGACTCATGTCATTAGACAGAGCCCATCTGGACAGCCCAGGATAACTCAAAGTGCTTAACCTTACTTACAGCTTCAAAGTCCCTTTTGCCATGCTAGGTGACCTATGCACAGAGTCTGGGGGTTTGCACGTGGCTGTCTCTGCTGGTACACTATTCTGCATACCACTGTAGTAGTATCTAGACAAGCCTGAGCAAGACCCTAGGAATGAGCTGCTGGGAAGGCCTGGCTCCCACAGAGCAGGGACTCTGGGACGGGGACAGTTAGGGAAGAGACATAGCGTGATATTACTGTGACTGGACTTTCAGCCTTGCTTTGGGCAGTGTGGAAGTGTGATGGCTAGATGCTCATAAACTCATTTCTTCTTCCCAGGGGCACAGCTGACATAAGCCTTCCTTATAGTTGTGTGGGGCCACAGGACTGAGTTGCGGCCAGTGAAATGTGGGTTGAGGTAAGGCGTGCTACTTCCAGGCACTGACCATGTGATCCTCCACACTGGCAGGATGCACAAGACCCAGGGGAGGCTGCTGAGCGCTGGTGATGGAGAATCAGCCAGACAGAAGACATCTGTGTGGGAGCTGTGACCCTCCCACACGTGTGGGATCACAATATGAATGACCACAAGACTCTATAGTGTTAAGCCATTGAATGATGGGATTCTTAGCTACCGGAGTTAGTCTCCCCAGAATAATATAGATATTGATGCCAGAAGTGGGTGCTTCCATAATAGAAATGCCTAAAACATGGGATATTGGCTTAATAGTCAGGCTGTGGGTGGTGAGGAGACACATCCAGGAGGCTGGAAGGCTGTCAAGCCCTGTGTTGTTGTGGCAAAGTGTTTGGTAGAACTTCACAGTGATGATCTGGAAGGGAGACCATGTGCCTGAGATTTTAGCACTAGGGGAAGTGTTTAGAAAATAGAACATTAGCAGTGTGTGTATATTTATGTGTGGTGGGCTTCTATTGTCTGCCTTTGGCAAAGTATCACAAGAAGAAGGAAGTTAGGAAATAATGAGCTGATTTAAAAGTAATATAAAAAGGGAGTAAGAAGAATGCAAAAGTGTGGTGCCTCAAACATGTTCCAACTATTATTGCTGTGTAACAAATTACCCTAAAACTTAGTGCATAAGCCATTTCTTACACTCCTGGCATCTGTGCATCAGAAATTCCAGCAGGACACAGCAGGGACATCTTGTCCCCGCTGCACAATGTTTGGGGCTCTGCTGGAAGACTTGAAGCTGGTGACTGGAATTATCAGAAGGCTGGTTCACTCGTGTGTTTGGCAGCTGATTCTGGCTGTTGCCTGGAGACTCAGTGCCTGTCCACATAGACTTCTCCCTTTGGTCTCCCCATGTGGGTTCATTTGAATTTCCTCACAGCGTGGTGGCTGGGTTGCCAGGCAGAAGTTCTATCACTTTACCACCTGGTCTCGGCAGTCAGGTGGTGTCACCTCTGCCTGATGTCAGTTGTTATTACCAAGTCACTAAGGTCAGCCCATATGCAGAGCAAGGGGAATCACGCTCCACCTCATGGTGGGCTGAGTGTCAAGGCTCTGGGAGAACACGTGGCGTTGGCAAGATTGTTATGGCCATGGCCCGTTTTGGGAAAATCCAGTCTGCCCCAGAGGGGTTGGAAAAGCTGGCTGCTTCCTTAACAGTAAGGGATGGGATTGAGAAGCATTGAGACAGAGACCCAATAACATGTTTCGATTGAAGAAAGTGATTTAATCCTGTAGCAGAAGGTTAGACTGGGATGCAGCTGTCCCATTCAAGCCTACTGTTCCACATAGTCTCAAGACAGCCGCTGAGAACAAGAGAGGTGGGAGGTAAGGGAGGAGACAACGAAATCAAGCACATCTTAGAATTATGTCTAGGAAAGAATCTTGAGAGTGTTTGCTTTGCAAATGGAGCTGCCTGGAAGCAAATGGATCAGACATGATTAAGTTTTTGAGTTCAAAAGGTCCACTAGAGGACTCTAAGACCCTACAAGATAGGGGAGCCAGGGATGGAAGGAGCCCAGACCCTCCTGACCCCCACACCTGCTCCTAATCATCCCTACTGGTCCACAGTAGACTGGGATACGAGCAAGAAATAAGCCTTTGGGGTTTCTGTAAATAGCAGTTAGTCTACCCTGACTAATACAAGCTGTTTTCCTGGCATATCCTTTGAAGGAATAGTAAATAACATTTGTAAGTGAGTCCACTTCTCTAATGGCCTGGCACACCAATTCCCTGCCTCTCCCACTCCCGCCAGCCATGGCTGATTACTTCAAGGATGTAGAGATGACAAACCAAGCCAGCCGGATTACGGACCTTGGGCATTTGGAATTGGGAGTTTAGCAGGCTGGTGTTTTGCATTTAGGATGAGATAAGCCCAGTGGATCTGGTGGGCTATGCAGCCGCTGCCTGCTGCTACACACAGAAGCAGGGGCCTGGGCTGCAGAGATGGCACTGCTGAGCAGATAGAGTGAGAGGACGCCATGCCCTGGGGTGTCAGGGAGGCGTCCCAGTGCTAGCCTGTGTCCCAGCTGTCGTTTCTTGGGTTCTGTGAGGTTCCTGAGTCATCTGATGGATTCCCTCTGGCCGAATCTAGTTTTAGTGAGTTTCATTTATCATAAATAAGTGTTGATTGAGACACAAGCAACAAAGAAGAGTGATCATGATATTTTGGGTGGAAAGAGGTTACAAATAGATTGTACATTATGATTTTGAACTTGTGACCATAATTATTATATAGATATATAAGAAATGTAGAGTAGACACCAACATATAAACAAGGGTTATCTCAGGAGCTGGAGGAGAGTATAGGTAATTGGTATTTAATTTTTCCTTTTTGCTGAGAATGTATATTGCTTATATTGCTTTAGTAATCCGAAAAAAATCAGGTTTCTTTTATATTATAGATTTGGGGGTACATGTGCAGGTTTGTTACAAGGGTATATTATGTGATGCTGATGTTTAGGGTACAACAGAACCGTTCGCCCAGGTACTGAGCATAGCACCCAAGAGGGAGTTTTTCAACCGTTGCCTTTCTCCCTTCCCCCTCCTCTAGTAGCTCCTACTGTCTACTGTTTCCATCTTTATGTCCATGAGTCCCCAGTGTCTAGCTCCCACTTACAAGTGAGAACATGTGGTATTTGGTTTTCTGTTTCTGCATTAATTTGCTTAAGACAACGGCCTCCAGCTGCATCCATGTTGCTGCAAAGGACATGATTTCATTCTTTGTTATGGCTGCATAGTATTCCATGGTGTATGTGTACCACATTTTCTTTATCCAATCCACCACTGATGGGTGCTTAGGTTGATTCCTTGTCTTTGCTGTTGTGAACAGTATTGTGAGGAACATATGAGTGCATGTGTCTTTTTGGTAGAATGCTTAATTTTTTTCGGGGGGTATATACCCAGTAATGTGATTGCTGGGTAAAAGGGTAATTCTATGTTTAGTTCTTTGAGAAATCTCCAAACTGCTTTCCACAGGGGCGGAACTAATTTGCATTCCCACCAGTAGTGTACAAACGTTTTCTTTTCTCCACAACTTTGCCAGCATCTGTTATTTTTTGACTTTTTAATAATAGTAATTGTGACTGGTGTGAGATGGTGTCTCACCGTGGTTTTCATTTGCATTTCTCTGATGATCAGTGATGCTGAGCGTTTTTTCATATGTTTGCTGCTTGTATGTCTTTTTTTGAGAAGTGTCTGTTCATGTCCTTTGTCCACTTTTTAATGTTTTTTGTGAGTTGAAAGTCAGGGATTTTTTTTTTTTTTTTTTTTTTTTTTTAGATGGAGTCTCGCTCTGTCACCAGGCTGGAGTGCAGTGACATGATCTAGGCTCACTGCAACCTCAGCCTCCCAGGTTCAAGTGATTCTTCTGCCTCAGCCTCCTGAGTAGCTGGGACTACAGGCATGGCCACCACACCTGGCTAATTTTTGTATTTTTAGTAGAGACAGCATGTCATTATATTCGCCAGGCTGGTCTCAAACTCCTGACCTCATGATCCGCCAGCCTCCGCCTCCCAAATGAAAATCAGTTTTTAAATATATGACCTACCTGAAAAGGAAACTGAGGAACACAAAACAAATTGAAAAACAGTTGGCAGATTTCTGGTTGGCAGGCTTTCACGTGGGCATGTCTCCCCTTGTAGAGGGGCCTTGGGTTTCCCATTCTGCACCAGCTGTGAGCCTCATTCAGTGGCCCTCTGTCCCTGTATTCTACCACAGTTCAGCTGGGCTGCAGACTCTAGCTGTTAGGAAGATAAAGACATTTGCCTTCTTAGGACTGGACCTCACTTCATCTGTGGCAACTTGGCCTCTTGGCTACTCGCTGTGGTCACCAAAGGTCATTTTGGAAAATCCAGGAGACTTCCCCTGCTTTTGTCTTTCCCCAGCTCTCCCCCTTCCCTGGCCTCTTCCCATTTTCCTTCTGTTTTTACACTGCCAGCTCTGAACCCTGGAAGTTCTGCTCTCTGGCCCAACTGGCTCTGCTGAAGGATAGCTGGCTAGCTCTTAGGGCTGGCTTTTACCTTTGTGCCTTTTGAATTCTTTAGCTTTTGTTTCAGCCTTGTCCTGTCTGGCTTGGATACATCTTCTTCCCAGGAGCCAGTTGGCTTGGATTCGTCTGATTTCCCAAAGCAGAGATGATTGGCCCAATTTGGCCCAGTGAATGTCCCCTCTCTTCCTATCTGCCTCTGAGAGCCATGATACTTCAGAGTGCTCAAAATCTCATTGCAAAAGCAGCGTAGTGCAAACTCACAGCAAAAGGAAGATCCAGGCCATGAGCAACAGACCCTCTCCTGGCCGGCTCCCTGAGCTCCCCGCCAGGCTCTTCTCCTGAAAGGACACGGGTAGTCTCCCGGCTTCAAAGGATTTAGGATGTCTGCCAGAATGGAATTGTCCCAGCTCTGTGCAAAATGCTGCTAGTTGAAAACTCCTATTTTGAAAATGCTGATGAAATTTTCATTTTATTGTTTGTTTTAATTATCGTCCTCTTATTGCCTTGCAGCAATGTTCTCTCCCCCTTGCAGGAATGTTAGTGCAAACACAGCTGCATCCTCGGGCTCCTGCAGAAGGGGCCTAGAAGGAGTGAAACAGACTGCAGGCAGGAAATGAGTTTGATCCGAGCTGTCTGTGTGGGCCCGGGGTTTGGGAGTGTCTCCATGGTGAGAATGCACCAGCAACAGGAGTAGGCCCCCCTGTGGGACATTGTCACTGACCAGTGCTCTTGGGGCCTCCCTGTCCCTTCTCAGAGATGACTGTCCTTGATGGGGAGGTAGAGATGTGTTTTCAGTCTTCTTTTTGGGAGATGGAAGATTTATTTAGGAAATCAGAAGTTGCAGCTGAGTAGGAATCCATAGTTGATAGTCACTGAAGCACACTTCGGAAATGACTGGGTTGCTTTAAAGGATATCTGTGTTTACACCTGAGGCATTGTGTATTGTTCATGAGGATGTTGTGTCACTTACCAGTCAGGATCAGCAAATACGGCTTTCTGGGTCTTGTACCTGTGTAGGTCCTAGTGATGCACTGCCTCACCTGCGCAGGGCAGGCTTTTCAGATCTTCTGCCTATCACAGGGACGTTGTGGAGAATACAGCAGCTCTCCCAAAACACAAATGTCATTGATAATAACAATTACGAGCCTAAAAACCTATAAACCAAAAGAAGTATTATTCCACTCCTACCCCTATTTCCATCCCAGAGAACCAAGGTGCTAAGAAGTTAAGTGCTACGTTTAACGTCACAAAATAGCAGAGTCTGGAGTAAAACTCATGACTGGCTTCAAGGCTCATGTTTCGTTTCTCTCACACAGGCCTGAGTCAACCAAAAAGCACAACAGAACTCAACACAACAAAACACTTTGTTGCTGCTTGAAGGCTGCAGATAGCGTTCTAACCCTGCACCGTGGGAGGTGTTTCATCATCCGGTTTTTCAATTCCCCTTGGATTCACTCTTTTTAGATGCCTAGACTGTGACAGTGTGAGGTGAGAGACCTCACTTAAGGGTGTACAAATCCTCTGAATATGTTGATACTTATTTTGATGTAATGGGATTTGGTGGGAGCTTTGCTAGGGAAATCCTGGGTTAGCGTGTACTGACGGCAGTCAGGGAGTTTATGTGACAGCTGGAAAAGATATTGCTTAACCATCAATATGAAGAAGGATTAGGACAACACCTTGGATTTTGTCGTGGGTGGCTGCCCTGCGGAATTAGGGTTCAACATTCAACCTTATGTTCATTAGGTCAGTCTCCTGTCCTTCTGCCTCTCCTACTCCCAGTGCCCCACCCATTCTCCTACTGCTCGGGAAGACACAATTACACACGTACTGTTATATTTTCAGAGCACATAGGACTGTGTACTGAAGGCTTTCGTCTGCCTGTCTTTATGGATCCTTTGAAATTTCATTGTCTCATTAGAGGATCGAATTCAGTGAATGTTTTACAATTAGGTTTTTATGGATAAGAGATGGGAGAAGTACCAGTATCACAGTATCCAGTTGCAAATATCATTTATTAATCTGAGAAGGCAGAGGGATTTAGGGCTTTCTGAGTCAAACACTGAAAAGCTGAACATTTTCAGTCTTTAAAAGCTCAGGAACTGGGCCCACAGGCCAGCAGGATCACTTCCTTGCCGTGTAAATTCATGTTTTAGCTGAAGGTCCTTCTCAGTGCAGGAAGAGGCCTTTGTCAAAAGCAGGCTCAGTATGGCAGCTGTCCCAGGCCTGGCCCCATTTCCTTCCCTCCCCACTCCTCCTTTCTCGTGGTGGCTTTCTCGCTCTTTTTCTTGGTGTGGGGCTGGGGCCTCTCGGGACTTATCAGGTGCACCCATTCACTGGGCTTCACTGTATGAGATGGGGCTCAGCTGGAGGCAGCAAGTGTCGGGGGAAGAAAGGGCTGATTGAATTTGCTTTGGGACCAGCTCCAAGTCCTGCAAGGCTTGCAAATGTTTAGGGGGAGATTTCCATATCACTCTAAAGTTGCTTGTCTTTCTCCCAAAGGGAAAGGCTGCTGCCAAAAGTGGAGGACTTAAAGCTGGAGGCCGCCCCAAAGACGGGGAAATGAAGAAAACGCCGTTTCTGGAGCTCCCTGAGGTGAGTGTGTGCGCGCGAGTGCACGTGTGCTAGTCTTTGGCTCCTTGTTAATTCCCTATAACAGATCACAGTGCCGAGGAGAAGCCAGGGCGTCTCTAGGCATTTGGCCAGCAGGAGGGGCACAGTGTGATGCCTGGAGGGGAATTCTTGGAAGAAAATGGAATGCTGTAAAGTGGGAATCTTGGGTACTATGGGATGACAGGCGGGGCAGGGCGGCCGCGAGTTTGGAGTGAGCGTCCGTGAAACGAAGCAGATGAGGAAATTCAGCAGGAGGAGTCTGGATGGGGCTATTCACAGTTAGCTCTGCTGAAATCCCTTTAGGAAGTCACTTGCTGGCTTCGTCCCACATAGTTTCTAGCCTGTGGGTGGAGATCATGATCCTTTTGGAGCTCTCTGGTTCATAATTCTGTGGAGGAGGAAGATACCAAGATGAATCAGCTGCTGTCCCTGCCTGTGAAGAGCTTGTGGCTGAGCGAGGGAGACAGGTGCAAGGCTTGGAGAGACTGTGATATATCTGCCATGTCTGACTTGGTGGGAGGAAGAGCACATGACTTCTGAGGTCCTTTCTAATTCTGAGGTTCTGGGTCTTTACAAAGCCACGTCAGTGAAGTAATTCATTTATTTCTTTGATTATGTAGCAGTTACATGTTAAGTACCTTTAATAAGCCAGGCCCTGGGGCTATACTAAGAAAAAAGACTGACATTCCTCTACAAATACGGAGTTGAGAGTTTTAACAGGTTTTGAGGAGGTGGTTACAAGAGCGTTTGGTATAAGGAAGGATCAATATACATGACACCACACTCAGGGGATCCTCCTCAGGGTGCTCCGGGATGGCTTCTTAGAGCAAGTGATGTTAATTCATACCTGATGAGGATTGGCTGGGGGAAATGGGACAAGAAGGTGTTTCCTCAGTGACATCTTCAGGGAACAGAGAGCAGGGTGGCTGGAGAGGGAAAAGCTGGGGAGAAAGTGAAGACGGATTTAGACAGGAAGGGAAGCAGAAGCCAATTACATCTGGCTTTGCCCTGGATTATCTTTATCTTCAGAAAGGGGAAGTGATGAAAGGCTTTAAGGAGGAAACCATGACTCCATCAGGTCAAAAGTCACTCTTCAGAGAGGTCTTTTCTGACTGCTTCCATTGAAATTGTGTTTCCCTGATTAAGCAATCTCGAAGTACACAGAGCTTTTCCTGCAGAGCACTTACCCAACTTACAATAAAACTCTTTTTCATGTTTATTTTTTTAATGGCCGTCTCTCCCCAACGCTAATGCAAGGATCGCTGCGGCTTTCCTGGCCAGTCTCTGGCCAGTGCTCCTCCCACTGGCTGACCCCTGTGGAGATGCAGTGATGATGGGTGAACACAAATTGGGTTGGTGGTGTTTAAGGATTCTTCCACCTGAGTTGGGAATAGCTCTTTCAGAAGACCAGGTGAGAGGGAAATGAAGGTTGAAATAGGTGAGAGGCGGCAGTGACAAACGGAAAGATGCGGCAAAAACGGAGAAGCCTTCAGCGGGGGTAGAAGCCACAGGATGTCGCTGTAGGGTGGACGAGAGGAAAGGGAGAGGGATGATGCCTGGGGTTCTGGCTAGTGGATGAATAATGCTGCCATTTATTGAGAGGAGAGCTCCAGAAGAGAAGCCTCTAAGTGATTGGGGGGTGGAGAAGGTGAGTTCTGATCAGGGCCAGCTGCCCCCATGGCCAGCTTCAGGGTCACATTTGGCTTCTTTCATCTTGCACGTCAGCAGTCTCCTCACAAGCTCTATAACTGTCCCCACCCCCATCCTCTGTATGAGGCTACTTTTCCATCTGGCTCTCATATGTTCGTTGAGTTTGTTGTCCATGACAAGAATCCGATGTGAGCAATTACCTTTTTTTCAACTCTTCAGGTGGTCACTCAAGAAGTAGTGTGGGAAAGACCACAGGAGACTGATTCAGCCTCACGCACATTCCTCATTTCTGTGCAGGCTTCTGTTCTAATTCCTGCCCACTTAAACTAGGTTGATGGATGGGGTGGGGAAGTATGTGTTTTATCCAAACCTTTCTTGAAATCCTGTCCTGCCCACAAACCCCTAAAAGGGATCCTTTTTTATTATAAAGCGAATTGAATTAGAAGTAGGCATCTACCCAAGGCCAGCAAACCCATGGACTTAGCAGGGGATAATCAGATACTCTCAGAAATTTGAGCGGAGACACGGAGATGTAGTCAGTGTAGGGTCTTAAGTTGAAAAGCCAAATAGACCAGGGGCTAGGGTGCTTTGAGGGCCCGTGAGAATATAAGACCCATGGTGGAGAGATGAAATAAGGTAATCAATTTATAGAAAGTAGACATTCGAGACCAACTGGAGGAAGGGAGAGAGGAGACCACTTTCCAGTTCTTACGGGGTCCAGCTATATTTCTTTTCATGGGCATGAAGGACCTTATTCTTTTTCTCCTCACGTGTCAACTGCGACCTTTAGAGAATGAGAATTTTACCACTTCTCCCTGTAGCAGCAAGCTTGGGACAAAGCTTCCACTTTTTGTCTTTACCTATTTATGTTTTTTAATTTTAAAAGAATTGTGGAATGTTGCAGATGTACAGACAGATAAAGAGAATAATGGAGTGAACACCTGTATTCTCATCAACTAGATTTACCAAATCTTAGCATTTTCCCTATCCCCATATTTCACTGAAGTTCCATGCACTTCTCCTCATTCACATTCTCTTCTTTCACTTTCTCAGAGGTACCACTGCTCAAAATCTGTTTCTTATTAAATGTAATTTTCCATGTTTAACATGCCCATCGACATTATAAAGTATTGTTGTTTCTTGCTGTTCAACTTTATATAATTGGTTTTATTCTGTAAAAATGACGTAACTTTTTCTCACTCAACATTATATATTTTAGATTTGTCCATGTTATTAACTGTAGGTTTAATGTTTTCTTTCTTTTTTTTTTGAGATGGAGTCTCACTCTGTTGCTCAGGCTGGAATGCAGTGGTGCGATCTTGGCTCACTGCAACCTCCACCTCCCGGGTTCAAGCGATTTTCCTGCCTCAGCCTCCCGAGTGGCTGAGATTACAGGCGCACACTACCACGCCCAGCTAATTTTTTTTGTATTTTTAGTAGAGATGGGGTTTCACAACGTTGGCCAGGCTGGTCTCGAACTCCTGACCTCATGTGATCTGCCCACCTCGGCCTCTCAAAGTGCTGGGATTACAGACATGAGCCGCCACGCCTGGCCGGTTTAGCCTTTTCATTTTCACTGCTGTAGAGTATTCTGTTGCATGAATATATCACAGTTTATCCATTCTTCTGTGGATGATCTTTCAGATTGTTTTCTGAGTTTTTTCAATTACAGAAAGTGTTACAGAAAATCTTCTCATGCACGCCTCCCAGTTCACACACATGGGGCTTCCCTAGGGAATGCACTTACAACTGCAGGTGCTAGATCTTAAGGCTGTGCACATCTTCGACATAGCTAGATTTGGCCAAATTCCTTTCCAAAGTGGTTGTTCTGATGTTGCCTAGCTGCACATTCCAATTGCTCCATATTCTCACCAACATTTGGTATCGTCAGGCTTTTTAATCTTTGCCAAAGATGGATGTGAAATAATAGATCACTGCTGCAAATTGCATTTCTATGATTAATAGTGGAGTTGGCCATATTCTCACACATTTCTCATTTTTGCTTTTTTTCTTATGAATTGCCTCTTGATTCCAGTTGCCAATTTTTCCATGGTTTTTTTTTTTTTCCCTTTTGCTTCTTGAGTTGGGATTTTAATATATTCTGGATATAAATATTTTGTTAATTATATGTCTTGCATATGCCTTTTTCTTGTATGAGGTTCTTCTTTTCAATTTGTGTACAATAACTTTTGATGTTCATAGTGTTTCCATTTTAATGTGAAGGCCTCTTTATGGCTTGTGTTTTTTGTGTCTGATGCAATCCTTCCTTCCTTACCCTGAGGTCATCTAGTGTCTTGAATTTTTGTCTGAAGGATTTTAAAGATTTGCTTTTGCATTTAGCTTTAAAATCCATATGGAATATACCTTGGTATGGGGTGAGGAATATAATTTGTTTTTCATCCACGGGAGCACCTAGTTGTCACAGCACCATTTATTCATTATCCCATACTTTACTGAGTGCCTTATGTCACCTCTCTGTCATGTACCAATTTTCATTATATTTTAGGTTCTATCTGTCAGCACTCCATTTTGTTTTACCTGTTCTGCAGCAATGCCACACTATCTTGACTATTGCTTCATGATGTCTTAATATTTGATTTAATAATTACTTTCACTTTGTACTTCTTCAAAAATTTTAGTCAATTTTTGTTATTTTGATTTTCTGTCTATACTGTAGAATTAACTCGTAATTCTTGAAGACCCATGTTTGCTTTTGATTGTATTATAAATTATATTTACAGATGAATCGATTTACAAAAACTTTATAGATTAAGTTGAGAATTGACAGTTTCATAATATCATCTTCCCACCTGTGAAAATGACATACCTCTTTCATTTGTGTTTTCTTTAATATGTTTCAATAAAATTTTATTATTTTAAGCAGAAATGTAATATGTATCTTTCGTTATTATTCCTCTACACCATTAACATTTTTGTACTCTTTCATTATCTTTAAGAATTATTAAATATTTTTAAAATATCCTTGCTGTTATATAGAAACACAATTGATTTTTATAAATAGATTATATCTATGGCAAACTTGCCGAACTTTCTTATTGGTTCTGATTCTTTTCTATTTATTAATTTTTTCCCAGGTTTAATTCTTTTCTTTTTAAAAATTTTTTTTGAGTGTTACCTTGTTTTTTTTTTTTAATCTTCTTGATACTTAGGTATTTTTTTTCAATCTTTGTTTTCTAGTAAATGCATTTTAAAGCTATACATTTACCTCTGAATACAACTTTAGCTGTGTCTTACAAGATTTAATATATTACGTTTTTAGTGTTCAGTTGTTAATGTCTTATTAACAGTGACTTACTATATTCAAAGGGTTATTAAGCAATGGACTGAAATTGGCAGGGTGCAGTGGCTCACGCCTGTAATCCCAGCACTTTGGGAGGCCGAGGTGGGCAGATCACGAGGTCAGGAGATCGAGACCATCCTGGCTAACATGGTGAAACCCCGTCTCTACTAAAAATAAAAAAATTAGCCGGGCGTGGTGGCGGGCGCCTGTAGTCCCAGCTACCCGGGAGGCTGAGGCAGGAGAATGGTGTGAACCTGGGAGGCAGAGCTTGCAGTGAGCCGAGATCGTGCCACTGCACTCCAGCCTGGGAGAAGGAGCAAGACTCTGTCTCAAAAAAAAAAAAAAAAAAAAAAAAAAAAGAACGGACTGAAATTTCTAACGTATGTATCTTTAGACTGTCTTGGTTTATCTCTTTATTGCTAGTTTTTGTTTAATTACAATTTGGTAAAAATTTGTTTTATAAGATATTTATACTTTAAAATTTTCAGAAATATTCTCTGTGCTAGTTCAAGTTCTATTTTTATGAAAGTTTCATGTATGTTCTTTGTTGGCACAATGCTCTATATTTGTGTCTATTGGCTCAAACTTGCTTACTTTGTTGTTTGCATCTTCTGTAATGTTTTTTGAAAAAACAGTCTTATTTAGGCAGAGTTGATAAACGCAAAAACCTCCTGCCCATGTTTAGTCTACACAATTTGATGACTTTGAACTTATTATGCATACATGCATGATAGCATCACTGAATCAAGGTTGTAATATATCAATTACTTCCCCGAGTTTCCTTGTGTTCCTTTGGGTGCCTGTGTGGGAGTTGCAGGACTCAGAGCAGCTAACGTTGTGGACTGGGTGTTAGGAGTCAGTTTGACCAGATGAAGAAATCCCTAGAGACCTGGTAAAGCCCTCCTTTGGGTGCGCCTTGTTTTAAAAGCTAAAAACAGCTAAAAAAAACAGCTAAATAAAAAAGCCAAAAAGCTAAAACAGATCTACTTTTTAAACACATTTTTAAGTGCACAATACTATATTGTTAATTATAAGTGCCATGCTGTACAGAAGATTTCTAGAACTTACTTATCTTGCATATTTAATATTCCTTTTGATAACCAAAACTTTATAACTATTGAGTAACACCTTTTCATTTCCACCTCCCTCCAGCCCCTGGCAACACCGTTCTGTTCTCTGCTTCTATGTTTGACTACTTTACGATCTCATATAAATAAAATCGTGCAGTATTTGTCCTTCTAGGACTGGCTCAGTTTACGTAGCATAATTTCCTCTAGATTCATCCATGTTGTCACAAATTGTAGGATTTCCTTCTTTTTTAAGATTGAATAATAGTTCTTTGTATGTTTATACTTAATATCTTTATTAATTTAATTTACTTTATTTACTCATTTTGGAAGCAAACATCCTAAAATCTCCAAGTATAATTGTAAAATTGTCATTTCCTATGTGAAATTTTGTTGGTTTAAAAAATATTTTGGGGCTAAATTATTATTTGCACAAAACAACAGAATTGTTATAACATCTTGGTGAATTGTTTTGCTGATCACTATTCAGTGGCCCATTATGGTAGACTGTATCATTGTTAAAATATTTATTCCCTGTGCTAAGGGACGATTGTATTTCCCTTCTCCTTGACGTAAGTGTTAGCTGTGTGACTTGGTTTGGGGAGTGACATCTGAATAGAAGTGAGAAGCATCACTTTCAAACAAAAGATTTAAGAACCAGAAGTTGGTTCATAATATCTTTTTCTTTCTTCTTCCATGAGACAGTATTTGTTTTAGATAGAGACGAGTCCATCGGGTCGAGTGCAAGGGTCAACATACTGTACAGCAGAGCTTCCCCACTCTGAGATGGATGTGTTGCATGAGTAAGAAGCAAGTCACCGAGATCCTCTGGGTTGTTTGTTATTGCAGCCTAACCTAACCGATCATGACTAATACTTCCAATTCATTCCTACTAATGCCTTTGCCTTAAGGTCAGTTTTGTTTATCAGTATTATAGCAGCTCCAATTTTCTTTGAAGTCGTATTTGCCTGGTATATCCTTTTCAATCTTGTTCCCTTCGGTTTCCCTTCAATTTCTGCATGTCTCCCGTAAACCACATTTAGCTATATTTTGTTAGAGTGTTTTATTCCATTCTGGGATGCTCTTTCCATTTAAATTTATTGTTTTTACTAATGTATTTCTTCTGTCTTATTTTGTGATTTCTGTTTATTATTCTTTTACTTTTGCCTTTCTCCTCCCATCATTTACAAATGGGTGTAGTGGGACAAATAGCCTTCAAAAAGATACATCCTCTTCCTAATCTTCTGAATCTGTGAATCTTGCTTTATTTGGCAAAAGAATGTGATTAAGGATCTTGAGAGGAGAAGGTTGCCATGTATTATCTAGGTGGACCTTATATGCAATAACGTGTATCTTTACGAGGAAGGCACACACAAGAGGAGGTGGCACTGTGACTGTGGAGCAGAGACTGGAATGATGTAGACCCAAGTCAAGGAATGGTGACAGCCACCGGAAGCCGGGAGAGATGAAGAACAGGTTCTCCCTTAGAGCCTCCAGAGAAAGTGTAACCCTGCCAACACCTTGATTTCGAACTTCTGGCCTCCAGAGATGTGAGAGAATAGGCTTCTGTTGTTGTAAGCTACACAGTTTGTGGTTATTTGTCAGAGCAGCCCCAGGAAATGAATACAACTAGCAATAATAGTGTTCTTATCCCACAGGGTTATCGTGAGGATTAAATGAGATAATTCAAGAAAGGGGTTATCAGTGCCTGGCCTGCATTAAGTGCTCAGTAGTTGTTAGCTATTATTCTATTTATTATTTTTTGTTAGCTATTACTCTATTTATTATTATTATAGTTGTTAGCTGTTATTCTATTTATTATTTTGAGTAAAAATAGGTTTTGGTCCAGTTCTGTAGAAGAGCCTGAAATGTTGACTTTTATGCAAGGTATTTATTGAGGGGGTAAAACCTGTAAGAGAATGAAGGAAGCAAGATAGGGAATATAGTAGGAAGGAATGATATTCGGCTTCCCCAGTACCAAATCTGTGTTAGCCAGGGTTCTCCAGAGACAGGTCCATTAGGATATGTGTGTATGTATAGACAGATAGATAGATGAGAGAGAGAAAGAGACAGAGAGAGAGAGAGAGAGAGAGAGAGAAATTCAGAGAGAGAGAAAGAGAGAGAGAGAGGGAGAAAGGAGAGTGGACTTATTAGGGGAATTGGCTCACATGATTATGGTGGCTGAGAAGTTCCATGACAGGTCATCATCTGCAGGCTGGAGACTCTAGGTTGGCTCAGTCCAAGTCTGAAGGCCTCAGAGCCAGGGCAGCTGATGGCGTAACTCAGTTCGAGGCCAAAAGCACTAGGACCCTGGGGGGGCCACTGGTGTCATAAGTTCTGGAGTCCAGAAAGCAGTGCATTTGGAGTTCTAACGTCCAAGGCAGCAGAAGAAAAGTCTGTTCCAGCTCTCAGAGTAAAAGAGCAGTTCACCTTCTGTGGTTGTTCTCTCTGGGCCCCCAGCTGACTGGATGGTACCTGCCAGCACTGAGGGCAGAGGATCCCCCAGTCCACCTAGACTCACACTCCAGTCTCCTCTGGAAACACCTCAAGATGCACCCAAAGGAGGGCTTTACCAGGTCTCTAGGGATTCCTTCTTCTAGTCAAAGTGACACCTAACATCCAGCCCACACGTCCACCCCTTAACAACCTGGCACCGATACACACCTCCTTAAACCTTTCTTAATTTCCGAGTAAGACAATAGCACGGCAATAGTGCCACCTAACATGGTGAAACCATTCTGCATACAACTGAAAATGCTCCACTCTTTCCCCAGAATTCGGCTTTCAGGATTTCAACATTTGGGATTTTAATCTTTTGGGATTGTGATTTTTGGGATTTTAGATTTGGGGATGTTGCTCTTTTGGGATTTCAACATTTGAGACTATGGAATTTTGGATTGTGTCTTTTGGGATTATGATCGTCACCACAAGACAGGGCAAGGGGAGAGCCTGACGCTTAGCTGCAAGGCAAAAGCTGGAGTCCAGCCTCGTCATGACCCAATGGGGGTCGCTGAGCGCAGCCAGCGTTGTCCCATCTTCAGGCAACAGAGCCAAGCTTTTCCACTCTTGTATCGATTAGTCATTGTGTGGGGGCAGTAGGGGATGGGGTGACAGACTGTGGGGTAACATGGCCCCTTGTCATTCCAGTGAGGCGGGTTATGGTCAGCAGCGGCTGGCAGCCTTGCTGGTGAATGAATGGCACTAGACCTTGGAGTCCACCTTGCAGGCAGCCAGTTCTGGCTTAGTCAGCTTCATGCAGCTCATTAATTCCCATCAGTAGCCCCTCCTTTCTATGTGCAGGGAGCCTGTCCCCTGCAAGGCCTCATGTCCACAACTGTTTCATTGCCCTCCTTCTGCGCTGCTCTTCTTCAATTCCCTGTTTCTGTTAGTGGGCACCACTAGTCCCCCAGTGGTCCAGGCTGGAAGAATCAGAGTCACCTTAGCTTCCTTCTCTGACCTCGTCTGCCTGATCTAGTCCTGATCTGTGTGCAACCTTCCTCACCTGTCACCCCCTCTCCTTGATGCCAGACATGGCCTAGCCTCTCATTTCTGCTCTCCCATCCTGTTAGCAATAGGTCCTACCAGGTCCCCCTGCCCCCTTCTCCTCTTGTCAGTTTTCCCCTTCTCTCACCCCTCTTTCAATCTATCAGCAAAACCTTTCGGCTCCCTTTAAAGATATCCTCATCTAGCCAGTGCCCCTGGCCTCCGGGGACTTTGCCTCTCAGAGGCTGGACAGCAGCGGTGGGCCTGCTCCTGCTCCCCTAGGATTCATCTTAGCCTGACTGATCAGTAATTTCAGCACTCTGCCTTACTTAGAAATCTCCAGGAACTTCTCCGTGAATTTACAATAAAATCCAAACTACTCTCCCTGGCTCTCGAAGTCCTAAGAGATCTGCCCCTGCTAACTTCTCTGACATCACTCCCTCCATGGTCCTCACTCCCTCCATGGTCCTCTTGCTCACACCACTCTACCGCACTGAAGCCTTGCCTTTTCTCACCTGCCACGCCATGTCCATGTCAGGATCCCTTCCTATGCCCTTGCCTGGAAGGCTCCCCCAGGTCTCTGCATGGCTTGCCTCCTCTAGAGTACAGGTCTTCGCTCTAATATGGCTTGCTCAGAGAAGCCTGCTCTGACCCTTCAACTTAAAACCATTCTCCCCTAATTTCCATCACTCTATCTTGCTTGATAGTTTTTCCTTTATGATACATCACTGTCTGAAATTATCTTGTTTATTGATTTTTTTGTTTATTGTTTTATCTTCCCCTAGAGTAAAAGTATGAGGTCGGAGATTTCAGCTTGTATGCCCAGCAGCTTAAACTGTGCCTGGGTTTACATGCTGGGTTTTTAGTAGATATTGAAGGAGCAAATGGATAGTGTTACTGAATTGACCTCCTGAGAGTGAAGCTTTGAGAGCGTCTGATCCGAAAAAAGGCTTTTCATTGTCCTTCAAGATCCTTCAAAATCTGGCCCAAACTTTCTTTATATTCTTATCTTGCATGACACTCTTTCCTATCACTTTTAATCTATCTAAAGTGGGCTTTGTTTTCCACTTTCTCGCTGCTCTTTCTCACCTTGGGATTCTGTTCACATCAGTTTCTCTAACCAGCAAGCCATTCCCCTCGTATCCTCAGTTCCTCTTAAAATAACGCATAGCCCATCATCTCCTCTTCTGTAAGGCGGTTGCCTTTGCACATTCCCTTGCCTGGAGAAGCCCTTTTTTTACTCTGAATTTCCATGAGACTTGCACTCTTTTAGGCTGTGACTTGCAGCATTGTACCTAGTAATGTTAGTCATTCACTATATCCTCAGTATCTAGCACCTGCCGCATAGTAGGCACACAATACATATTTGTTAAATGGGTGAATATTATAGTTTTGTTATCTTTTTACACTGTAAATGTCATGGAAGGGTCTATTTTGTTTATCTGTGTAACCTCCTACAGCATCTAGCATGCTTGTTGAATGAGTGAATAAATGAAAGCTATTATTCCCAACTCCAGGTGTAGTTCAACTCAAATAATGAATAAATCTCCCAATTGTCTGGGCCATCTTTTGACATTCCTCCTCCCTTTGGGCACATTGTTTTGTTTACATCCCCATGAATGCTGTGTTCAGAATAGCAATACTAGCAACTGATGATTGTGGTATGCGGAATTCTAAGAGAGCATCTGCCAAGATTCCGAGCCGTTGGCATAACCATGTTTTCCCCATTATTTTAAACATTAATCTAGGTACTTCTGTGCAACGGATTTGCAGATATATTTAAGGCATTGAATCAGTTAACTTTAAGTTAGGGAGATTATTCAGGTGGGCTGGACCTAACCACTTGAGCCCTATAAAACCAGAGAATTTTCTTTGCTCACACACAAGAAAAGAAGTCAGAGATTTGAAGCATTAAGGAATTGGATGCACAAGTATTTCTCTGTTGCTAACTCTGAAGATGCAGGGGACCACGTGATAAGGGATGTGGGTGGCCTCTAGGCCCTGAGGGTGACCCCCACATGACAGCTAGCAAGGAAATGAGGACCACAGTCATACAACTGCAGAAAACTCAATTCTGCCCAACCACAGGAGCTCAGAAGCAGATTCTGCTCAGCCGCAGATGGAAACCATACCTGAGGCAACGCCTGAATTTCAGTCCGGTCAGGTCCTGAGTGGGAACCCAGCCATGCCATGCCCAGACTTCTGACCTACTAAAACCTTGTGATAATAAATCTATGTTGCTTTAAGTTGCTAAGTATGGCACTTTTTGTGACACAACCATAGGAAACTGATACAGTGATGAGGATGAAGGCATAGAGAAACAACCTTCAAGAAGGACTGGACGAAAGAAAGAGCAACAGCAGTCCCCAAGTTTTGCATCTCTGTCTTATGACTCTGATTCTTCAGCTCCAAGCTCCACAACCACTAACAACTACAGGTCTTGATTCTGTCCCTGGCCACTCAGGTACCCTCTAAGAAAGAGGATTGAGACATGATTAATAAATGAATGTCTTCTTTTTGTCTGGCTTTTGCTTTTAGGCTTAGAATAGAGGTACATGCTCTTTTTCCACTGATCCCCCCTCTAATAAGCGTACCAACCTGAAACAATTGACCTTAAAAAACAAAAATAAGTAACCAGCCCCCAGAGCCCTTGCAGTCAGCATTAGCATTCTTCAGTCTCCCTGGGTTGTGTCCTGGGAGTCTCGGAGAAATGAATCTTATTATTAGTCTGATGCCAGTGACTGCTCCTGACAGCTCCCTCCTCCCTCCCGCAGCTGCTGCGCCAGCACAGGTGTCATGAAGCTGATGGCTTCTCTGGCGTGGGAGGGGGCGGGGGAAGGTGCATTGAGCCATCAGCTCCAAGCCCGGTATAGGCTCTTGGGAAGCTTGACTCCCACTGAGGGCTTCCACATGTCAGAGGAGCCCCCAGATCTGTGTTCCCTGGACTTTCTCAGGCAGATTTCCCTGGCAGAGTATAAGATAGGTCATTCAGAGGTCTTCAGCATCCCACCTGTTAGTCCTGAGATCTGTCCTCCACACAGAGGCATGCATAGAGTGTATGTGTATATTTTTTTAAATTATGAAGTGAACACATGTGTAAAAAGTAATCATGAAACAAACATTGTTAGCACCTCGGAAGGTCTCTCATTTTTCCCTTTCCAAACACAATCTCTTCCTCCTCACAGACAGAGATAATCACTATCCTGAAGTTCACGAAAATTACTTCCTTGCCTCTAAAAAAATCCCTCTTTTTGATACCCGTGTATGCATCTCTAAGTAGGGGTAGTCTTACTATGCCTGTTTACAAACTTTATGGAAATGGAATGTGTGCCCTCTTTTGCATCTTGCTTCTCAGCATTATATTTTTGAGATCTATCATGTTATATCTTAACTGTAGGTTGCTCATTTTCATTGCTAATATTCCATTTTCTGAATATAGCACAATTTATTTATTCTTATCATGATGGTCGTTTAATTTAGGTTGTTTTTAGCATTTGACTATTTAAGCTGCACTGCCATGCACATTCTGGTACACATGCACCTATTTACACAGGCAGTGGTTTAGCCAGGCCACATGCGAGAGCACAGCAGTGGGTGGGTATGGTGTGTATGTATCTCCAACCTTATGGAGTATGTCAACCTGCTTTCCAAATTGAATTCAAATGCATCCCCCCAAACAGCGGATTTAATTTTCTGATTCTGTACATTTTTGCCAGCCACAGGTATACTCGTTTTCTTTTGCTGTATAGCAAATTGCCACAAGCTTTATGGCTTTAAACAACTTAGGTGTATCACCTTACTGTTTGCCTGGGCCACAGTCTGGGCACAATTGAATGGGG
This sequence comes from Homo sapiens, assembly GCF_000001405.40. Classification (NCBI taxonomy): domain Eukaryota; kingdom Metazoa; phylum Chordata; class Mammalia; order Primates; family Hominidae; genus Homo; species Homo sapiens. Next base: position 133,796,718 of record NC_000011.10, on the reverse strand, counting down.
TCCTTTCTTCAGGGTCTCCCCAGGCTACACTCAAGGTATCAGCCTGGGCTGGAGTCTCATCTGAGTCTCAGGATTCTCTTTCCCCTGGCTGTCGGCAGAATTCAATTCCTTGCAGCTGTAAGACGCACGGACACTGCATCAGCAAGGCCAAGAGAAGCACGCCTCTCGACGTTTTGCCGCCTTCTGAAGGCCCCATTGATTAGGTCAGGCCCACTCGGCATAAACTCCTTTTTGATTAACTAAAAGTTGATGGATTGTTAATCTAATCACAGGACTGCTATCCTATTCACAGATTCTGCCCACAGTCAAGGGGAGGGGATTACACAGGACCTGTACATCATGGGGTGGGAATCTTGGAGACCTTCTCAGAATTTTGCCAGCCACACTTGGTATTCTCAGATTGTTTAAGTGTCAGCTACTAGATCATGTAAATTTTTGAATATCTGAAGGTAAGCAATTTTTCATGTTTATTGATGACTTGCATTTCTCGAGGTGTTTATTTCGTATGCTTTGCAGATATTTCTCCAACCTGATTGAGCAATATTCTTCAGTAATAAAATAGTATCATAGATAACACTTATTGAGTGCTTATCCTTTGTCAGCCATTTACATTCATTACCTCTTTTAATATACTTAAAACACTCTGAGTAGGTTCTATTGATTTCTCCATTTCATACATGAGGAAATTGAAGCTCCAAGGAGGTAGGCAACCTAACAAGGGCGTGTGGTAGGGATGTCACCGATCTGATCTTTGAACCAGCTCAGTCTGACTTCAGACCCCATCGTCTTAAACTCTAAGGGAACCTAGCATGCTGATACAAGGGATAAGGGGATTTGCTCCCTGCCATGATAGGCAAATGGTCTCATTTCTTTTATGACAAAAATATTGCTCATATGAGTGAAAGCCTGACCCTTTATATTTTCCAGGTTAAGCCCTGCCTCTTCCTCTTGTTCTGTGGCCTCTGAGCTAGCTGCTTCTCTCCCCTCCAGTCTAGCCAGCACACTGCTGTTACATGGATCTTCTCCAGGCTTCAAGTGCACATGTCTGACCCTACCCAAATCTTATGGGACAAACTGGGACTCTGGCCTCTAAGTCCCTTCTCAGTCTGACCCCAAATTCCTTTCCCAGCCTCATTTCCCCAAACCCGCTTCCCTGGCCCTTGGAAATCACCAGAGTATACACAGCCCCATGCTGTACTCAAGCTTTACCCCTAATTGGGAGCTCTAGTCCCCTGCTGTCCTCCCCATCCCCCGCCATTCTACTCATCTCTCAAGGCCCACTTCAATTTATATCTTGTGAATCAGTCATCTTTTAACCTCTCTCTCCTACAGAGATCTTTCCCTCCATCTTATGAGTTCTCATAACATTTATAGTTTTTACCCTTTGACACCTGGTCAGATCTGCCTTGATAATACTACCTAATTTTTTACGTGTCTCAATAAAATCACTTGTTCATTGCTGATTGGTTATCTCCTGAATGGTTTTCAGTCCTTATTTTACTTGAACTTTCCATAGCATCTTAACCTAGGAAATGAGGACTCATTCTGGAAATTTACTTCTCTATTGGTTTCTAGGACATCTTTTTCTCTTAATTTTCTTCCTACTTTGGACAGTCCTCTTTGTCCATATCCTAAATGGCTGTTCTTTGGGATTCTGTCTGTGGCCCTTTTCCTGGCTACTTCTTTGTATCATAGCCCTGCTGCACTGCCACCCCATTGGACTCCCTCTCCCACTGGACTCCCTGAGGTCAAGCACGGTGTCCGGTCTTTATTGCATCCCTGGGGCCCAACCCAGACACTTGCAGAGCAGGTACCTTGCTTTATGTGGTTTGTGAGTTCCCACAGTCTCTCTGACATTGCATTGCATGTGGCAGGTGGTACTCATGGACGGCTGAGGTGGGACTCATGGTGAACGGATGCGGACAGAGGTACAATTCCTTCAGGAGGACATCCCCTTGGGAATTCCTTTTTCCATTTTTTGACTTGGGGTGTGTCTATATGGGGAATTCTAGTTGTCTTCAAATAGTTAAACTTTTAGACAACTCTTTTGCCTTTAGTTCAGTTCATACCTTTTGAATTCCCTCAGATTTATTCTGGTTTATTGCTTGTAAGATAGCTAGTGCTCTGTCTCTGACCTAGCTCCGAAAACCAGACATGGAAGCGTAAATCAAATAACTGATATTTGGACACTGAGTTTCTGTCCTCAAAATGTTTCTACATCTCCTCATTTGGTCTTCATTAGAATACTGAATGTATGAATTCATTTATTAAAAAGGTTTCTTGATCTAGGCACTGTCCAGGGTGCTGGGGGAGCCATGGAGAACCACTACCACATCACTGGCTTTAATGATTTTGCCAATGCACCTGCTGCCCTTGTTCCCATTTGAAGCTGAGGACAGGAAGGCCCTGACAAATTATAAGTTTCCTATGGTTACTCTGTTGGTAAGTGAAGGATCAGGAACTTGAATCCAGACCTTCTTACCCCAAGTCCATATTTTATTGTATCAATTTTCATGGCTAAAAGACCTGCCAAACCCTGAAGGTCAGTGGAAATGTGTTTTTCTTGCCATGAGTGGTTTGCAAGTTTTGTCATTTCCTGAAAGAGAAACAGAGGAGCAACAAGAATACTGTTTGAAGCAACACTTAGCTTTTTCTCTCAGGTTCTTTCACGTTGAATGGCCCAGGTTCCAGGAAGATTTATTTTATTTTTCCATTAATGATCCCAGAGCTCATCCAGGCCTGAAGGACTTGAAAACCCTGACCAGAACCCCTGGACCCCCCAATCTCTGACCATAGGCTGAGGGTAGGGAAGTGTAAGCAGTTTGTCTCCCATATCCTGCACAGCTTGCACACTTACTGCCTTTCTCTGAGTCCTGGGGGCCTCATTGCCTGGATCTCCACCCCTGACCCCGCTAACTTCCCTCAGAAGAAAGCAAAGGTTAACTGAGATCACACAGCCAGGTGGATGCCTGGATTCACTTTCCCTGGGGCTAATTATGGAGCTACATTAGATAAAAGTCAACATATGTTGTAAAAGGCACTGTGTATCATTGCTTGACAGTTTCCAACAATGTGCTCATGTAACAGCTGTCAAAGGCAGTGCTAGAAAATGAGGAATATGTTGATTTATGTATATCAGATCTGTCCTCACGCTCTGTAGTGGAGCGGACCAGGCAGGCTCAGCTCTGTGGGTGGAGACTCCAGGAGGGGCGGCCAAGAAAGGAAGGAAATTCCCTTAGTTCAGAAGTACCTGGAAGGGATGGCTGAAGCCTGAAGCAGCTACCACTTGCTGAGGTCCTTTGCAGTAAAATTGCCTAGGGGACATCTGTTCCCTTTTTACAATAGAGAGAAAAGTAAAATCCATCTCCTAAGGAGCGGGGGCTGCTAAGGTAACCTCCTGTGCTGTCCTTGGTCTCTGGATGGGACGTAGGGTCACACTACGGAGGAAATGTCTGCCCCATTTTACATGGCTTTTGGGAAATGGGGTTTCTCTTAAAGTAACTACTTTGAATTTTCTTTATAGTTAGGGCGTTTAAAACAATTAGTTAATTAATTTAAAAGATGTTTAATTGACAAATAAAGATTGTATATATCCAAGGTGTATAACATAATGATTTGATATATGAATACATGGTGTCATGATTGCCACAACCAACTTAATTAACATTTCCATCACCACCCTTGCTGATTTCCAGCGTCTGTTTATCTCGTGACTGAAGGTTTGTACCCTTTGACCAAAATCTTCCCATTTCCCCTATGCCCGCAGCCGCTAGTAACCACTGTTCTACTCTCTTCTTCTATGAGTTTGACTTTTTAAGATTCTATGTGTGGCTGGACGTGGTGGCTCATGCCTGCAATCCTAGCACTTTGGGAGGCCGAAGCGGGTGGATCACCTGAGGTCAGGAGTTCAAAACCAGCCTGGCCAACATGGTGAAACCCCATCTCTACTAAAAATACAAAAAGAAAATTAGCAGGGCGTGATGGTGGGCACCTGTAATTCCAGCTACTCAGGAGGCTGAGGCAGGAGAATCGCTTTAACCCAGGAGGCAGAGGTTGCAGTGAGCGGAGATCGTGCCACTGCATTCCAGCCTGGGTGACAGAGCGAGACTCCGTTTCAAAAAACAAAATGAAACAAAACAAAACACCACAAGATTCTACATGTAAATGAGATAATATAGTCTTTCTGTCTCTGGCTTATTTCACTTAGCATGATGTCATCTAAATTCACCCCCGTTATTGCAAACGACAGGATTTCCTTCTTTTTATGACCGAATGGTATTCAGTTGTGCATAGATACCACATTTTCTTTATCCATTCATATGGCGATGGACACTTAGGTTGTTCCCATTTTATCTTGGTTGTTGTGAACAGTGCTGGAATGAACATGGCAGGGCAGGTATTCCTTCAGCACACTGATTTCATTTCCTTTGGGTGTAGACCCAGCGGTGGTATTGCTGGATCACATGGTAGTTCTATTTGTAATTTTTTGAGGACCATCCGTGCGGTGTTCCATAGTGGCTGTACCAATTTACATACCCACCAACAGTGTGCCACAGCTTTCTTTTCTTGACCTACTTGCCACTGCTGATCTTTCATCTTTTTGATAAGAGCTATTCTGACAGGTATGAGGTGATATATTTCATTGTGGGTTTTTATTGTTTTTTTGGACAGCGTCTCACTTTGTCCCCCAGGCTGGAGGACAGTGGTGTGGTCTCAGCTCATTGCAACCTTACCTCCCCAGCTTCAGCAATTCTCATGTCTCGGCCTCCTGAGTAGCTGGGATTACAGGCACGCACCGCCACACCCAGCTAATTTTTATATTTTTAGTAGAGGTGAGGAGGTTTCACCATGCTGGCCAGGCTCATCTCAATCTCCTGGCCTCCATCTGTCTTGTGTTGGGATTACAGGCATGAACCACCACACTCAAACTCATTGTGGCTTTTTAATGAGCAAACTCAATTTTTTAATTTGTTTTGTATTTTTTCCCCAAATTATGTTAAAAGAGGAAATCAAACAAGTTTTCTCTTGCCTTTAAAAAGCTGTCTCTGTTTTCTGTGTGGTTTTCTCTCGGGGCCATGCAAAGGGACCACTGGTCTCAGAGGATCTGATTATTACGTAGAAAGTCACTTTGGTGTTACTGTTGGAACCCCCACTGCATTCCAAATTTATCATGGGCTTCTCTCTTTGTCCTCATTTTTTTTTGCCTTTCCTACACAACAAGCTCAGTTATAGCTTCCCCCTCTTTAAATGGTAAGAAGTGACTTAGTAAGAGCATTAGGCTTGAAGCATAAAGCAAGCCCCTGAATACTAATGGAAAATTCAAACTCTTAAATAATTACCACTAAACTTGTAGTTCTGGGGAATCTTTCACTAATAAACCAAAACAAATACTTCTGCTTACTTGTTGATGTTTATTGGGACAAAAACAGAAACTCCCTATGTACTTCCATAGCCTCCAGCACAGTGTCTCTGCGGGTGAGAAGGGGGCGGGATTGCATAGTGCACCTGGCTTTGTCTAAGTTGGGACTTGTGGTTGGTGAAGTAGCCTGGAGGGCCCTTACTGCAGGCCAGAGGGAAGAGCAAGCCTCCTTTCCCCTCTCGAGGCTTGTCTGTCCTCCATCCGGTTGTGGCACCGATTGTGTTGATGAGGATTTGCTCTGGTTCCTTGTTTACACATTCTGCCACCACTGTGCTGGCCACATGCACCATGGGGGATGTCAGATGTCCCCCAGTGCCACCCCATACCCAGGCCCTGGATGGTACACCGTGAGGCATGTCCGCATTAGGCAAATGCTCCTCTGACTCTAGATCTGCTGACCTCCCAGGAGGCTTCCAGGTCATAACCAGGTATAGCCAGACTCCCACCACTGAATCGATTTCTAGCAATCTAGGTAATAGAGAAAGCCACTTGCAGGTTCCCACTCTCATCACTGAGATGCTGTGGGGACAGCTGATTGCATAACCAGCCAATGAAAGCTTCACGGGCACTGCACATTCATTAGTGAAGGTTCAAAAAGAAGATTCACAACACACCAAGGGTAATTAACGTAGCCAATTCACAATTTTAATCTGCAAAAGCAGGTGTGCTCTGTCCAGAATAAGTGAGGAAGCGAACAGCAGTGAGCTAGCTGCAGGGGCCATATGAGCTTTCAGCCAGTGATCCGTATCTTTTCTTGGAGGGTGCATCCTTTGGGATCGCTGCATCTCTATTAACCTGACTACCAAGAATGAGTAGAGAACTTGATTTATAGGTGGTGTGAAGACCATCTTAGCTAAGCATGAAGAAATTTCAAGAGCAGTTGTGAAGAATTTATTGGAGCAGTCTTGTAAAAATGTATCTTTCTTTATTAGTGATCAGAAAAACATTTTAGATAAAAGTGTTCTATTACTTTAAGACGGAAAGGTAGTGTGGAGTGGTGAGAAGAACATGGAATTCAGAAGCAAAGAGTTAAGGGTATTTGTTTATTAGCTGTGTGATCCTGAGCAAGTTAATCAACATCTCAGAGGCTGGGCTTTTTTTCATCTGTAAAATGGAATAATCATAGCAGCTTTATGAAATTGTGGTAAAAATTAGATAATAAATATAAAAGTACTCTTTAAACTTAGTATACATTTATATTTGCTGTATTTCCTCACTTGTAAGACATATTCCCCCCCATGTTTTAACATTTCTAAAATCAATATGTTTCTTATAATTGCTATGTATATTCAGTGTGGTTGTTCTTTCCTTTCTCCCTGGAAAGTTATTAGATTGATGGCATGTCTTACAATCAATGACTTCTTAGAGACATAAAAATATGGTAGTTCAATAAAATGAAAATAGTTTTATCTGGCTCTGGAGGTCAGATTTATTATTTTTCATTTGGGTGTTTACAGTCATCTATTCATGTGGCATAGGTCCCATTTATTAAGTGCGTTTCATTATTTGCAACAAAATAGTACCTAATGCACAGGCTTTTTTACAGAATTCCCATTTCCTCTTAATTATATTTGGTTTTGTAGTTGGAACAACACTGGCTTGTCAACATTACTGATGGGTGAGTTAAGGGATGGCAATGATGGGGAAGTGTATGTGTAGCAGAGGTGCCTCAAGGATAAGGTCTCGCCATCATTACTGGTGGAGGTCAGGGACAGACTCTTAGCTTCTGGGTGTACCATCAACCCTAGTCCAGCACTTGCTTGACAAACTCTTAGAGACTCCAAAGAAAAAGCCCTATAAAGTGGAAAGTTTTATTATTATTAAAAGATAAGATTACTTAGACACCAAAATGCAGTTTTCTTTTTTCTAGATTGATTTTTATTAACTTGAATGAAGACTCTTCTTTATACCTGATTGTGCCATTTTATTTTCAAAAACACACACACTGTATTGACAATCTTACTCCCTCATTGAATTTTCTGCAGGTTTTTGTTGTCTTTTATGAGGCTATTCCAGTGAGGGAAAAAGTTAAATGGAATTTATCGCAATATATTTACCTGGCTAGGTTGTAACTATTTCTAAAATAAATAAAACTTTTAAGACAATAGAACTGAAAAAGTGCAGCTATCCATTGAAGGCTTCTCACCTCCCCTTGGGAGGAATAAAAATGCATCCCACTTACTGCATAGCTTTTTCTAGGGCCCCTTTTGTTTTTCCCAAATAACCATTGTCTAAATAGAATGGCTTGTATGAGATTGTACACCCTGTGGATGGTCCTATAAATATTCATTAGTAAAATGTACATAAGGCACTGATCCATAGGTTTTTTTATTCAAAGATATCGTTTCAGTGGTAAAAGTTCAATTTTGATCTACTGGGTAGAGTCAACGCAGGCTGAAATCATGATCCTGAATTCCACCTCCTCCCATCCTTTCCGAACCTGAAAAAAATATTAACAACTTTGGCCCAAACTGAAGCCGGGAAGACATGAAAATGAAGCAATAAATGCTGTTAGACGCCAAGTTCGGAATTCATCTGCTCCTGTTGAAGGCCTGATGGTGTTTGCAATGCAAATCTCAGAGTCATGCCTTCATCATTGCCGCAGGGAGACAATTAGGGTTAAAATATAGATTTCTAGATAACGAGGGCAAATAATAAAGAAATAAATACACAACACAAAAAGAGCTAATGTGCCTCATTTATAGCAATACTTTCCTCAAGGAGGCCTGAAGGGATTTCTAGCTGGAGGATGGGCTTCCTGGATGTGGAAGAGACTCCAGCTTTTATGAAGGAAAGATGAGGATGGCCTCCCAGGACCTCGAGCTCAAGTTGAGGGCCCCTAAAATCAAGGCAATTGAGTAGTTTTACATTTTATATTTTATACTCTGGCGGTTAAAAACACAGGCTCTCAAATCAGGCCCATGTTGAACTCTCAGCTCAGCCAATTAAAGCTCTATGACCTTGGGCGAATCACTAACCTTCTTTGAGAACTAAGACTTTAAGTTTCCTCATCCAAAGGGCTATGATTCTCCTTGGTGTGTTCCGAGGACTGAATGAGAGGATGTGTATAAAACACTTAACGAAACGATCAATCTTAGCTGTCATTATTATTAAAATCGCTGGCCGCACCAATCACGAGTTTATTTTCTTCTGAGAGACAACCCATGAAGCCAGGCTTGCCGGCCGCCCTTCCTTCAGCCCTCCGTCCTGTTAGAACGTTATATGAGAATGGGCGCTGCCCATGACTGTTTCGTGGGAGCAGGTGGACGGCTGCGTCTGGGGGAGCATGGTAAGCTCCCCTCTGGCCCAGCTGTGGTGACAACAGACTCCTTCGGGGGTCCTGCAGCAGTCGCTCCCCTCAGAGAGCGGCACTTCCCGGCGGCTGCTGCGCGCGCAGCGTCGTCACGGGGCTGGAGTAATTCAGGAGCACGAGCTCTGGCCCCGGCACGGCCCCAGCCCGCCCTGCGGTGTCGCCTTTCCACGCCTTCCTGCCTCCCCGGGCTTCGGCTTTGCTCCCGGGCTGCAGGAGCTGTGCGGGGCCAGTGGCTGTCAACCCTGGCTGTGCGTTACGGTCACCACCTCAGCCCAACTAAGTCGGAATCTCTAGGGTGGGGTCTGGGACTTCTCAAAAGCCTCCCAGGTAATTTTTTTTTTAATGTGCAGCGAGAACCGAGAGTCTCCAGACTAGCTCGACTGTTCCCAAGCTGCGCTTGTCCGGAGCCGGGGCCGCTGATGCGGGGGGCTCGAAGGCCTCACTTCAATCAGGGCTGCTGCTCTCGGAGCGGATGCCGGTTTTCTGCTCAAGATTTTATGAAAGGAAGGAGTTCTGCTGCTACAAACCAAATCGAAAGCTTTGAAAATTGTTGGACTCAATGGTGTCTGCTGCTATTTGGCATTAGTCTCGTGATCTGAAACCTGACTTATTCTGGAAATTACTATTTCTTTTCATTTCTCATCATGGAGTCTAATAAATCCCCTTATATTTTAAGGGTCATCTTGAACGTACCCTTAATAATAAAGTAATGAAGTTTTGTTTTAATAATTATTAAAAGCATCAATATAATATGCTAACATTTAAAAATAAAAAGTCATATCCTGCTCTGTGAATACGTCAGTAATTTACATAGACTGATTGAATAAAAATTTGGAATTTAAAACAGATGTTCTGTTATTTTCAGATGCCAACTGGAAATAAGGTTGTATTTACATATAAGCTATATATCCATATTTAAGTGAATATAAGTTATTTACCTTGTACTTTCAGCATCTGTGCATCTATCCATGTGTATATTCATTCACTTTTTTCCTTCAAGAATTACTCCCTATTGGAGGTTGGCTACAAGACTTTGTGCTATGGGAGGTGTGTGTGTGTGTGTGTGAGATAAATGCTTATGTGTATGGATATAGGCTTATAGATAAACACAGGAAAATATACACACTTATGTCAAGTGTGTGGCTATAGTTGTCAAAGATGCACATTTATTTCTAGATGCTATGGATTCAGTTTCCTGTTGACTGAATAAAAATAGTTTTCACAACTATTTTGGAAAAAAGTTTACAACAAATTTTATTCTCTTCACTTGTGTAGTTCAAGATTCCTGAAATATATTCGGTTAGAAAAAAAATAACATCAGATGAAAGTACAGATATATTAGGGACATACCTGAAAGAGTTAATATAATTAGAATGAATAATCACAAAATATGAAATAAGGACCCAATGTTAATAAATGCAGATGCCAACTAATCCAGAAAAACGTGTGTAATGGGAAAGGAGAGAAAGCAGTTGGGTTTCAGAGAAGCCCAGCTGTGTTTTTGGGTGAATTCAGATTCATCACTATTTTTCAAACCTGGGGATGTTTTTTCACTGATGCCGGGACCCACATCTCCGACACTAAATTGGACTATCGGGGCCTGGAATCTCAGCGTCAGTGATGAATACTGTGCCCAGGTGACTGTAATATGCCGTCACAGTGGAAAATGACTGAACCTTCAGTGATAACTGGAGTTGGGGCATATTCCACACGGGAGTCAGGCCTGTATGCACACTATTTTTGCAAGAAGCTGGCAAATTCTACAAGGAGTTTTGGTGTCATGGGAGGTTAGTTAGGTTATAATTGGCTCTAATTGGCTCTCCCCACAGCTGAAACATCGTCTGCCTAGAGCCGAGTGACACTCCAAAAGGGGAGAGATGTGCTCCGACCTTTGAAAACATCAAAGAAGTCACTTCCAGCACAGCTCTGCAGCTCAGCAGCTCAGCAGGGCTAGGGCCGAGCCCAGCAAAACTGATAGGAAACAGCTTTTGCAGAATAAGATTTTTATCTTTCCTCCTGGAACAGCAGAGCAGGCAGACTCTCAGAAAAAGGCCTGGGGTGGGGAAGGAGGCAGAACCCTGACTTCTCAGCCAGCACCTGCTCGTTACCCGGTTTCACTACCGCGCAGTATCTTTTGGGCTTCTAATTCCCCTTCCAATGGTGAAACAAAACTCTATACATGGGTATGTTAGCGTGAATGAGTAACCCTTAAAACAGGAAGGGGTTTAATATTTATTATGTACCAGGTAATCAGTCTTCAGCAGTTAACATACTTATAAGGCATCCAGGGCCTAAGTTTACTCACGTCTCCAGTTTTGTCTTTTACAGCTCCATACACCAAACATATGGAATCATTTCCCTTCCCCTAAATGAGCCCTGTGTTCACATCTCTCTCTCATTATTATTAGTATTATTATTTGGTCTCTATTCTTCTCTGTGCAGTCAGCTCAGTGTGGACAGGGACTCTCATTAATTAATTAATCTCATAGCTCTCAGCAATGCAGTGCATTACTCACGGTGGCAGGTGTTCAAATATTTGTTGAATAAGTGGGAAAAGTATAATATGGCAAAGCCATGAGATAATGCCTTAATTTCCCAGTGGTCTGCCATCCAAGTCAGAGTGAGAAGATTCGAAACCCATGAAGTGCTTATGTTCCAGGTGATGACAGTCTCCTGTGGGAGCAAACACAAGAGTAATGACACGTGGAGCCCAGGGCAGCAGGGGTGCAGAGGAAGTTTCTCTTTCCTTTCCAGGGGTACATGTGGTAGGGAGCCAGCCTGGCATAGGTGGACAGAGCAGTACAGCCTGCTGTGAGACCCTGCGGGTGAGGAACGGGTCAGGGCTCGCCCAGAGCCACTGGGGACCCTGAGTGGCCAGAGGTGAGCAGGCCCAGAAGGCCAGTGGTCGATGTCTGAAGGAAGGTGCCAAGGATTAAAAATGAGAACTATATATTTACATTAAATCAAGGTTATTGGAAGGTGCTAGGAGTGGACTGAAATAGGAAGAGGTATGGTAAACAGGTAGACACAAATAAAGAAGATCCGCCACTGCCAGAAGCAGCCTAGGATGCTGGATGTCGCTGTCATGACCTCCATAGTGGGCGGGAGCACTGAATTCAAGGTTGGGTGGACTTCGTTCAGTCCCACCTCTGCCACCTATGAATTGTGGGCTCTTGGGTGGGACACTTTGCCCATCTACGCCTCTGAAAAACGGGGGTGTGACGCTTGCTGCAAGCACAGCTGAAACTGAGCAGCAAGGATCCCTGAAGTCAAAGGAGGCAGAACCTTTGAGCTAGGGCAGGCTCTTTGGCAGGTGGTCAGGAGACACTGCCCGCTGCCTGGCCACCTCTTGGACCTTCCCCTTCCATGTATGGCCTCCCCTCATGTTTGCAAAAGGAGGTCAGCAGCATCAACGGGTGGCAACGTGCTCCTTTTCTTTTTTTCTTGTTTTATAACCAACAGGACAAGGGGAGCAGCTTCTGTTCTCAGAATCCCTGAGCTGCGCTCCTCTGGAGTGTCACCCCCAGGCTGGAGGAGATGGCTGTGTCAGTTTCCCATTGCTGCTCTAACAAAGCGTGCAGATTCTGCAACTCAGAACCAGAGACGTCCATTGCCCCACAGCTCCAGAGACTGGAAGTATGGGATCAAGGTGCTGGTTGGGCCCCCTTCCCTCAGGCAATGCTAGGGAAGGATCTCTCCTGGCTTCGGGCGGTTCCTTGGGGTGTGTGGCATACCTGCCCCTTGCCCTCCCCCAACACCTGTCTTCACAAGACCCTCTCCCTGTGAAGCTCATTGTCCACATTTCCCCTTTTTATTTGGCAACCAGTCATATGGGATTACGGCATACCCTAATTACCTCATTTTAACTTGATTAACCTCTGCAAAGACCCTATCTCCAATGAAAGTCACGTTTCTGGGTACTGGGTGTTAGGGCTTAAACATATCTTTTTGGAGGAAGACGCAATTCAACCCATAACCACAGTCCATCCCTGAACTACATGCTGCAGAGGGAGAGACCTGGTTGATTGGCTTAGGTCATCTGAGAGGGATGCATGTGGGGCAGTGGTTCGCAGGGCCCACACTCTCCTCGCAGGTACTGGGAGAGTGACAGGAGCCCAGCACCTGGCATAGAGAAGGCTCTCAGAGTCTGGACTAGAGACTACATATTAGCTGTGTAACTTGGAGGAGCGTACTTACTCTCCCTAAACTTCAGCCGCAAAATGGAGATGACGCTACATGCCTGGAAGGGTGGCTGTACCAACCCAGCAAGACATCAGGCCTGGAGTAAGTGCTTAATAAATGGAATTGTCCCTGGTTGCTGTTGTTACGATTACTACTGTGTCCGGAATTGGTGGGTTCTTGGTCTCACTGACTTCAAGAATGAAGCCGCGGACCCGCGCGGTGAGTGTTACAGCTCTTAAGGTGGCGTGTCTGGAGTTTGTTCCTTCTGGTGTTTGGATGTGTTCGGAGTTTCTTCCTTCTGGTGGGTTCGTGGTCTTGCTGGCTCAGGAGTGAAACTGCGGACCTTTGCGGTGAGTGTCACAGCTCTTAAGGCTGCGCGTCTGGAGTTGTTTGTTCCTCCCGGTGGGTTTGTGGTCTCGATGGCTTCAGGAGTGAAGCTGCAGATCTTCGAGGTGAGTGTTACAGCTCATAAAGGCAGTGTGGACCCAAAGAGTGAGCAGTAGCAGGATTTATTGTGAAGAGCGAAAGAACAAAGCTTCCACAGTGTGGAAGGGAACCCGAGCGGGTTGCCACCGCTGGCTCGGGCAGCCTGCTTTTATTCTCTTATCTGGCCCCACCCACATCCTGCTGATTGGTAGAGCTGAATGGCCTGTTTTGACAGGGTGCTGATTGGTGAGTTTACAATCCCTGAGCTAGACACAAAGGTTCTCCACGTCCCCACTAGATTAGCTAGATACAGAGTGTCCACACAAAGGTTCTCCAAGACCCCACCAGAGTAGCTAGATACAGAGTGTTGATTGGTGCATTCACAAACCCTGAGCTAGACACAGGGTGCTGATTGGTGTGTTTACAAACCTTGAGCTAGACATAAATGTCTCCAAGTCCCCACCAGAGTAGCTAGATACAGAGTGTCCATTGGTGCATAGCCAGACACAGGGTGCTGATTGGTGTGTTTACAAACTTTGAGCTAGATACAGAGTGCTGATTGGTGTATTTACAATCCCCTAGCTAGACGTAAAGATTCTCCAAGTCCCCACCAGTCAGGAGCCCAGCTGGCTTCACCCAGTGGATCCCAAACCGGGGCCGCAGGTGGAGCTGCCTGCCAGTCCCGCGCCGTGTGCCCACACTCCTCAGCCCTTGGGTGGTCGATGGGACTGGGCACAGTAGAGCAGGGGGCGGCGCTCCTTGGGGAGGCTTGGGCCGCACAGGAGCCCAGGGGAGGTCGGGGGAGGCTAAGGCATGGCGGGCTGCAGGTCCCGAGCCCTGCCTGCTGGGAGGCAGCTAAGGCCCAGCGAGAAATCCAGCGAGCGGAGCGCCAGTGGGCAGGCGGGACCCAGCACACCCTCCGCAGCTGCTGGCCCAGGTGCTAAGCCCCTCATTGCCCAGGGCCGGCACCCGGAACTGGCGCTGGCCCACAAGCACCGCGCGCAGCCCCGGTTCCCACCCGTGCCTCTCCCTCCACACCTGCCTGCAAGCTGAGGGAGCTGGCTCCGGCCTCGGCCAGCCCAAGAAGGGGCTCCCACAGTGCAGCGGCGCGCTGAAGGGCTCCTCAAGCACGGCCAGAATGGGCGCCAAGGCCGAGGAGGCGCTGAGAGCGAGCGAGGGCTGTGAGGGCTGCCAGCACGCTGTCAGCTCTCACTACTATAATACCTTGCTCTGGCCATGGTTGAAGGAGCTAAGTAGAGTCATTAGAAGAGACAAGAGTGCCACCAGAGGACCTGGAAGGACCTGGACAAGTGAGAGTGCTTGGCTTTGGAGACTTTGAAATTAAGGCCCTTAGAATGTTCAGGAGAGGATTTCTGGTAGTCAGCAAAGATACAGGCCTAAAGCTCTGGAGAACACTGGGGACTGATGGCTTTGTCACAAGGCGATTGCAGAACTATGTGTGTAAGCCGGCTGGCTTGGGACAGACTGAGAATAAGGTGAGGAGGAGGATGTGGACCACACTCTGGGGTGCACCTGCACTTAGGCAGGGGGTGGCTAGAAAGGAACTCTATGGGGATCTAGAACCCCTGACAACAGTGTCTTATTTGAGGATACAAGATGTGAAAGAAAATGCTATAATTGAGTGGCATGAGCTCCAGAGGAGGAGGGGGTCACTGGGCAAAGTCCCAGGTCCGGTTTACATGTCCTCTGCCATTGCTTAATGGCTTTTGAGGAACAGAGAGGAAGACTGAGCCTGGGGAAAGGGAGCCAGGTGGCAGAGTTGTGGGAAGCAAGGCTCAGGTTGAAAGCTGAGAATTGGGTAGGAGTCTGGTGTTCCAGGAAATGAAAAGGGCAGAGGTGGAAGTGCGAAGGCCGTCTTCTGGACTACAGTGGGTGATTGCAAGCTGGAGCCCAGCGTGGAGTTCAGTCAGGGCAGGATTCAGAAGAGAATGCCAGGTCAGGAACCCTTTATTGGATATCAAAGCCCTGGAGAGTGGAGGAAGCTCCTGCAGCCTTCAGCAGGTGTTAGGGTATTGTGTCAAAGTTCTGCCCCAGCAGGCACCATTCAACTAGAAGGTAACCCAGGCTTTGGGGGCTGACGAAGCTGGGGTGGTTCTGGCTCACATGGACGCACTAACAGGCACAGAAAGCTAAAACTGTAGATGCACATTTGGGGCTGGGGGTGGAAATGATGACTCCTTAGGAGAAATATGCTATAGAAATTCTAGGCATTTTTTCTCTAGTCTGGCGCAAGTTCAAGGCTCTGCAAATGTTATAAACCAAAAAGAATTTTTTTCCAACCTTGTCAAAATACTTTGAATGGATAAAATGAATGCATACTCTAATTATTTAGTGGTTTCTTCTTAATTTGTGGGTCTAAGCATCGTGCTTTTGTGATGCAGTCTGTGTTTCCGGTGGGTTGACACATCCATTGTCTGCTCTACCATATAATCCCCTGGAAAAACAGGGATTGGGTCTATGTGAGTATACTTTTTATTGCTAGTAAAGTTCATGACTAAAGATAATTCTGCATGTTTCTTTTGGGGAGTGCAAACCATTGAAAAGACATTCTTTCATTAATGGAAACTCTTTCCAGTGTGCGAGGCAGTGACCAGGTGCTAACCTATTCATCTTCTGCAAGTGAAGACTGCAAGTGAGGGCGGCTGAGAAGTTGGCAGAAAACCCTTGGTTCCTGGTCTCCTGGCTGCACACACATGTCTTCTTTTAAGGCAGTCACTCCTAAACTTTGCTGCACAGTGGAATCACCTAGACATTAAAAAAAAAACTCCAGACATTCTGATTTCATTGGTGGTATAGCATGCAGCCTAAGCATCCTAGTTTTTACAAGCTTCCCAGGTGATTCTAATGTGCACCGAAGTTTGGAAATCACTGTCATCAGGGCTACTCTCAGACCATTCAAATGAATAACATCATCATTGCATCTGTTAAAACACAAATAATAGAACACAGTATAAATCTCTATGATACTGGCTAATGAATCAGTGTCATAAGTGATTTATTCTGTTCTATACAGTAGTACAGATACGGTATGACACTGTATAGTACTGTATAGAACAGAATAAATCAGTATTATCAATAGAATATAGAAAAGACTGAATAGCCTCGACTTAAGTATATAAATATTCAATGATATACCATAAAGAAAGACTCACGGATTAATGAGGAAGGGATCTATTATTTAGTTAGAAATATTGCCTAGTTATTTTAAAATAATCATTGTAAATTGTTGGGATTTTAGGGGATTTGATAAATAACTTCCTCTACACTGCCCATGTTTAAAATGAGTTGAGAGATAGTCAGAAAGAGAGAGGTCAATATATTACACTGATTACTTGCAGAGACTGGGTAGAGAATGTGGGTCTAGATGTGTTAGCAAACCAGCTCGCTAATGCTTTCCACCTGGGCTAGAGAGACTTGCCCAGGTGGAGTCCCTGGCAGCATTAAACACGTCAGGTCTTCCCATGGGGCCAACTCTCAAAGCCAAGGGCAGAGGGGCAGACTAGTTGGGACCCCCAGTGGGAGTGCAGAGACAAAGAGGAAAGAGGAAGAGCCTAGCATTCTCTCTCATACACAATCAGGTAAGTTGCTTGTCTTGTGTAAAAAACAAACAAGCAAGGAAGACAGCCCTCTCCATGGAAGCTTGGAGGAATGGGAAAAGGGGGCTTGTGCCCCCAAAGAGATCCTCTCTTTATACATGCTCTAATTTCACATAGATTACTGAGTTAAATGTAAGAGAATAAATCTTGTAAAAAACTAGAAGATATTTAGATGGCTATTTTTCTGCCTTCTGAATGAGGATGGTTATTCTTAGCATTGGAATAGTAAAAAGAATTACAGAAGACTGGATCAATAACTTTGACTACATACAATTTTGGGGCTATGAGATTATTAAAGATTTTAAAAAGTGAAGTTAATACAGGCTCGTGGGAGTATAAATCGAAGCAACCTCTCTGGATGTAAATTTTGCAATTTATTTTAAGAGCTTTAACATGTTCATATCTTTTGACTCAGTAATTCCACTTTTAGAAACCTGAGAATGTAATCAATGGAGGGTCAGAGGTGTATATCCAAAGATGTTCATTCCAAGTTATTCATCGTGAAAAAAATGGAAACACTTAAATGCCCAACAATTCAAGGATTGTTAAATAAGTGAGGGTGCCTCCCTGCTACAGGAGTGTTATGTTTCCATTTTAAATGGAGCTTTTGAACACTTTTTAATGGGAAAATGCTTGTGAAAAATTAAAAAGTGCAGGGTATAAAAATAAATAATTACATAATCCTAGTTGTGCAAAAACATAAATTTTATTTTAGAAAATGTTGGAAAGAAACGCATCAAAATGTAAGTACTGATGAAGATTGTAGGTATTTTTGCTTTAATTTTTGAAAAATAAAAATTCTGGTTTCTACATTATTTTTAGGTAGATGTGTTTTTTTTTTTTTTTTTTAAAGTCGATATTCTCTGTTGAGATCTGAAATTCATGGGGGCTTGAGCATTGAGCCTGCCAGTTTGGTAACAAGGAAAAGAGAATGAAGATTACCTGCTAACAATGTGTGAAAGGAAGGGGGCATGGCAGAGCTTCCCTACCCCAAGCTAGAACATCTAAGGGTGAAGACAGCGGGCTGCTGGGAGTGGAGTGGGGTTCATGCCATCACCTCCTATGAGCAGATGTGTGGTGACAGAGATTTTGAAGGAATAGTTGGTACTTGCTCTTTTATTAATTTCTTAAAATAGACAATCAACTGGCTAGATATACGCTCCATGAATCCTCCCAGGACTGACGGCAGGGAGGCCATGGTCCATGAAGTTTCAGGGGCGACAGCGCTTTGGGGAGAGGTGTATATGGGAGGCCAGAGCCAGGGAACACCCTGGCCTTGTGCAGTCACAGGGCTGCTGGAGCAAATCCAGGCACCTAATACTCCCCAACTTGCGCTGCAGCGCGAGCATCTGCTCTCCGCGGTTCTGCCCAGAGAACCGCCCGCAGCTGCGCCCCAGCCCCGAGCCCAGCAGCGCCAGCTCTCTGCACAGGGCACCCCCGCGGCTTTAAGTGGGACATCCAAAATAGCCCCAGTCTGTCGATCTCTCCACGGAAAGCCCGGTGCATGTGTATGGAAGTCTAGTTTGTAAAATTCCTAACTGTGATTTCGTCAAGGCTTGGAGAGTTTGGCCTTGCACAGATTCAAATAGAACTGCCATTTCCTCCTGAGGAGGAGGAAAGACCAGACAGGCAGTGAACAGCAGGCTGAGACCAGGACAAACCTATGCTGGGGAGCACAGGTTTCCAGCAATCATTCCATCAAAGTCAGGCTTTCCTCCAGCCCTTTTCCTTCTATCCCTCTTTAAAAAATGCCCCCTCTCCCCTTGAGCCTAAATGCTTGAGAAAAGAAACAAACCAGAAAACAAAGGCGTTTTCCCTCTTATTGATACCTGATCTCGATGATTTGCTAGTTGAAATGTAGGAATATTAGGGAAAATTTTTAAATCTTTTTTGAAAACATGCCCTTTTTAAGAGTTTTGGAATTATTTATTTAAAAATAAACCTCCAAAAAAACAGCTGGGGACAAGTGTGCTATCAGCTCCTCTCTTTGTATTAGGATCTCTGTATTTTCAGTGTAGCACTGAGCCCAGTTGTTATGGACGGCAACCTTGACAGATTAGGGGGAGAAATGACTGATCGATTACTACCTTTTCCGTATTTCTGTGGAACGGCATCGCCCCCTTTTCTGTAACGTATGCTGCTGAGTCCAGTCTAGTTTTAGTGTCTAAATTATTCAATAGTGCATGATATAATTGATGCAGGATTAGGAAGTCAGGACAACGTTCAGTGACAAGAGACATGGGCAGCAAGGGTGAGGTGGAGATTTTTACAATGTGCAGTGACGCTTCAGAAATATGTAATTACATAGTCAGCGCTACCCGGATGTTCCTCCCACTGTGCCTTTAACTGGGATTTCTTCCTTCATACTTGGCACAAAGGTGGCTCTGTTGGCTTCATAGTTCTGCCTTGGAGGCAGGTCCCTCTCTAGGCTATGGGAGTTTTCTGTAGAATTGGGACTAGGGTGGATTTATGGCTAGAAAGGGGAAATGTTTCATGTCTCAATGTCTCATTTGCTTTTCCCCACTGACTCCGGCAGGCATGCAGACCTAAATCAACTAGAGAACAGTAGGGAGGAGTGTAGGGAGAAGAAGCCAATCTGTTCTGGTGTCTGTCTCTCTGATCCTTGGAACAGGGAGACGGTGTCACCTCTGAGCCCAAGTGTTTTTGCATGGGGAACGCGTCCTTTTAAAGAATTAGTTTTCAGCATTCTGTCAATTATGGCCTCCAAATCTGGCTGAGTAATTAAATGCCAGCTGACAGTAAATATCAAACTGCTTGGGAGCCGTAGCGAGATATAGACAAGTGGATTCGCTGTGATTGCTTTGGTAATTTGCTTTTTAATCTTTAATACCAGTTAAATGCAGGGGAGCTAAAGCCCGTGCATTGCCCAGATGAGACAGCTCATCAGCTGATGCCTTAAGCTGTCCAGCGTGGATTTCTTGGCTCTGGTGACTGCACAGGTCTTAGGAGGCAGGGAAGTTTGCCTGGCAGTGACTAGTGGACTCTACGCCATCAGCAGGCAGAGAAGTCCCCTGCCCTCAATGGAGGGCCACGTGCCCTCAAAGGCATGCCCAGTAACCTCCTCTGTAGTTTCTTCTCAGTTGTCTCCAGCAGCATTGTAGGTCTGGTTTAAGGCCCAATTTTTGTTTTTACCTTTTTCCTTTGGCGGGGAGGGGCAGAGAAGGAAGAGAAGCAATACTTATCGAGCACCTATCATGTGCAGTTATATAGGAGAGACTGCTCTTTGATGATGCTTACCAAAATGCCATTACTAGCATGAGTGCAAGCCCACAGCCCCAAGATCACAGTGATTCTCATCCGAAAATGATCCCTCACCAGGGGACATCTGACAATATGGAGACATTTTGGTGGTCCCAGCTGGGGCAGTGCTGCTGCTTGCATCGAGTGGGTAGAGGCCACAATGTACCCTACAATGTACAGCACAGCCCCCACACAACAAATAATTATCTGGCTTCAAATGTCCATGGTGCTGAGGTTGAGCCACTTGCTCTAGAGTAAAAACAGAAGCTTAAATGGAAAACTGTGAGAAAACTCTTGGGGTTATAGAAGATTTTTGAGCTCGTGGGTGGGGAAAGTAGACTTGGGGCAGACCAAGTCAGGCACAGTGATTGAAGATGAGAACCTATGGAGTTGGTTTTGCTTTCCCTCCATCATTACTTTAGAAAATGCAGAGTCTGTCCTCATACCTATGGCAACTCAAGCTCTGGTTCAGGTGCTCCCCAGGAAAAATTTCTGCAGGACAAAAGTCCTGAGCTGGTTAGGAACTGACAAAAGTAAGTGGGAACTCACATACATACCTCTTCTCATCTAACCCACTCTCTACCCCCACTTCTCTACCCCTGCCTGAATTATCTAAGTGTCTTGTTTTACTGTACTTTCCGGATGGATGAAAAGTAAAGTCTTGAACTAGGTAGTTGTTTAGTGGAGTAGAGGGTGATTGGCTGCCATTTTCTGGTACCTGAAGTTCTCCCAACTAGGGTTTGTTCATCTGAGCGAATTAGGCTAATATTGACTCAGGTTCTGGCTTTCATTGTCTGACAGAGTAGCTGACAGTGCTAGGGAAAAGGGGGTCACTAGCAAATATAATGAGACATTTGAGCGGTACAGCTATTTCAAAAGAAAAGTGGTATAGTGCATTACAGATTCCATCAGAAGCAGAAATATTAGAATGTCTAGACCAAGAGTTTAAAACAAGCCCAATAAACACACTAAATGAAAGAAAAGAAATCATAAAACAGAACAAGAAAACATAAAATGAAAAAAGTAAACATTTGTATGTGAAATGTATAACAGTTGAATAAAGATGGGTTATTTAATAAAATGGATATAGCTGAGGAATTAATTCATAATCTGGAACACCAGCTTTTAGACATTTCTGAGGAACATGATAGAAAAAACAAACAAAAAACTAGAAGACTTGGAAAAGAGAAGTAGAAGAGTGAAAATCCTTCAACTGGAGTCTACAAAGCCAGCAATGTGGAGGAGATCAAAGGATATAAGAAATAAAAGTAGAAAAGAGAAACTCTTGAGAGAAATACTACATACACATTTTCCGGAATAAAAAGAAAGAAAGACCTCAGATCCAAAGGGGACATATAGTGCCAAAGTGGAGAGATGAGGGAAAACCTTAAACCTTCTTAATTGCAAAAGAGGAAATAAAAATTTTATAGTGAAGCAACCTGGAAGATGCCACCTTACCTGAGTGTTACATCAACATCGTTTATCCCTGATAGGATGCACTGAGTAGGGCACAGCACCTCTCAATCTAAACATTAGACATCATCAGACAAAACCCAATTGAAAACTTTCTACAAAACACCTGACTAGTGTTCTTCAAAAGTGTCAAGATCATGCAAGACAATGGAAGACTGAAGACCTGTGGCAGGCTCAAGGAGCTCATGAAGACAAGACATCTAGGTGCAACGTGGGACTCAGGGTTGGAGCCAAAATAGAAAATAGACATGAGGGGAAAATTAGTGATATGTGAATAATGACTATAATTTAGTTAATAATGTCATGCCATTGTTAATTTATTAGTTTTGTCAATTTACTGTATTTATGTAAGGTGCAAACACGAGGGAAAACGGAGGAAAGGGAACAGGAAACTTTATCTTTGCAACTCTTCTGTTGCAAATCTTCTTTCAAAATAAAAAGTAAAAAACAAACAAACAAACAAAAACAAACACCAATTATCTCTAGCGTTGAAAAATCTGGTACCAAACTAATGTTTGTATGGGAGTTCCAGTGGCTCCACATCCTTGCCAACACATGATATAGATGTCACTGTGGTCTTGATATGCACTTGCTTAATGACTGGTGACTTTGGGCACTTGTCATATGCTTATTTGTCATCGACTTGATGAAGTGTCTGTTCAGACCTTTTGCCTATTTTTTAAATTTGAAGTTTTTTTTCTTGTGTGTTGAAAGTATTTAATATATTCTGGAAACAAGTCAGTTATGTGATTTACAAATATCATCTTGCACCTTTTGGGTTAACATCCAAACTTCTAAAGGAAATCTAGGATATAAGGTCTTTGTAAACTTGGGTTAGGCAAAAAGTTTTCAGAAACAGCATTGAAAGCACAAACCATAAAATAAAAAATAAGTTGAACTTCATTGAAATTAAACTTTTCTAGTATCTTTGCTTGGTCTTCGTATTAGAATAATGTTGGCTTCATCAAATAAGTTTGAAAATGTTTTCCTTTTCTGTTTTCTGGTAGAGGTTGTGTAGAAATTTGTATAATTTCCTCCTTAAATGTTTCACAGAATTTGCCAGTAAATCATGTCAGCCTGGAGTTGTCTGTTTTGGAGGATTTTAACTACAATTTTAATTTCCTTGATAGGTATATGGCTATTCAGGGTAGCTATATCTTCTTGAGTGAGTTTTGGTGGCCAGTGTCTTTCAAAGAATTGATTCATTTCATCCAAGATTTCAAATTTATTAACATAAAGTTGTTACTAATATTTCTTCATTACCATTTTAATAACTAAAGGAGCAGTAGTGATATCTCCTTTTTACTTCCCTAAACCACTAATTTTTGTCTTTTTCTCTTTTTCTTAATTGGGCAGTCTGACTAGAAGTGTATCACTTTTACTGCTTTTTTCCCCCTAAAATCCAGTTTGGAATTTTATTTATTTTTCTCTATTTTTTTTTCCACTTTCAACCTTATTGATTTCTGCTCTTAACTGTATGATTTCCTTCTTTCTTTTTGCTTTGGGTCTAATTTGCTCTTCTTCAGGTGGAACCTTGGATTGCTAATGTATGATCTCCATTCTTTTCCAACGTAAGCATTTAATGTTACACGTTTCCACCTAAGCACTGATTTAGCTGCATCCTGCAAACCACGATATTCTGTACTTTAATTTTCATTCAGCTTAAAATATTTCTAAAATTTTCCTTGAGACTTTCTCTCTTTTAGTAGTAGTATTGCTTAATGTCCATATATTTAGATATTTTCCAAATATCTGTTACTGATTTCTAGTTTCATTCCTTTATAGCTTGAGCCTGTACTTAGTATAATTTCTATACTTTTAATTCTGTTAAGGTTATTTTATGTCCAAGAATGTAGTGCATTTTGGTGAATGTCCCATGTAAATTTAAGAAGAATGTGTATTCTGTGTCAATTAGGTCAAATTTGTCCTAGAGTGTTGTTCAGGACTTTTATATCCTTAGTGGTTTTCTGCCTACTTGTTCTGTTAATTACTTGGAGAAGGCTGTTGAGGAGTTCAACTATAATTGTGAGGTTGGTTATTTCTATTTCAGTCATAGAAGCTTTCACTCATATATTTTGAAGCCCTGTAACTTATTGCATACACAGGTAAGATTCTTATTTTTGAGAATGAAACCCTTCATCATTATGTCATGCCCTATTTATCCCTGATAATACTTCTTATTTGTAAATCTACTTTGTTTGATTAAAATAGCCCTCTAGCTCTCCTTTGGTTAGTGTCTGCATAGTGTGCAGTGAAGAGTTATCATATTAGGCGTAGGTTGCCATTCTTACAAAGGCCTATGGCAAGGTTGACTCTTGGCTAAGATCTGGAAATTTGGATTTCGGTGTATTCCCACCATTCCCTCACTGATAAGGATAGCTCAGTGTGCAAACAATGTGGTTTGTGCTGAACATCTGATTTCCTTTGGGGAGTCTGGATTTTGCAATGTGTTAGGCAGAGAGTGCCAACATGACTGGCCCCCAGTAAAACCTTTGAGTGCTGTGTCTCTCTTGGGCTTCCCTGGGTAGAAACACTGCACACATGTTGCTGCATTTTCTTTGTTATGGGAGGGACAAAGCATAAGGAAGCCTGCATATGGATTCCTCTAGACATGTCTTCTGTCTTTTTTTTTTTGAGACAGAGTGTTGCTCTGTCACCCAGGCTGGAGTGCAGTGGGGTGATCTTGGCTCACTGCAACCTCTGCCTCCTGGGTTCAAGCAATTCTCTGCCTCAGCCTCCTGAGTAGCTGGGATTACAGGCATCTGCCACAACGCATAGCTAATTTTTGTATGTATATGTATTTTTTTTTAGTAGAGATGGGGTTTCACCATCTTGGCCAGGCTGGTCTTGAACTCCTGACCTCATGATCCACCCACCTCAGCCTCCCAAAATGCTAGAATTACAGGCATGAGCCACCACACCCAACTGTTCTCTTTTTCTTTGTAATATGGCTGTGTGTCTTTACTACTCACCGTAATAAATGTTAGCTGGGAGTAGAACTATATGCTGAGTCCTGTGAGTCCATCTAGCAAATCTCCAGACGTAGTGGTGATCTGAGGACCCCCAAATACTTCATTTATCATTTTCATCCTTTATTGTTGTTGTTGCTTGCACATTGTTTTGTTTTAATTACACTTTTTATTTTGAGATAACTTACGTGCAGTTGTAAGAAATAATACAGAGAGGTCCCATGTACTCTCTTTCACATTACTCCTAATAGTGACATTGTGTTAGTCTGTTCTCACATTGCTATAAAGAACCACCTGAGACTGGTTAATATATAAAGAAAAGAGATTTAATTGAGTCACGGCCCTACAGCCTGTACAGGAAGCATGGCTGAGGAGGCCTCAGGAAACTTGGAATCATGGCGAGAGGTGAAGGGGAAGCAGGTACGTCCTATGTGGCTGGAGTAGGAGAAAGAGAGTGAAGGGGGAGGTGCTACACATTTTTAAACAACCAAATCTTGTGAGAACTCACTATCGTGAGAACAGCAAGGGAGAAATTAGCCCCCATGATCCAATCACCTCCCACCACACCCCTCCTCCAACATTGGGGATTGCAATTCGACATGAGATTTGGGCAGGGACACAGATCCAAACCCTATCAGGCATCTTGCAAACCACGGCACAATATCACAGCCAGGATACTGATGTTGACACAGCCAAGACACAGAACAATTCTATCACCACAACAATCCCTCATGTTACTCTTTTTTAGCCACATCCACCTTCCTCCTGTACTCACCGTTTCCATTTCTATAATTTTTATCATTTCAAAATGTTGTAGAAATGGAATCATACAGCATTTGACGTTTTGAGCTTGACTTTTTTTCACTCTGCATAGTGCCCTTTAGAGCCATACAAGTTGTTGTGTGTATTGATAGCATTTTCTTTTTTACTGCTGAGTAGTATTCCATCATATAGGTGTACCACAGTTTGTTTAACCATTCACCCAGAAGGACATCTATTTCCAGATTTGGACTATTACCAAAAAAATTTCATATACAAGTCTTTTTGTGAACATACTTTTTTCTCTGAGATAAATGCCTGGGAGAGTAAATGCTGTTTCAAATGATAGTTGCATGCTTATTTTTCAAGGAACTGCCAAACTTTTCCAGAATTGCTGTTCTATTTTACATTCTCACTAGCAATGAATATATGAATATTCTAGTTTCTCTGAATCCTCACTAGCATTTGGTTTTGTCCCAATTTTTTATTTTTGCCATTCTGATAGGTGTGTGATAATAAATCATTATGGTTTAAATTTGGATTTCCTTGATGGTTAACAATGCTCAATAGCTTTTTTGTATTTATTTGCTATATCCTTTTCAGTGAATATAGCACGTCTACTGAATGAAATGTCTTTTCACTTTTTTGCGTCCATGTTCTAATTTTATTGTTTCTTCACTGTTGAATTTTAAGAGGTTTTTTTATACATATAGTCTAGATACTAGTCTTCTGTCAACTATGTGGTCTGCAGACATTTTCTCCCAGTCTATAGTTTGTCTTTTAACCAGTTAACAGGATCTTTTAGAAAGCAAATTTTTGATTTTGAGTAAGTCCAATTTAGCAATTTTTCCTTTTATAGATAATGGTTTTGGTGTTAAATTCGAGAACAATTTGCCTAATTCTAGATTCCAAAAATTTTCTCCTTTCTTTCTTAAGGTTTTATAGTTTTACATTTTATATTTAAGTCCATGATTATTTTAGTTAATTTTTGTTAAAGTGTGAGACTTTGGTTGAGGTTCATCTTTTTATTGTCTGTGGATGCTGTTGAGAAGGCTTTCTGCCATTGAATTGCTTTTGTGCTTTTGCCAAAAAGCAGTTGAACATATTTGTGTGGGACAGTTTCTGGATTCTTTCCTCTGTTCCACTGATCTATGTGTCACATCAAAGTGATTAGCACCAATACCTCATAGTGGAGTACTGTGGCTATATAATAAGTCATAAATTAGAATGACCACTTTATTAGTCTTTCAAAAGTTGTTTTAGCAATTCTAGTTCCTTTGCTTTCCTATTTAAATTTTAGAATAGTCTTGTTTACATCACAAAACATCTTGATAAAATTTTGATAGGTATTGTATTAAATCTGTATATCATTTTGGGAAGAATTGACATAGTTGACTATGCTGAGTCTTAAAATCAATGAACATGGTACAACTCTCCATTTTTAAGAGATCTTCGATATCTTTCATTGGTACTGTATAGTTTTCAGGGTACAAGTTTGCATATATTTTGTTGCATTTATAACTAAGTCTTTCTCTTTTTAAAAAATAATTGTAATGATAATGCATTTTAAACTTCCGTGTCTCTGTTCATTGTTAATGTATAGAATTACAGTGATTTCTGTATATTATCTTATATCCTAAGATCTTGATGAGCTCAAATGTTAGTTACAGGAGCTTTTCTTTTAGATTCTTTGGGGTTTCTTACATACACAGTCGTATCATCTGCAAGCAGGGAAAACATATTTTTTTCTCTTGTGATCTCTATGCCTTTTATTTCCTTTCCATGACTTACTGCACTAGCTAAAACTTCTAGCACAATTTTGAATAAGAGTGGGGAAAATAGGCACCCTTGCTTTGTTTCTGATATGAGGGGGAAAACATTTAATCTTTCACTATTACATACAATGCAATCTGTAGCTATTTTATAGATACTCTTTAAAGAGTTAAGGGAATGTCCCTTTCTATTTTTTCTCATCATTTTTGTTATAAATGGTTGTTGAATTTTGAAAATCTTATTCATCTTTTTTGGAAGACTTTCTTTTTGAGCAGCTTTAGTTTTATGGCAAAATTGAGAGGCTGTTACAGATATTTCCCATATGTCCTCTACCCCATATATGCACAGCCTCCCCGACTATCAACATTCCCCATCAGGGTGATACATTGTTACAACTGATGCACCTACATTGACATATCACTATGAACCGAAGCCCATAATTTACATTAGGGTTTGCTCTTGGTATTGTAAATTCTATGACTTTAGACAAATGCATGATGACATGTATTCATCATTATAGAATTATACAGAGTGTTTTCATTGCCCTAAAAATCATCTTGGTTTCACTCATTCACTCTCTTTCCTGCATCAAACCCTGGAAACCTCTGATCTTTTTACTGTCTCCATAGTTTTGCCTTTTCTAGAATATCATATAGTCAGAGTCATACAACATGTAGCCTTTTCAGATTGGTTTCTAATATGCATTCTAGTTTTCTCCATGCCTTTTCATGGCTTGATAGTTCATTTCTTTTTGGTGCTGAATAGTATTCTATTGTCTGGATGTAACACAATTTATTCAGCCATTTACTTACTGATTCACATTTATTCACATCTTGGTTGTTTCAGAGTTTTGAATTTTGATAAACACTTTTTCTGTATCAATTGCTATGATCATATAATTTTCCCTCTTTAGCCTGTTAATATGGTGGGTTGCATTTATTGATTTTGAGATATTGAACAAAGCATGGATTTTGAAATTTTGAATATTGAATCCCTGGAATAAACCCCACTTGGACATGGTGTATAGTTCTTTTTATATAGTGCTAAATCCTATTTGCTAATATTTTGTTAAGTATTTTTTTGTGTCCATATTCATGAGGAATATCAGTCTGTAGTTTTATTTTTTGTACCATCTTTGCCAGATTTTGGTATCAGAGTAATACTAGCTTCATAAAATGAATTGGGATATGTTCTCTTATCTTCTATTTTCTGGAAGAGATAGTGTAGAATTGGTGTTAATTCTTGTTTAAACATTTGGTAGAACGTCCAAACCATCTGGTCCTAGAGATTTCTTTTTCGGGAGCCTATAAATTATAAATTCAATTTCATTAATAGTTATAGGGATATTCAAATTATCTGTGTCATATTAGGTGAATTGGGGTAGTTTGTGTTTTTGGAGGAATTGGTCCATTTTATCTAAGTTGTCACATTTATATATGTAGAGTTATTGATAATATTCTTATTATTCCTTTTGATGTCTGCAGGGCCAGTGTTGATGTAACTATTTCATTCCTGATATGGTAACCTGTGTCTTCTCTGTCAATTTTATTGATTTTCAAAGAATCAGCTCTTAGTTTCATCGATTTTCTTCATTGGTTTTCTGTTTTCAGTTTCATTGGTTCCTGCTCTTATCTTTATTATTTTCTTTCTCCCACTTGCTTTGGGTATTTTTGCTGTTTTTCATATGAGGTGGTAATTTAGATTATTGATTTGAGACTTTTCCTCTTCTCTGACAAATGCATTTAGTGCTATAAATTTCACTCTTCACTCTGCTTTAACTATGCCCCACATTTTTGATAGGTTGTATTTTCATTTTCATTTAGTTAAATGTGTTTTTAAAATTTCCCTTGAGACATTCTCTTTGGCCTATGGATTATTTATAAGCGTGTTTTTTAGTTTCCAAATGTCTGAAGACATTCTTGTTCTCTTTCTATTATTGATTTTTAGTTTTATTTCACTGTAACTGGAGAACACAATCTGTATGATATTTATTTCTTTAAATTTGTTGAGGTTTGTTTTATGGCAAAGAATACGGTCTACGTTTGTATATGTTCTGTGGGCATTTGAAAAGAACACATAGTCTACTGTTGTTGTGTGGAGTGTTCTATTAGGTTCTGTTGGTTGATGGTGTTGTTGAGTTCTTCTATATTGTTACTTATCTTCTCTCTAGTTGTTCTATCAATTGTTGAGAAAGGAGTGTTGAAGTCTCCAACTATAATTGTGAATTTGTCTGTTTATCTTTTTACTTCTATCAGTTTTGCTTTACATATTTTGCAGCTCTGTCGTTTGGTGCATACAGATTTAAGATTGCTTTTTTTTTTTTTAGTAAATTCATTCTTATATCAATATATAGTGTCTCTCTCTGTCTCTCGTAATTTTCTTTGCTTAAGTCTACACTACCAAATATTGATATAGCTCTCCTGATATCTTTTGATTAACATTTTTACTATACAACTTTTTCCATCCTTTTTCTCTCAACTTGCCTATGTTGCTCCATTTAAGTGAGTTTCCTTTAAACTGCGGATAGTTGGATCATTAAAAAAAAATTCACTCTGCCAATTTCTTTTGAATTGGTGTATTTAGACCATTTAGATTTAATGCAATTATTGACATGTTAGGGCTTAAGAATATTTTATTTTTTTGTTTTCTGTTTGTTTTCCCATTTTTCATTTATTTGTTTTCTTTTCTCACCTTTTTTTGTGTTACTTAAACATTTTTTGGAATTTTATTTTGAATTATCTGTACTGTTTTTGAGTGTGTTTCAATGTATATTCTTTTTAGTGGTGTTTCTATGGTTTACATTTTATTTTTAAAAAATTATTTATTTACTTGTATTTCTTATTGGTATATTATTGATGTACATCTTTTTGAGGGTACATGTAATATTTTGATACATATATACAATGTGGAATGATCAATTCAGAGTAAAAATTCACATTTTATATATATGTAATTTATCACAATCTACCAGTGTTGCCATTTCATTATTCAAATTAAGTGTAGAGACTTTACTTCCTTTTATGTCTCTTTTCCTTCCTCATTTATAGTACAACTGTCTCAGTATTTCTTCTGTGTATATTTAGAATGACATCAGTTGTGTGATAATTTTTCCTTCAACTATCAAACATAATTAAGAAAACTCAAGAGAAAGAAAACCTGTTTTATTTAACCATGTGTTTCTTACCATGTTCTTTCTTCCTTTTTGGTCTTCCAAGTTTCTTTCTTTTATCATTTCTTTGTGGTTTAGAAAACTTTTGTTAGCTGTTCTTTTAGGGTAGATCGTTTGACAAGTTTCTCCTAGGTTTTCTACATCTGAGGGTGTCTTGATATCTTCATTCCTAAAAAATATTTTTACTGGGTATTAAGTGTTAAATTTTAAGTGTTAAATAACTCTTGAAATATTAAGTGTTAAATGAAAGTACCACTTCATTTTTTCTTTCAGGGTTTCTGATGATAAATCCACTATTATTTAAGTTGTGGTTATTCACATAGTTATGGTGTCATTTTTTCAAAAATTTTCTTTGTCTTTTTAAAAAAAACTTAATTATGACATATTTTAGTTTATAATACTTTGTATTTAGACTGTTTGGTTTGCTCAGTTTTTTGAATCTGTAGGTTTATGTCTCTTGCCAGGTTTGAGAAGTTTTCAGCTACTATTTATTTGAGTACTTTTAGCCTTAATTTTTTCAAACTTTAAATTATTTGTGTATTTATTTTAATTTTTAATTTATATGGATACCTAACAGTTTATGGACTACATGTGATATTTTGATATAAGCATGCAATGTGTAATGATGAAATCTAGACAATTGGGATTTTCACCACCTCAAACATTTGTTTTTTCTTTGTGTTGAGAATATTCCAAATCTACTCTTCTAGCTATTTTGAAATACGTAATAAGTTATTATTAACTATAGTTGCCCTATTGTGATATTGAACACTAGATCTTATGACTTCCAGCTGAATTTTTGTATCCATTAACCAACCCCTCTTTATCCCCATCTCTTTACTACCTTTCCTAGATTTTGGTAACCACCATTCTATTCATCATCTCTATGAGACCAATTCATTTAAAGCATGTTTGTAATTGCATGTCAAAGCATTTTCTATTATTTCTGCTCTAAAATCTAAGTCAGATAATTCTAACATCTCTGTCATCTCAATGTTGGCATCTATTGATCATCTTTTTTTTTTTTCCTAAACTCAGTGGAGATTTCCCTGGTTCATGGTATGACTAGTGATTTTTTTTAAATTTATTATTATTATACTTTAAGTTTTAGGGTACATGTGCACAATGTGCAGGTTAGTTACACATGTATACATGTGCCATGCTGGTGCGCTGCACCCACTAACTCGTCATCTAGCATTAGGTGTATCTCCCAATGCTATCCCTCCCCCCTCCCCCCACCCCACAACAGTTCCCCGAGTGTGATGTTCCCCTTCCTGTGTCCATGTGTTCTCATTGTTCAATTCCCACCTATGAGTGAGAATATGCGGTGTTTGGTTTTTTGTTTTTGCAATAGTTTACTGAGAATGATGATTTCCAATTTCATCCATGTCCCTACAGAGGATGTGAACTCATCATTTTTTATGGCTGCCTAGTATTCCATGGTGCATATGTGCCACATTTTCTTAATCCAGTCTATCATTGTTGGACATTTGGGTTGGTTCCAAGTCTTTGCTATTGTGAATAATGCCACAATAAACATACGTGTGCATGTGTCTTTATAGCAGCATGATTAATAGTCCTTTGGGTATATACCCAGTAATGGGATGGCTGGGTCAAATGGTATTTCTAGTTCTAGATCCCTGAGGAATCAACACGCTGACTTCCACAATGGTTGAACTAGTTTACAATCCCACCAACAGTGTAAAAGTGTTCCTATTTCTCCACATCTTCTCCAGCACCTGTTGTTTCCTGACTTTTTAATGATAGCCATTCTAAGTGGTGTGAGATGGTATCTCATTGTGGTTTTGATTTGCATTTCTCTGATGCCAGTGATGGTGAGCATTTTTTCATGTGTTTTTTGGCTGCATAAATGTCTTCTTTTGAGAAGTGTCTGTTCATGTCCTTCGCCCACTTTTTGATGGGGTTGTTTGTTTTTTTCCTGTAAATTTGTTTGAGTTCATTGTAGATTCTGGATATTAGCCCTTTGTCAGATGAGTAGGTTGCAAAAATTTTCTCCCATTTTGTAGGTTGCCTGTTCACTCTGATGGTAGTTTCTTTTGCTGTGCAGAAGCTCTTTAGTTTAATTAGATCCCATTTGTCAATTTTGGCTTTTGTTGCCATTGCTTTTGGTGTTTTAGACATGAAGTCCTTGCCCATGCCTATGTCCTGAATGGTATTGCCTAGGTTTTCTTCTAGGGTTTTTATGGTTTTAGGTCTAACATTTAAATCTTTAATCCATCTTGAATTGATTTTTGTATAAGGTGTAAGTAAGGGATCCAGTTTCAGCTTTCCACATATGGCTAGCCAGTTTTCCCAGAACCATTTATTAAATAGGGAATCCTTTCCCCATTGCTTGTTTTTCTCAGGTTTGTCAAAGATCAGATAGTTGTAGATATGCGGCGTTATTTCTGAGGGCTCTGTTCTGTTCCATTGATCTATATCTCTGTTTTGGTACCAGTACCATGCTGTTTTGGTTACTGTAGCCTTGTAGTATAGTTTGAAGTCAGGTAGCATGATGCCTCCAGTTTTGTTCTTTTGGCTTAGGATTGACTTGGCGATGAGGGTTCTTTTTTGGTTCCATATGAACTTTAAAGTAGTTTTTTCCAATTCTGTGAAGAAAGTCATTGGTAGCTTGATGGGGATGGCATTGAATCTATAAATTACCTTGGGCAGTATGGCCATTTTCACGATATTGATTATTCCTACCCATGAGCATGGAATGTTCTTCCATTTGCTTGTATCCTCTTTTATTTCCTTGAGCAGTGGTTTGTAGTTCTCCTTGAAGAGGTCCTTCACATCCCTTGTAAGTTGGATTCCTAGGTATTTTATTCTCTTTGAAGCAATTGTGAATGGGAGTTCACTCATTATTTGGCTCTCTGTTTGTCTGTTGTTGGTGTATAAGAATGCTTGTGATTTTTGTACATTGATTTTGTATCCTGAGACTTTGCTGAAGTTGCTTATCAGCTTTAGGAGATTTTGGGCTGAGACAATGGGGTTTTCTAGACATACAATCATGTCGTCTGCAAACAGGGACAATTTGACTTCCTCTTTTCCTAATTGAATACCATTTATTTCCTTCTCCTGCCTAATTGCCCTGGCCAGAACTTCCAACACTATGTTGAATAGGAGTGGTGAGAGAGGGCATCCCTGTCTTGTGCCAGTTTTCAAAGGGAATTCTTCCAGTTTTTGCCCATCTGGTATGATATTGGCTGTGGGTTTGTCATAGATAGCTCTTATTATTTTGAGATACGTCCCATCAATACCTAATTTATTGAGAGTTTTTAGCATGAAGTGTTGTTGAATTTTGTCAAAGGCCTTTTCTGCATCTATTGAGATAATCATGTGGTTTTTGTCTTTGGTTCTGTTTATATGCTGGATTACATTTATTGATTTGCATATATTGAACCAGCCTTGCATCCCAGGGATGAAGCTCACTTGATCATGGTGGATAAGCTTTTTGATGTGCTTCTGGATTCGGTTTGCCAGTATTTTATTGAGGATTTTTGACTAGTGATTTTTAATTGAAATTTTTTCATATGATATTATGAGACTCTGGATCATATTTAAATCTCTTTTAGCTGGCTTTTGCTGACACTGCTTTAAAAGGGAAAGGGAGCATTTCTACCTTATTACTGACAGGGGGAAGCAGAAGTCCAGGTTCTCCAGTCAGCCTCTATTGGCACCCAAGGCAGGAGCTGTTCTTTACTGCTGGGTGAGGTTGGGAGTTCTGGCTCCCAGTGTGCTCTCCACTGACAGTGCAGTGGAGATGGTCTTGTTAATTCTGAGTGATAGTGAGGTCCTGATGTTCCACTAGGCTTCCTCTGACACCACCCCAGCAGGAAGGTGGAGAAATGCCTTGCTACTGATGGGTTAGAGTAGAAGTCCAGGCTGTCTATATGGTCTCCACTGGAGGTGTGTGGGTGAGGGAGGTTTTCTTACTGGCTGATGGAAATGAAGTTCTGGCTCCCTACTTGGCCTTTCCTGATACCACCTCAGCAGGGAAGTTGAAGTCCCTTGTACAGCCTGGTGAGGGTGGAAGTCTAGGCTCCTCAGTTGACTTTTGTTAGCATTTGTGTGAATGCAGCTATAGGCTTCCCAGTGATGTTTGTTTGCAACAGAGTGATTGTTGTTCAAAATTTTCTGTCTTGCTACCTCTTTCCTGCTCCTTTGTTTATAGAGAGAGGGCTTTTGTTTGGGCTTATTTTATCTTTGGTGTCTCTGGGTTGCCAGTTTCTTCAACCCCGAGTCTGAACTACACAGGCATACCTGTAAGATATTGTGGGTTCAGTTCTACACCATTGCGGTAAAGCAAATATTTCAATAAACCAAGTTACACAACTTTTTGGCTTCTGAGGGCATGTAAAAATTATCTTTATGCTATATTATAGTTTATTAAGTGTTCAATAGCATTGTGTCTAAAAAACAAAGTAGGAACCTTAATTAAAAAACACGTTGTTGATAGAAAATGCAACCGATCATCTGAGCCTTCAGCATGTCATAATGTTTTTGCTGGAGGAGGACCTTGCCTTGTTGTTGGTGGCTGCTGGCTGACCCAGGTGGTGGTTTCTGAAGGTTGGGGTGGCTGTGGTAATTTAAAAAGTAAGACAACAATGAAGTTTGCCTCATCAATTGATTCTTCTTTTTATGAAAGACTTTCCTGTAGTATGCAATGCTGCTTAATAGCATTTGACCCCTGTAGAACTTCTTTCAAAATTAAAGTCAATCCTCTCAAACCCTGCCACTGTATCAACTAAATGTATGCAATATTCTAAATCTTTTGTTGTCATTTCGACAATGCTTACAGTATTTTCACCAGGAGCAGATTCCATCTCAAGAAATCACTTTCTTTGCTCATTGACAGAAAGCAACTCCTCATCTCTTCAAGTTTTATCATGAGATTGCAGCATTTCAGTCACATCTTCACCTCCACTTCTAATTCTAATTCTCTTGCCATTTCTACCACATCTGCAGTGACTTCCTCTCCTGAAGTCTTGGAGGATGTCATCCGTGAGGGTTGGAATCAACTTCTTCCAAACTTGTGTTAATGTTGATATTTTGACCTCTTTCCATGAATCAAAAATGTTCTTAATGGTTCTAAAATTGTGAATTCTTTTCACATTTCAATTTATTTTGTCCAGAAGCATCAGAGGAATCACTAACTCTGGCAGCTATAGCCTTACAAAATATATACATATATATTTTGAGGCAGAATCTCACTCTGTCACCAGGCTGGAGTGCAGTGGTGTGATCTCGGCTCACTGCAACATCTGCTGCCTGGGTTCAGGTGATTCTCCTGCCTTAGCCTCTCGAATAGCTGGGACTACAGGCATGCACCGCCATGTCCAATAAAATATATTTCTTAAATAATAAGACTTATAAGTTGAAATTACTCTTTGATCCATGGACTGTAAAATGGATGTTGTGTTAGCAGACATGAAAGCAGTATTAATCTCCTTGTACATCTCCATCAGAGCTCTTAGGTGACTAGGTGCATTGTCAGTAAGCAGAAATATCTTGGAAGGAATTTTTTTTTTTTTTCCTGAGCAGTAGGTCTCAACTGTGGGCTTAAATTATTCAGCAAACCATGCTTTAAACAAAAATGTTATCATCCATGCTTTGTTGTTCCATTTGTAGAGCACAGACAGAGTAAATTTAGGATTTTCAGAATGGTAATTGAGAATTGGCTTCAACTTGAAGTCACCAGCCTCATTAGCCCCTAACAAGAGAGTCAGCCTGTCCTTTGAAGCTTAGAAGCCAGGCATGGACTTTTCCTCTCTAGCTATAAAATTTCTAGTTGGCATCTTTTTCTAATATAAAGTTGTTTTACCTCCACTGAAAATCTGTTGTTTAGTGTAGCCACCTTCATAACTTGTCTTAGCTAGATCTTCTGGATAACTTGCTGTAGCTTCTATGTCAGCACTTGTTGCTTCACCTTGCACTTTTGTGCTATGGAGAGAGAGACAGCACCTTTCCTTAACCCTCATGTACCAACATGTGCTACCTTCTAACTTTTCTTCTGCAGCTTCCTCACCTCTCTCGGCCTACAAA
Source organism: Homo sapiens (assembly GCF_000001405.40). Classification (NCBI taxonomy): domain Eukaryota; kingdom Metazoa; phylum Chordata; class Mammalia; order Primates; family Hominidae; genus Homo; species Homo sapiens. The sequence goes on along the minus strand of NC_000011.10, from coordinate 133,760,309 downwards.
GAATTGAAGAGTTAGAGCTTTGCTTTGAATTATTATTAAAATAATAATAATAATAATAATAATAATAGTAGTAATAAAAGTTTGAGTTATTGTGAGAATTACCAAAATGTGGCACAGAAACATGAAATGAGCACATGCTGTTGGAAAAATGGACTTGCTTAAGGCACTGTTGCCATAAACCCTCAGTTAAAAAAAAAACAATATCTAGAAAGTTTCAGAAAGTGTAGCACAATAAAATGAAGTATGCCTGTATGAGACAAAAGGAATACACTGGGAACTCATCATTGTGTTATTCTTTAGGACATAAGGTATCTAAAGGTCTTCCTTCTTCTCTTTACACCTTTCAGTTTTCTTCTGTTTGCTTTGTATATAACTCCAGGATATTTAATTATACAGTCAGCTCCCCATATCCACAGGTTCCACATCCATAGATTCAGACAACCACAGCTAAAAAAATTAGAAAAAAATTAACAACACAATATAAATTAGTAAAAATAAAAATACAGTTAACAACTATTTACACAGCATTTACAATGTATCAGGTATTATAAGTAACCTAGAGATAACTTAAAGTATGTGAGTATATTATATGCAAATATTATACCATTTTGTATAAGAGACTTGAGTATACAAGAACTTTGATATCTCTGGGATCATGGAGTCAATCTTCCGCAGACACTGAGGGATGACTGTGCTTAGCTGGAGGAATGGGGAAAGTATATTTACTTCATCTTCCCTGAAGCAGAAATCTCATACTTTTAATTTTTAATCTATCTTTGTCTTTATATGTGCTGTGGGTTCTTGCAGATAGCATATTGTTTAGTGCTACCCCACTCTCTTTCTGTAATCCAAGCTGGTAATGTCTGTCTTTTAACTGATATGTTATACCATTGTACTATTCACATGTAACATGATTATTGATATATTTGCCCTTAATTTTACTACCTTGTTAGTATTTTTCTATGTGTTCCATCTATTTTTCATTTTTTCCCACTTTTCCTGTATACTTATGGGGTATAACCAGAGTGTACCCTTAAATAAAATTATACTACTTCATGTGTAGACTAAAAACCTTACAGTCATGTATTCCTGGTTTCTTCTTCCCATTTTTATGCTATATAGCACATGGTATAAACATTCAATACATTGCTACTATTTTTGCTTTAGACCATTGGTTATCTTTTAGAATAAATAAAAATGGAAAAATTTAAGTTCTCTTAATAGTATTTTACTTTTACATATTCCATTTCTTGACCTTTTATTTCTTTGTGTAGATCCAAGTTTCTGTCCTGCGTTATATTCTTTTTGATTGAAAAACATCCTTTAATATCTCCTGCAATGTAGATCTGCTGGTGGTGAATTTCCTGTTTTTGTTTGTCAGGCAAAGTATTTCCCTTTTATTTTTGAAAGACATTTTCATTTGGTTGACAATTTTTATTTCTTTCAGCACTTTGAAAATGTTACTCCATTGTTTTCTACCTTTCATAATATCTTAAGGAAAATGTGATATAATTTTTATCTTTATTCTTCTATATAATGAGTCTTTTTTTCTCTGGCTGCCTTCAATATTTTCTCTTTGTCTTTTGCTTTCACCATTTGACTACTCTATGAATAGATGTACTTTTTGTTTGTTTCCTTGTTTGTCTTGGCATTTATTCTGCTTGGTATTCTCTGAGTTTCTTAGATTGGTGGTTTGGCATCTGTCATTAATCTTGGAAAATCCTTGATGATTATTTCTTCATATATTTCAACTGCCCCATTATTGCTTTCTTTTCCTTCTGCCATTACAATTGCCTGTTTATTAGGCCATTTGATTTGTTTCACAACTCTTGGATTTCCTGTTCTGTTTTTCTCTTTGTATTTTGTCTATGTGCTTCAGTTTGAGTAATTTTTGAGATCCTCAACTTCCTTGCTTCTTTAGCTTGTTGACATTGTTGATAAGCCAGCTAAATGCATTTTTCATGTCTGTTACTACATTTTTCATTTCCAGCATTTTCATTTTGTTTTTTTAATAGCTTTATTTCTCTGCTGATATTATCCACTAAGTCTTGCACCTGGTTTGCCTTTTTCTTTAAAGTCCTTATACTTATTTAAAATTCACTGTTGCATAGTCCCCACATATGTGTCATACCAGAGTCTGGTTCTGATGGTTATTTTTTCTTCAGGAGAGGGCAGTGTGTTGTTTTTTCTTGCCTCTTTGCATGTGTTGTAATTTTTTGTTGAAAGACAGACATCTTGTGAAAGACATTAGACATTGAGGTAAATATTTTTCTTGCCTGAAAAAGAGAGATATTTTTCTTTCTGCTAAGCCTTTAGAATGGTTGTTTGAATAAATATAACTAGGAGTTGGGCTGGATTTGAGGTTTTTGTTAGGGCTATGCTTAGTGAGTTATGGACTTCATATTTCCCTAGCAATGTCGTGTGTTTAGGGTAGAGGCTGGTTTTCCATGAGAGTATTTTCAATGCATGCTTCACCCTCGAGCCTAAGGTCTTCACTGTGCCTTGCACTGAAGAGAAGCTGTGTCTCCTGCAAGTTTTATTCCATGCTTGCTAGCCTAGCCATGGCAATGAGGGAGACACTCTTTTGTTCTGATTGAGCTTCCATCTTTGGCAGGCACTGTGTCCCTGGGCCTCAAGGACTGGCCTTTTTCATGCTGGATCTCTTCCCCAATGTGGTTCTCTTCAGCTAGGGGTGGAGGAATGTTTTTTTCCTGTTACCTTTCTCCAGTTACAATGGGTCTTCACCAGTGCCCTGAGGGTGACAATATTTGTGGCCCCACCAGTTAAGGCTTTTGTTCCAGAAAGGGGGAAGAGAATAAGGGAGGCTCTCAGGAGTCTCTCAATCTTTTCTGTGTGTGCCCAGTAGGGTTTGTAAGAGACTTGAGTGTGGACTCCCCCAGTTCTTGCACCATCTACAGGCTTAATGATCTATCACCAGTGCCCTCTTATCCTCCATCAACTTGCCAATTCCTCTAGCTGAATTCTCCTTACTACTGTCCGAATGCCTCTTGTTAAGATAAACTAGTTTATGCCTCATATCTCTCCTGTAGGCACGTCTCTCCTTAGATTTAGGACCTGTTGGTTTCTCTGTGAGCTCAGCACTCCAGTTGGTCCAAATCACAAACCTGATCGTTTCTCTTTATTTGTTGTTGTTGTGAAGTGGGGTAGTCATTCTTTCCTGATCACTATCTCTTTGATAGGAAAATAGAAGTGTGAAATAATATATTTTTAAAGTGTTTGAATTTTTATTCTAGTTATATTCAGACAAATTGCTACTAAAATATGAGGACATAATAAAAATATTCTCAGATGTTTGTCACAGAGAGACACTTATTGAAAATAGTTTCGGATAAAATATTTAAATACTAAAGAGAATAATCCAGAATATTTTATCAGTGTAAAAAAAGCAAAGGTAATAAAATACCGAAGTGTATTGTCTTTAAAAAAGGAGAAATTTATTCATGGTGATGTAGAATTAAATATGTTGAGTAATAGAAATATGATGGGTGTCGAGAGAATATCAAAGAATGTAAGTTCTATTTGGTTAGAGGAAAATAATATTTTTAGAAAAGTAAGAATAGATGGATAAATTCAGAAAAATGTGGAATAAGCCAAAAAAGTAAATTATGTGGTGGAAATAGGTTCAAATATATAAATATAACAATAAATGTGAATAGACTAAACTCATCATTTATAAAACAAATATTGATAGATTGGAGCAGGAAACATCCACATACAGGTATAGTTGCAGATTTTTTTCACCAGTTCGAATATTTCTGGTGGAGAGTTCTCTTATTAGCCAAACTTTATATAACATACATACCTCCTAGCACAACATTTTTCATTCAATATTTTATGGAGAAATTTTATATTTATACCCATCAAATTCAACTAAATTCCTTGTAAAATGATTTTAATAAAAATAAGAAGTTTTTTTCTTAATACAATTGGTGGAGTCATGTGTAGGGATTTTGAAAATCTTGACAAGTGGTAGCAAGAAGAACATTCATTTTGGATGTTGCTGAAAGGCATCTCAGAGTTAGACTTAGCTGAGTAATTCTCTGCCATTGTACGCTTCAAGTGAACATGTTTCTCCAGTGTATTTCATATTTAGCTTAGTGTTGCAAGATAAGTCCCCAGGAAAGTTGAGAAAATGTTGAAGGAAATCGTGGAATAGGAAGCAAAATGAATAAGAAAAATGATCAAATGGAGGGGAGATATTACTGCGAATGAGGAAACGTTTTGTTAATAACCATGTTGAGTTTTGATGATTGAGAAGGGATGTTTTAAATATTTTTTAATCTAACAAGTTTGTTACTGGCATATAGGCATTTTATTGTGCATATTTATATTTTAGGAAATAGATCAGCTAGTTTTGGTTGATGTGTAGTATATTATTGAAAAAACAAAATAATGCAGATTGTGCTTCTGATTTTTGTTTTTGTGTAGGATGCCTGATAGTCAGGAACAAATTGTTGAACCTAAATGGAAGTTGCCTGTATATAAGGTAACATGCAAAGGTTGAAAATGAGAGGATTTAAGACTTTAAGGCATTTCTAAGGATGAAGAGGATCATTACCTGGTAAAAAAGTGTTCAGTTTATTAAAAGGATGTGTATCCATTTAATAAAAGTTCTTCAAAATCTATGACATAAAAATTGATAGAGCTACAGCAAGAAATCGATAAATCCACTTTCATAGTGGGAGATTTCTACATACCATTGTTCACAATTGATAGGTCCAATGGGCCAAAAGCAGCAAATATATAAGAGCTTTCAGCAACACACTTAGTGAGTTCTGAATGGGACGCTTTATTACTTTTGGTTATATCACTGCCAAAGGGTACTTCTGCCCGTTCTCAAATTTTCTGATGTATGAAGATTTTAACACCTCCTTATTTGATGAGGAAGTTCTTCCTTGCCTTGTCTCTCAATCTTTTTTATCCCATGGTTTCCATCTGTTGGTTTTAATTCTACTCCATTGGAGCCTATGGAAAAGGACATCCCCATTCATGTGACGTGGAGCAATCTGTTGAGTTCTGTTTGTATATGGTGCAAGGGTGTGAGTTCATTTTTGTGCATATTCAGTTGTCCCAGGACCATTTATTAAACAGACTATTCTTTCCCCAGTGAATTGCCTTGGCACCTTTGTCAAAATCAGTAGACTGCAAGCACAAGGATTTATTTTTGGACTCTCAATTTTGTCCCACTGATCTATATTATTTTCCCCATCCCAGTACCATGCTGCCTTCATAACTGTGGCTTTACCATAAGTTTTGAAACCCAGAAGCATGAGTACTCCAAGTTTGTCATTTAAAGAGACATCTTGTTTTGGATTTTGTATTTCCATATAAATATAAGTTTTACAATCTGGGCCAGGCGTGGTGGCTCACACCAGTAATCCCAGCACTTGGGAGGCCGAGGTGGGCAGATCACTTGAGGTCAGGAGTTCAAGACCAGCCTGGACAAAAATGGCAAATCCCCATCTCTGCTAAAAACACACAAAAAAATTAGCTGGGTGTGATGGTGCATGCCTGTAGTCCCAGCTACTCAGGAGGCTGAGGCAGGAGAATCACTTAAACCCAGGAGGCGGAGGTTGCAGTGAGCCAAGATTGTGCCACTGCACTCCAGCCTGGGCAACAGAGTGAGACTCTGTCTCAAAAAAAAAAAAAAAAAATTTACAATCTGCTTGTTAATTTCTGAAAAAAAAAAAAAAAATGCTGCTGGCATCAGGGGTGGCTTATTACACAGCAATGGATGGCTGAGCAAGCCCGTTTACTCACAGCCTTTTTATCATGTACCAATGTCTCAGTCTTCCTCCCATGAGCTGCTTCAAAGCCACCTGTCTCTTATACAGTGGGCCTCTTTTTTTCTTTTCTATTTTTTTTTGGACTCATGTGAAGTACTTCCCCTTTCTATCAATTACATTTTATATGATTAGGTTTTGTTGGAAATTTGAGCTAGTCAGTCACCAGTTCTAACATCTAGTGTTTCTCCTGCGTCTCTCACCTGTAGGTCATTTACAATTTAAATAACCACACTTTTGTGTACCTTTATGCGAGAACTGAATAAAAATTGTTGGGCAGATCAGGAGAGAGCCCTGGACCCTGGTGGGAACCATAGAATCCAGTTGTCTCGAGCTGCTACTCTGTGGCTCGACACTCTAAAGCAAGAGTTGGAAACTGGGGAAAACTACTGAGAAACTTCAGGAAGAGTGAAGTTTTATGTGGGGGCAAAGCAGAGGTCTTCTGAGGGACTTTTTTTGTCTTTGCAAGTGCAAAAGATTACTATTCCTTTTGAAGAACAAATAATTCAGGGATAAGATCCCTTCAGCTTTGCCTCATAAAAGATGACTTACGGCAAGATCTCCAGGCAAAAGAACACGTCTTTTTGGAAACATGCAGGACAGCCGAGTCACAGAATGTACTTCCTCAGTGAAAGCTGGGAGGGAAAGATCAAGATCACAACAGAAGAAAGGCTTCACCCCACAGTGCTAGAAAAGCTGCCTGTGGGGAGGCTCAGGCAGTCTTTTTGCAGTTGCAAATTATATTAAGGAAAAAAGAGATTTGAGGGAGAAAAATTGACCCACTAATAAATGAGAGGATGAATTAATGCTGACTCTCCACTGCCTGGGACTCCCAGCACACTTGGCAAATCAGTTCCCAGCAAGAAAACAAAGCTATGTGGACAATTAGGAAATAATGAAGACCTGGCGGGACTAGCAGCCGACAAAAATGAGGTGGCGTTTGGGAAAGTGAGACATAGAGAATCTGAATGGATGGAGAGCTGGCTTGTTTCGTTTCTCTCTGCCTCATTCCCCTCTCTGTCTGATAGGCCATTCAGTGATGAGGGAATTCTGGGAGATTATTGTCTCCCTGGGAGGGAGGCTTGTTGAATCCAACTCTCAGGGCCGCACTAGCAGGTGTGGAGGACGGCACCTGATGAGGAAGGTCTCAGGGGACAGGCGGGAACCCAGGCTTCTCCCTCATGCTGTGATCTTCAGGCAAGACGCCAGGGCATCCGCGTCTGCTGGAACACAGGCATACTGGATACCTGACCCATTTCCTATTCCTCTTCCCTGTGGTAACAGCATGAACCAACACCTCCTTTGGGAGCCGACCCTTCCCCATTCCTTGGGCTTTTGGTGGGGCTGCCGATCGGAGAACCCTGTCTTGCTGAGTATAGGGATAAACCTGTATGTAACCCAAGCCAGGCCAGCCTGAAACAATCTGTCTTAGACTGAAGGGACGATGAGGTGACAAAGAAGGTCAGAGTTGAGCTGCCCAGGCCCACATCTGAGAAATGCCGTGATTCATCCTGGCCTTCCTGAGGCTTAGATGTTGATGGCTTTCAGTAGTTTTGTGAGGATTGCCAGTGTTCGTCCTATAAATACATTTCTTCCTCTTAAGTTTGTTTCGTTGTTTGGTTTGTTGTTTTTAACTAAAGAAGGCTATCCAATATCAGGGGAGAGGCAGACAGAAAGCTTCAGGCAGAGACGTAGAACCACTCTATTGTTTGTTGCTGAGCAGGGGCAGCACTTGCCGCCAGTGAGTGGGGTGCACAGCAGTTCTCCAAGCCCCTGTTTAGGAATGTGGCCCCTGGCAAGACCCGGAGTGCAGGCTGTGCCGTCTGCCCCCTAGTTTCTAGTTTGCAGTACAGACTCTCCGTCTGTCTTCTAGGGATATTTCTAGAGCAAAGAAGTGCTTTGATGATTTTGGAAAAATGACTGAAAATTAACTCCAGATAGTATGAAAAGCTGGGCCTCGCCCCTTTAGCCAGGCCTAGGGATCTCAAAATATCCGACAGCGACTCATAGGAGAATGGCAACTTCTTTGCATTTCTGATTCTGTCACACTCTTCCATACTGATTTCCCAATCTGGTCTAGAAAGGAAGGAAAACACACAAAGACAAAAACGCTCTGCAACTAATTAATTATTTTGCCAATTTGAGAGAGAAGTGGGGAAAAAGCCCTTTAAAATCAAATAACAATAATTTTTAAAGGAAGCCAACTGACACATTTCCATAAAGCAAATATGTTGGACCTAGTTGGAGGCAGCAGGCTCATGAGAATGCTGAAACTTCTTCAAATTTGCATATATAGATTTTTAATAGAGGCTGATGGAAACAAATAAGCCAACACAAATAAGTATAATATTTTAATTGCATTTCTTCAGGGCTCTAACAATTTTTTTAAAATAAACATATATAAGACAAAGTCAGTGTTACTAAGTGGCAAAGATTCTGGTAGAACCAATTGGTTTTCTTGAACTACATGAGGAAAGAAGGTGCACGTGTAGTTTACTTACCTCTGAATTGCAGAAATGCTAAGGATATGGCTCGGGTGTCAGAGTCCTGTGTACAGAGAAAGTCACAGCTCCTCTTTGGTTCTGGAGCATTTTGTCACTAACTCAATTGCCTAGTTGCTCACTCACTAGCATAGTGAAGGCCACTTAGTAGGGAGTTTAATAAATACTTTTTAGTGGGAATCGTTTGCTAATATGTTGGCAGAATCATCTTACACATTTCATGGCTCAAAAAATACCAGAGATGGAAGGGGCCCAGAGAATTCAGTGATACCTACAGATGGAAAGTAATAAGGATATAAAATATCTATATTCTCCCTGGGAGATCCTGCCTCATCTCTTGTACTACAAACTGGCTTGGAGCCACCATAGTTGTACAATTGCCTCCAGGATCCTTTAGCTGTGGCTGGCCATTGAGTTTTTCTCCAGAAGTCACACTGAATAAAGAAATTCCTCCTCTCTTCACTCCTCTAGAGCTAACTAGAGCCACCCCTAGATTCAGAGGGATCTTTTCTTGTATTCTAGGTCAAACTATGGACCATTGGATTCTAAGGCCATATTGCTGGAAGGGACAATATGTTTTACTTTTTGTGTTTCACTGGAAGCCCAGTAGCTTTGAAGTAGCTCCAAAATCTTAGGCAAGTGAAGTCAAGCCCAGCTTGTTTCCCAGCCACCAGGTTCTTCCCTTCATTCCCAGCGAGGTGAGTTTGGTCCCCATGTGCAGGCGCAGCTATCTCCAAGAGCCAAATCTAATCCTGATCTAGGCTGGAGAGATGCTCAGGCCTGCTGATAAGGTGCTTGTGGTTTGACATGGAGCCATCTGGGTCTTTGTCTGGACTTTGTGTGTTACCTCCACTTCTAGGAGCAAGGTCTTTTTCTAGCTCTTGTAGTTTTCTCTCTGGCCCTTCTCTCTTTCCCAGATGGGAGTCTCAACTTTGCACCTAGGCAAGACATCAGTTGCTATGAGTCTGTTTCCTCCTTTGCAATGTGAGGATATTGCTGCTCCTTCATTGCACTATTGTGATTGCTGTCATTTAAGGTTAGTTGCCACGATAAAGAGCCTGGCATTGTCCAGAGGGAAGTGCTGAATGCACTGTGGAAATGATTTTTATCATTCCCTTGGCCCTTCTTAGGAGTGTGGCCCTACACCTTCCTGCCACTCTCCTCCCTGGAGCTGAGCTGGAACTCTGTTCCGGTTTCCAGTCTAAGTGTAGGGCCTTGATCTTACTGGATAAAGCTCCCTGATGCCTGTGATATTGCCTCTGTGGGCTCTCTAGTATTGCCAGCTCTGATTTCCCGAACATTGTGTAATTCAGCTTTCAAGCCTCCCTTAGGCTGAATGCAGTGGCTCACGCCTGTAATCCCAGCACTTTAGGAGGCTGAGGCGGGAGGATTTCTTGAGCCTAGAAGTTTGAGACCAGCTAGGGCAACATACCAAAAACAGACAAACAAGCAAAAAAACCCACCACCACCAACAACAAAACCACCAAAAAACTCTACAAAAAAAAAAAAAGTAGAAAATAAAAGAAGTGAAAAGTAGAAAAAAAAGTACTTCTAATTAATGGTGGGGAAAAAAAAAAAAGGAAAAAGAAAAAGAAAAAAAAAAGCCTTCCTGCCTCTGGTCTTCAATTCTTCCCTGTGACTGCTCGTCTGAACTTGGACTGATCTTGGCCTTTCCCTGGACACCTCTCCTGGGCCAGCTCCCTCCCCAAAGGCAGGCATGAGGGCCTCCCACTGCCCAGCTGGGAATGTGCTGCTTTGACTTCTCAAGATTCTCAAGGAAAGATAGTGGAAAAGCTCACAGACCCAAATTGCTTTAGTGATATTCACTATTATCCATGTCTACCCTTTTCCCTGTCCGGCCTGCACCCCTGAAGCCTCTCAAGCCTCAGAAGGGAGAAACATCTGTTTGCAAACCCCAACTCAGAACTACCACCCACTAAATAAAAACAAATTATGTGAAAATTGGGTGTGGTAAGAAAAGAAAGATGTGGAGACCCTCAAAGGTCATTGAAGCCTGCTGTCTGATTTCCTGGTAGTGTGAGCATGAAAATTCATGAGGCAGAGGCAGGGGGGAGGAGAGGGAGAAGAGGGAGGGATTAAGAGAAAGAATGAGAGAAGAAAAGAACAGTGTTCAAATTTTTTCCAATTGATTCTTTTATTCTTAAATGCAGGAAAAGTTGCTGAACCTTACTTTCCTCCCTTTACAAACGCAATTCTGGTATTTTTATATAGCATTTACACCACGGCATTTTCCATTTGTTCATCTGTTCCATATGTAGTTTGTGTTCCAGTTGTTTTCATATGTATATATTTTATCTTCCCAACTAGGTGCCAAGTACTGTCCTTTGTGTCCAATGAAGTGTTCAACAAATGCTTGGCAATTCAGTGTCCGGGTTCACAGCTCACCTCCCGCTTACCAGCTTTATCCTCTCTGACCCTCAGCGACTCCCTGTGTTTATCCTACTTCCCAAGTCCTATTTTCCCAACCTTCTTCTCTCGCTCCTTCATCACCTGAGGTCCTCAAGTCCTATTGTTTTTTAACATGTTTCATATCTGTTACATTCTTATTGTTTCTGCCTCTACCACCTTACCTCCAGCTTTCAATTCATACCTGGATTATTGCAACGGTCTCCTTGCTGTTCTCTATTCTGCTACTCTCCTACCACTGCCTGTTTAGTCTTCTTGAAAAGAAGTTGACTGTCTTACGGGCTCCTCTACCTAGAAGTGGTCCCTTGTTGCTCACCAGGTGAGTTCAGTCTGTCGCTGGTGTGGCTTTGCAGGAGGGTCTTCCCTGATGTCTGCGGCATGGCGTCTCCCACTTGCTGGGTATGTTCCCCGTCTTCTCTAGCTAGGTGGGGCTCCCTCTCCCCACAGCACACAGTGCTGTTCCCAGCCAGCCTGGGCTTGTGCTGCTGCCTTCCCTGCCCTGGCCTTTGTTGCTGTGGATTCCACCTCTCCACACTCAGGGCTCAGCGAATGCCCTTCCATCAAGAAGCCTAGTGCTGTGGTCTGCATGTGTGTATCCTCCTGAAATTCCTATGTTGAAATCTAATCACCCAAAATTTCTATGTTGAAGTCTAATCACCAATGTTAGGAGGTGGGGCCGTTGGGAGGTGATGAGGTCATGTGGGGCAGAGCCCTCATGAATGGATTTAGTGCCCTAACAAAAGGAATCCCAGAGAGCTGCTAGCCTCTTCTACCATGTGAGGATGTGTCAAGAAGGTGCTGTCTATGAACCAGGAATCTCGCCCTCATCAGGTGCTGAATCTGCTGGCAACTTGATTTTGGACTTCCCAGCCTCCAGAACTGTGATATAAATGTCTGTGGTTTGTGAACTACTACCCAGTTTATCATATTTTTTTGGAGCAGCTCACATGAACTAAAGATACCTGGTCAGTCATTCCAGGCCACGGAACCCTCTGATCTCTGGGATACATATTGTTCACGTTGGGATTTGATCATATATTTTCACATATAGGTGTTTGATTATTTCAGGTGTATCCTTATCATCCCAATGTAATTCTACAGCTTTTGTGAGCAGGGATCTAGCTGCACTGTCCAGCTCCCTTGCTGGGAGATATGTTAAGTGCTGGGCGCAGGGGCGAGTGAGCACGCAGCTTGAGCCACAGCTCATCTAGTGCCTAGATTTTGACCTCAGCAAGACTTAAAGTCAAGCTCTCCTCTGCTTCTTAGCAGCAAGTTACATACCTTTCAGACTCAGTTTCTTCAGCAGTAAAATTGGAGATATTTATATAACATGATTTTTACAAAGATTAAATAGATCATATGTATTATGTTCTGAGCATGGTGCTTGACACACAGAAGGTTAATAAATCATTTGCCTTCTGACAAATCATTTGTTCATTTCCCTTCTGATGACAACAGCTATTTTCATAGGTGGCTTCTACTATCAAATATTCCCTACTTACCATCTACACAGTATCATCTGATAAATAGAGAAGCACAGAAAATCACTGCTTCCCGTCTTTCACTTCTACTTAGAACAGGGAGCACAGTCCTCCAGGGCTGGTCCACATGGAGCATGAAATCTGCCCGTCAGCCATCTGTGGCATCCTGGAGGCCCCATTCAGGTTGCAGTGCGGTCGCTTGGAAGTGTGTCTGGCCTCCTCATTACTTTCTTGTCTGCTTGCTCACATAGCGAGTGCTGTGCACACAGTAGGGCCATCACTGACACCTCCAGGTTGACTGGAGGCTTGGCATTGTGGTGGACTGAAGCCACCCAGGGATCTGCGTGTGATGGGCTGGTGCAGACGTCGCCCAGCGGGAGAGGCCTGGGGGCTGCCCGCGTCTGTACAGCCGGAGCTGCTGCGCCATCTGTTTTTGCCTCTCCCTGCTGCTGCTTCCTCCTGTCTTCGCCCCATCCTGCCTGCCTCGCTGCTCTAGCTCCATCCCTGAGGCCTCCTTCAGCCCAGGTCCCTGCATGACGTGGATAGGGAGGGAAGGGGCTGATAGGAGAGTGTGGACACGTGTGTGTGGAAGGAGGGTAAGGAGTGTGTGGAGTAGGGAGAGTAAGTGAGAAATGGGAGGGAGAAAGGAAGCGAGGCAGAGAGGGTGGGAAAGGCAGGAGGGGAAAAGAGGGAGACAGAGATGGAATAAGGGGGGCTGGGTGAGAAGGATGGGGGTGGAGAAAGTCTGTGTATATGAGAGAGAAAAGAGAGAGGGAGAGAGAGGGAGAGAAAGGGAGGAGGGGGGGAGACAGAGGGAGAACTTTAACTGTACAAGCAAGAATCTGCCTCCAGCACTTGGAATTACAGGGCCAAGGCTGAGACTGAACCTGGGGTGCGGCAGGAGCTGCACTGATGATGAGTCTGAAATTCCCAGAGCCGCGGAGGAAGCGGAAGCGTCTGGGATGCAGTTATCTCTAGAAGCAGAGATGCATTTCCCTCTGAGTGCACAGGGCGTCTTCCTTTCTCGGCCCACATTGGGCACGTGGTTCTTTCTTCTTGAACAGGAGATGGGCAGATACCATCTGCATGCCGTTCTCTGCCATTTTGGAACGGGGGTGGAGGGATGTGCTGATGGAGTCTCCTCGGAGCAGGGTTACTTTTATGACAAAGGGCCCAGTCTATAAAGAACTGCCGCCCCCACCTTTTCCTGCAGAGCGTGTTCCTACAGCTGCTGTCTCTGCAACTCTGGCCGGCGCGGGGTGTGGGGGGTGGTCCTAAGAGGTGGAACCTTGCTCAGAGGTTTCCTGCCTGCTGCTTCTCCCTTGGGAAGGCTCTGTCCCTCTAAGATGGAGGAGCCGATTGGATGGCTGGGGCGGCACTTCACTGGCCTCCTCATGAGGCTCCTTGGGAGGCAGGTGCCTGCTCCTGCAAATTTCTAAAGCTGGACTGAAGCTGGGATCAGGGGAGCTGATGTCACTGAGAACTGCTTATCTTCCTCAGAGCTTTGAGGTTACTATTTCTCAACAGAGTTCTGTTTCCAGGAAACTCACTACTAATCTGAGGTGGGTTCTGACTGAGAAAGACTCTGTGATTCTATTAGGTTGGTGCAAAAGTAATTGTCGTTACTTTCAATGGCAAAACCTGCAATTACTTTTGCACCAACCTAATACGTCGATGAGCTAAGGATACACCTGGTGTGGTCTCCTGGGGAGAAGGGAGATGTGTGAGGTCACATTTGTATCTCTGCTAAACGTTGAGAAGAAGAAACTGAAGAGTAACAGGAAGGAACTAGAGTCCCAAGTGTGAGATGATGGCATGAGCACTGAGGACCAGGCTTCTAGATTTGGAGCTAAAAGCTACATTTAGCCACTGGGGTGTTCGATGGCCTGGCCAGTCCTCTGCTCCTGAACCTTCTGTAGTTGTCTGGGCTCACAGGGAAGTTTGCCCCATACCCCTTACTGTCAGTGCTAGAGACATTTGAATAATGAATTCTGTTTAAGACTGAAAACCTCGAAGTTCCATCTGTAACAAGACTCGAAATAATTACAGATGATGATTGCCTGGTACACTCAGCCAGAAAAAACAGAACAGCTTTTGGCCGCCAGCAATTACAAGCAGCACCGGCTTCAGCACAGACAGAACTTTTAAGTGAATACATGAATACATTGCTGAAGATCAGAAGGCAAGAAAGACTGTCAGAGCTGGGGTGGGGGTGGGGAAATGAGTTGGCAAAAAAGGAGTGACTTCACTACCATGGGGAGGAGAGAAAAGGAGGGGGAAGGGACAGGGAGAGTAAGAGAGATCTCCCCCAACTCTTTGCCCATTCAAATTTTTAACTATAAAATAGCAAAAAGATTGACATGGAGTAGCAACCCAGGAGTACTGTATTTTAAGGCTTTCTCCAATTTGAACCTTATCATGGGAGACAGTGAGATGAAGTGGCTTGTTTGTCATGGATATGGTTTGAAGTTATAGCTCTTGGTGCTTTTCTTCTTGTGTGATGTGGGGGAAATAATACAAGTTTTTGAATCAGAGACACCTGGAGTCAAATGTTCGTTTTGCTGCAAGTATTATCTTGTTTGGTCACTTAGCTATTCCAAACCTCCGTTTTCTCTTCTGTGAATCCCACCTTCAGGTGTTCTCATGGGGAATGACTAGGATAACGTCTATAAAGTGTCTTCCACTGCTGTCTGGAATAGAGAACGTCTTCAGCCAGTGTGGGTCTCCTCCTGTCTCTGAAGGGTCCTCTACCCCTTTCCCACTGGCTTTATCTCACATCTTCCATACTTTATTTCTTGCACTGGCTGAACCTATCCGATCTCACCCATTGATTTAGGAGAACCAGGGTATTCAAGACTCAAAAAATCTTGGCTATTCATTTGGTTAGGGACTTTAACAATTAAAGTGTAAAAAGTGTGAACCAAAATGGAGATGCTAGGGCAATTGTATTCTTGCCTGCTCCTGCCCTGGACTCCTCATTTTGTGCAGGTTGATTGTGATTTTCCTGCCTGATTCACACATCTGCTCTTGATTGCTAATTTCAACCCAGATTAGGAGTGGAAGCCTGAAACTCTTGGGACCTTAACAGCTAGTAGATGAGCCATCAAAGTCTTGGTAATCAGACCATTGGAGTGAGGATTTTCAACCCGATTTGAAGACTCTCTTATTTCCGGGCACTTCAGCTTCTCACCAGCTTCTGACTCAAGCTTCCCACTCCCATCTGGGGGTTCAGGCGGGTTTGAAAGGGTGCGTCCTGTCCTCATGAGGCTGGAGCCATCTGGGTGGGAGTTCACAGACCAGATTTTAACAGGAGAGAAGTTTGCAGACAGGCATTTAGAAGGAGCTAGCCTCTGTGCAAATCTTTTCTCCAATGGGCTCTAAGGAATTATCTCAGCTATACTTGGTCTGCAGAATTAGCACCAAGTGGACACTGCCCAAGTCCATGGTCTGTATCATCCAGAGTAGTGGCCAGAGCCGTGGCCGGGCCCACTCAAGCCATGGCTGGGGAGCCCCAGGAGCACTGTGCCAGAATGTGAGCGCAGACACTTGAGGAAACCCCAGGCAGCAAATGCTGATGTCTTGCAGATGTCTCTCTGGAGACTTTGCCCTTAAGGTCCTGGATGTGAAGGGAAGCCCCAGAGACCTCTGAAATGCCTTTGGGGTGTTTCTCCCAGTGTCTTGATAATAACTTTTGCTTCTTTCTGTCTGTAGTAATCTCTTTTTGCAAACGGTCACTTGGCCATACCCTTGGTTTGCACTCCTAAAGATGCCTTTCACTCTTTACATGCCAGGGTATAAATTTTCCAAATCTTTCCTCTGTGTGTCTCTTTTAATTATAAATGTTATCTTTCAATCTTTTATTTCTCTTGAATATTACTATATATAGTTAAAAGTAGCCACAAAGCTCCTTCAATATTTTGCTTAGATATTTATTCTGCCAGATATCTTAGTTCATTGCTCTTAAATTCTTACTCCCAGGCTGGGTGCTCATGCCTGTAAGCCCAGTACTTTGGGAGGCCAAGGTGGGAGGATCACTTGAGCCCAGGAGTTCAAGACCAGCCTGAACAACATGGCAAAACCCCATCTCTACAAAAAATACAAAAAATTAGCTGGGCATGGTGGCATGCATCTGTAGTCCCAGCTACCTGGGAGGTTGAGGTGGGAGGATCACCTAAGCCCAGGAGGTCAAGGCTGCAGTGAGCTGTGATCGTGCCACTGTACTCCAGCCTGGTCAACAGAGCGAAAAATATCTGCCTTCCATAAAGCTCTGGGGCATGAACACAATTCAGCCAAGTTCTCTGCTAATTTATGAGAATGATGACCTTTCCTCCAGTTTCCAATACCTTGTTTTTCATTTCCATCTGAAACCTCATCAGAATGACTTTTACTGTCTATATTTTTACCAACATTCTGATCACAACCACATAAATAATCTTTAAGAAAATTTAGATTTTTCCTACAGCTATTCTCTTCCTCTGAGCCCTCACCAGAATCACCCTTAATGCTCTGTTTATAAAAATACATACTTTTTCTGGCATTCACTTCAAAACTTTTCTAGCTTCTACTCATTACCCAATTCCAAAACTGTTTCTACATTTTCAGGTATTTGTTATTGCAACACCCCGCTTCCAGTACCAATTTTCTATTGTAATGCATTTTGTGCTACTATACCAGAATACCACAGACTGGGTAATTTATAAAAAATATAATTTATTTTCTCACCATTCTGGAGGCTGGGAAGTTTAAGATATAGGTTCTGGTATCTGGTAAGGGCTTTTTTGCTATGCCATAATATGGCAGAAGGTATCACACAGGTGAGAGAGAGAAAGAAGGGGATGGAACTCATACTTTTATAATGAATCCACTCCTTCAATAACAGCATTCATTTATTTATGAGGGGAGAGCCTTCATGACTTAATCACCTCTTAAAAGTCTCATCTCTCAACATGGTTGCATTGAGGATTAAGTTTCTAACACATACATTTTTAGGGCCAGAGGCAGAATGCTATGGTTTGAATGTGTCCACTAAAGTTTATGTGTTGGAAAATTGATCCTCAGTGAAACAATATTGGGAGAATTTAAGGGGTGATTAGGTCATGAGGGCTCTGCTCTCATGAATGGATTAATGCCATTATTGAGGGAGTGGGTTTGTTATCAGCGTAGTGGGTTCGTAACAAAAATGTGAGTTCATCCCCCACCCCCCTCCCACTCTCTCTCTCCCACATGATGCCTTCCACCGTATTATGACACAGTGAGAAGGTCCTCACAGATGTCAGTGCTTTGATCTTGGACTTCCCAGCCTCCCGAACTGTTTTGTAGAAACAGTTTTTTACAAAAGTACTTTTTATAAATTACCCAGTCTGTGGTATTCTGTTATAGTGGCACAAAGTGCACTAAGACGAGGGGGTTGGTGGGCAGAATGACTCCAGTCCTATGAATGCTCACACTCTTTCTCGGAATTACTTAATATTGAGAGCTTGTTTTGTGGGTAGTGATGCATCCTCTTGATCACTCAGGCTCCTGTTAAGACCCCGCCTCCTCTCTAAAGCTTTTGTAAAGCTCCTTAGTCAAGGCTAATCTTGAGTAATTCTGTGTAAGAGTAAAGACATGACCTGAGTGCCAAGCACCCTGTTTATGCCTCTGGCTGATTAAACCCTTTTTAGATCAAGTTTGTGTATAAATACATAAATAAATCCTAATTATAACACTTTGTGATGCTAAACAATTTGCTTAATTTCTCTGAGCCTCTGATTTATTTTGCTTTGTTTTTAGAGATAGAGTTTCACTCTGTTGTCCAGGCTGGAGTGCAGTTGTGTGACTGTAGCTCACTATAGCCTTGACCTCCCAGGCTCAAGGGATCTTCCCACCTCAGCCTTCCAAGTAGCTGGGACTACAGGTGCATGCCGGCTAATTAAAAAAATTTTTTTTCGCAAAGATGGGGGTCTTTCCCCATCTTGCCCAGGCTTGTCTTGAACTCCCAAACTCAAGCAATCCTCATGTCTCAGCCTCCCAAAGTGTTGGGGTTATAAACGTGAGCCACTGTGTCTGGCATGAATTTTTGTATTAAAAAACTTATACTGTTTAAAAAGTCAGCTTGATGCCATCAGTATTTGTTCCCTTAATATCTACTACCTTGTGTTATTTATCTGTGTCTACCAACATATCCATTCTTTAGATAAACTTGAGGTTCTTTGAAGTTTGAAACTGTGTTATAGATATTCCACATTTATTGATTATTAAATAATCATTATTGAGCTTGTTTTGTGGCTACAAAAATGAATGATACATTATTGCTACACTTTAGGAACTTGGGTGGGGGGCAGAGAGAGAGACAGAGATGAGAGAGAGAGAAAGAGACTGTCTCTGAGAGACTGAGACTACTAAATAGAAAAAATTGGCTTCTATTTTTTCATGTTCCTATGACAGTATCTTCCATATGGTATGTGAATTTCTCAGTAAATACTTATGAATTGACTGATAAATAAGCCTAATTCCCTCATGGCAGCAAGTAATGTTATGAATTTTAAGTGGAATTAGTAACAAGTAGGGGATTTCTGGCTAAACTCAGGGGTGTGAACACATGGTTTTATCTTGGCTCCTCCCCCAAGGCCCACTAAAATGACAATAAAGGATAAAATAAAAAGAAATATCAATAAATACACAAAAATATTAAGAAAAGAGGGAACAGCATTTGAGAAATGACCATAAATATTAGGAGGTAGGAAACAGATGAAAGACAGGTAACTGCATTAAAATAGGCGAGCTAAAACCTAAGCTTATGTGTGTGCCTGTCTGTGCATGCGTGTGAGTGTGTGCGTAGGTGTGAATGTGCGTGCGTGCGTGTGTGTGTGTGTGTGAGTGATGAAGCGAGCAAAAAGCAAACTGAAACGTCTCTGGCCTTGCATTTGGCTGTACTAGCTACCCCTGTGGCTGAAGAGAGAAAGCTTGATTGCTAGAAAGCGCTAGACCCCAGATCGCCTCCCCAAGCCTGTGTAGCTGTGTGACTGTTCTGCCCCTACCCGGCAGAAACTGGGAGATCTGCACAGAGGAGGAGAGGAGAGCCATTGTTCTGAAAATAAAGAAGGCCTAAGGGAAAGTTTGTATATGAAAGAGTGACACTTCCAACCGTCTTTTCCTATCCTGCTCTCTAAACCTGGCAAGCAATCCTTCCATGTCGGAGGTTGTGTCACTTATTTGAAAAAACAGACTGACATTTAAAAAAAGATTTTTAGATACTGAGCATAGCCCAACCAAAATTAAATCCACTGGTTTTCCAATCTGTGGTGAAGCCCACCATTGATAAGCTTAGCAGGCAGCATGGGCTAGGCTATGCTACAGTAACAAACAAGCCATCAATGGTCCTGACTTGCACCAAAGAACATTTATTTCTCATTCGAGCTGCCTGCCATCACTGGTTTGCCGGACTTCTGCTCCAAGTATTCCTCATCCAGAGGCTTAAGTGAATGGAGCAGTCATTATCAGGCACATAGGCCAGCATCATGGCAGAAGGAAATAGTGTGTGATGGATTGCACAGTAATTGCCTAAGCAACTTTTGAATTTACTTATCAATTTTGTTGAAATTGCCAAATAAAAATTGCATTTATTTATGGTGTCCGACATGATGTTTTGAAATATATACACATTGTGGAATGGCTGAAGATAGCTAATTAATATGTCCATTCCCTCTTAAACTTATTTTTTTTGTGGTGAGAACACAAAATCTACTCTTGGTGATTTTCAAGTATACAATACGTTGTGATTATCCATAGTTACCAACAGTACAATAGGCCTCTTGAATTTATTCCTCCTAACTAAAGTTTGTATCCTTTGACCAACACCTCTCCACTTCCCCCTCTCCCCCATCGCTGGTAACCACCATCCTACTCTCTGCTTCTATGAGTTCAACTTTTTTAGATTCCACATATGAGTGAGATCATGCAGTATTTGTTTTTCTGTGCCTGGCTTATTTTGCTTGACATAATGTCCTCCAAGTTTATCCATGTTGTCACAAATGACAGGATCTCTCTTTTTTTTTAAGGCTAAATAATACTCCATTGTGTTTATATGCCACATGTCTTTATCCATTCATATGCAATGGACACTCAGGTTGTTCCCATATTATCTTGGCAATTGTGAACAGTGCTGCAATGAGCATGGGAGGGCAGATATCTCTTTGACACACTGATTTCATTTCCTTTGGATATATACCCAGAAGTGGGATTGCTGGATCATATGGTAGTTCTATTTTTAATTTTCTGAGGAACCTCCATCCTGTTTTCCATAATGACTGTACTAATTTACATCCCCAACAACAGTGTTTGCACTGATTCTTACAGTTCCCCATGGAAGTGACATATATCATTCCCACCCACTTCTCATTGGCCAAAGCAAGTCATATGGCCATGACTAACTTTGAAGGTGGTAAGGGAGTGAAAATTCACCATGTGCCTGGAAGGAGAAAAACTGAGATATTTGTGAACTTGGACAACAGTCTTCCCATCTGGTCACCAAATATTCTGTTTACCCTCCTTTCCACATGCAAAGTATGCTTATCTCTTCCTGAGGTGGATTACTCTACTGTCTCATCTAGTTGGCATCAAACTCAACTTCTGGAGTTACATGATACCAATTTTTAGGTCGACCTGTGGCTGCTAGCAATCTGGTGATCTAAGAACACAAACCCTCCACACACACACCCCCCACACACATACACAAACACACGCCCCCCCACACGTACACACCCACCCACACCCACACTCACATACACACACACACACCCCCATCCCCCATGTACACACACCCCCACCCACATGCACACACACCCACAACCACACACAACCACACACACCCATATACACACCTACACACACCCACACACACCCACACACCCACATACACACACCCACACACCCCCACACCCCCCCATACACACCCACACACATATACCCACACACCCCCCAAACACCCACATACACACCCCCCACACCCACACCCACACCCACCCACATACACACACCCACACACACACCTATACCCACATGCACACCCACATACACACCCACATACACACACCCCACACACACCCACATACACACACCCACATACACACCCCCACCCACACACACCCCCATACACACACCCCCACCCACACACACCCACATATACACACCCACACACCCACATACACACACCCACACACCCACATACACCCCCCACATATACACACACCCACATACACACGTACCCACACCCACATTACACCCACACACACCCACACACACCCACATACATACACCCCCACATACACACACCCACATACACACCCACACCCACATGCACCCACATACACACACCCACACACACCCACATACACACACCCTCACACTCACCCACACCCCCCACATGTCCCCACATACACACACCCACATACACACACACCCACATACACACACACACCCCCACATACACACACACACAGAAGCAAAAAGCCAACTAACAAAATAGGCAAGTGATTTCCTCCCTCCACATCCCTAATACACGATCATGAAAGAAGGAGAGAACAACTCGGAAAACTTCTTGTTCAGAAAGGCACGGGAAGGGAGTCCCGCGGCAGCGAGTGGTGAGTTTCACAGGGCAGCCACATTTAGGGCCCCCTGGTCCAAGAGAGGAAAATGTCCTTCAGTTGAGCCTTGACACCTTTTCCTGAACCTGTTTCCTTGTCTGATGTTTTCTGTGGTCCCTTGGTCCGCCTTTTCCCATGTTCTCTCGTTCCCATTATCCTCCTTTCCTCATCTGAGGTGACGCTGGGAAACACGCCTTCCTTTGGAACTGAGCACACTCTCTAGCCCACCTCCTGTCCCTAGATGTTGGGAGCCCAGTGGTCATTTTAAGTTTTAAAGAATCACAGTCCAGGTGGATAGTTTATTTCAACACGAACCTCTCAAAAATGTAATTAACTTATTATCTATTTGATGGTAGTCAGTCCCATAGCTACATGCAGTTCTTCTATAGAAAAACTTCTTAAATTTGATATATATATATGTATATATACACACACACACATTTACTTTTCTGCTTCTGAGACTCTTCCCCTCTTTTTTTAAAATATGTATTTGTATTATCCTTTAAGTTCTAGGGTACATGTGCACAACATGCAGGTTTGTTACATACGTATACATGTGCCATGTTGGTGTGCTGTACCCATTAACTCGTCATTTACATTAGGTATATTTCCTAACGCTATGCCTCCCCGCTCCCCTACCCCACAACAGGTGTGTGATGTTCCCCTTCCTGCATCCAAGTGTTCTCATTGTTCAATTCCCATCTATGAGTGAGAACATGCGGTGTTTGGTTTTTTGTCCTTGCTATAGTTTGCTGAGAATGATGGTTTCCAGCTTCACCCATGTCCCTACAAAGGACATGAACTCATCATTTTTTATGGCTGCATAGTATTCCATGGTGTATATGTGTCACATTTTTTCAATCTAGTCTATCATTGTTGGACATTTGGGTTGGTTCCAAGTCTTTGCTATTGTGAATAGTGCCGCAATAAACATACGTGTTCATGTGTCTTTGTAGCAGCATGATTTATAATCCTTTGGGTCTATACCCTGTAATGGGATGGCTGGCCTCTTCCCCTCTTAATTTAATTATGGGTACCTTGGAAAAACCCAATCAGGCTTTGGTGGGACAGCCACCCCTTCTACCTCTTCCCTGAAACATTTTTTCATTTGAAGGAATTTTCTGGATGACATGTCTGTTTGTTTTTTTAAATGGACATCTTAGTCTATTTAGAAATTTCAGTATTGGGTATGATGGCCGTACTTTTGTGATTCTTAAAGATCAATTTATAATCATCCTGTAATTTTTTTTCCTCTTAGGGCTTTCTCAGTTTTTTCTATTACTATGTAGCTTTGAGAGGTAGATGATTTTTCCAGCCATGAAAATAACCAAATTATTGATCTCCATTCCTTTGCATCCCTGCTTGGATCCCTGCAAATTCTTTTCTAAGCTCATCATGATCTTTTGCATTTGGCTTTATGTCAAATGCAACTATCGTGAACAAAAGCACACTTCTCATACTCTGGTTTTCTAGACCTACAAGTTTATTTGGGTTTTGTATTAGTTAGGGTTCTCCAGAGGAACAGAAACCACATTTATTTATTTATTTAATTTATTTACTTTTACGAGTTGATTCACACAATTATGGAGGCTGAGAAGCCCAGATACAGGAGAGCTGAAGTTACAGATCCAGCCCAAATTCAGGCCTGGGAAGCAGGAGAGCTGGTGATGTAAATTCCAGTCCATGTTTAAGTCTGAAGGCTGGAGAAGACTAATGTCAAACCCAGCCAGGCAGAGAAAAAGAATTCTTTCTTAGTCAGCACCTGATTCTATTTCAGATTGGATGAAGCCACCCATAGTGGGGAGGGCCATCTACTTTACTCAGTCTAGAGATTCAGATGTTCATCTCATCTGTTGACACTTTCCCAGATACACCCAGAATAATGTTTAGCCAAAAATCTGGGTACCTCATGGCCTAGTAAAGTTGACACATAATATTAACTGTCACATATATTTGTTTCCAAAGGTAAGAGTTTGTATATTTGTCTCCTCCTAATCTCATCGAAATGTGGTCCCCAAAGTTAGAGATGGGGCCTGATGGGAGGTGTTTGGGTCATGGGAGTGACTCCCTTGTGAATGGCTTGGTACCGTCCCTGTGGTGATGAGTGAGTTCTTGCTCCATTAGTTTATGTGAGAGCTCATTGTTTAAAAGAGTGTAGTACCCCACCTCTCTCTCTCTGCTTTTCCCTCACTCTGCTTCCTGTACAGGCTGCAGAACTGTGAGCCAAATAAACCTCTTTTCTTTACAAATTATCCAGCCTCAGTTATTCCTTTATAGCTACACAAAACACAAGGTGTCTTCAGTGAAAGTTTAACCAAATGTTCCCCATTGCCTAACGTGAATCGCCATTGTGCTAGCCCCTGGTAGGTTTTCTTATTGCTCACTGCCAGACCATGGAGCCAGTGCCACATATTTCAGATGTTTGACGTGGCACTTCTGTGTATGAGTTTCTCTATCCTTCAGTATTGTATACGTTGTGCTATAGTGACAAACAATTCTAAAATCTCAGTGACTTATAGTAACAGAGGTTTATTTCTCACTCATATCAACTGTCCCTTTCTTCTCTAAGTCATTTTTGCATCAAGACAAAAACTGATGTAGTTCCCATCTGGAGGTCTGCTACTGCCACCACAGAGTAATAGAGAACCTACATCCCTTCTGCTCACATGACACTGGTCAGAAGGAGTCATATGGCTGCAACTAACTTTGGTTGCCATGAATCCTATCATGTGCCTGGAAGGAGGAGAACCAAAACACGTGTGCACAGCCCGGATGATCCCCATGCAATCTAGATCATGCACACAAAGCTTCTCATCAGCTTTTTAGTGGCTTTCTCCTAAATGTGAATGGAGATCCAAGCATCATCAGTGCTACGGCTCAAATATGTCCACCAAAAGGCATGTGTGTGAAAATCCCCAGTGCAACAGTATTAGGAGATGGGGTCTAATGAGAGTAACTAGGTCATGAGAGCTCTGCTCTCATAAATGTATTAGTGCTATTATCGTGGGAGTGAGTTTGTTATTGCAGGAGTGGGTTCCTTATAAAAGGATGAGTTTGACTCTGTTTTGTCTCTCTCTCATGCACTGTCTTCCTTTTCTGCCTTTCCTCATGGGATGATATAGCAAGAAAGCCCTTGCCAGATGCCGCCCCCATGATCTCACATTTCCTAGCTTGCAGAACCAAGAGCTAAATAAATTTCTGTTTATTATGAACTATCTAGTCTGTAGTATTCTGTTATAGCAGCACAGAACAGACAAGACAGCCTGATACTTGATGAAAGCCCTAATACGAAAACCAGAGACCAACACAAACCAAAGTTTACAAAAGGAATGAGAGAATACAGACAATGCAGGAAACAGAAGAAAACTTATAAAACAATCCTCTGATTGGTCTCAGAATGAAATATTGCATTCCTGAAAGAAGAACAGAATGCTATGAAAGGGAACAAGCAAAAGATAAGGAACAGCTCTTAACCATTGACCACATGAAAAAAGAAATTTTAAAATTTACTGGAGAATTTGAAGAAAAAGTTGATAAAGCAGAACAAAACATCCAGTTGGTTAGACACAGAAGGAAAAATATGTGAATCAATCAAGAAAGCTCATCCGTCAATTAATAAGAGTTACAAAGAAAGAAGATAAGTCAAACAAAGAGAAGATACCATCCAAAGGAATATTTTCAGAAATATTGCAGAACTGAAGGCGGTTGTATTCCGTGTTGGAGGGACTGAACAAGTGCTCAATACAATGAAATCAAAGAGATCTACCCCAAGGCCCATGCCTGTCAACGTTCAGGATGCTGGTAAGTAGAAGTGCCTAAAAACGTCTCTGCAGTTGTGGCAGACGTGGTGACAAAGTGCTGGGGTTCAGAATGGTATTCCAGCAGCAATTTGGAAGCCAGAACAATATCAGAAGCTAAAGACCTGGGGTCCCGGAAACTACAGGATAGAGGTGAAAGAAATTTCCAGGAAGAAAGTGGACAAGGATTTCAGCCATGCAGCAGGCCTGGAAAGCCAGCAGCCCTACTTGGACCACAAGAATGGGGGCTTCCAGGGCAGAGAGTGGCTGCTTCTGGAAAGTGAAAATTAGCAAGAAGGAGCAGTGAGTAGGGCAGAGAGCTGCCTATTGACACCACTGGCCTTTGTGTCTTTTTAAACGATGCGTGTATTTTATTTAGTTAAAGAAAACCCCCAATTTAAAAGTGTTTCTATGTGGCAGTGAATTATAAATTTAAAAAAAAAACCACAAGATTGATTTCTGATTACTGACTGTGTGATCTTGATCAAGTCATTCCACCTCTCCTGTAAATAATTTCTTGTTTCTTCATTTGCAAAATAAGGCAATACACTTAGAAGCCTTCATAGGGTCTTTCTGACCCTTACCTTCTAGAATTCTAAAGGGCACCAGTGCACAGTCACCTTAAACAGAATGGTCTCAGATTCTCGAATCACCCAGAGTCACCCTCCTCTCTGAGGCTGATGTGCTTTTGCGTGCACCTGATTCCATTTCCTTTCAAAGAACAGATCAGGACCAAGGGTGAGCACCTGAAAGCTAGGGCCCAGTCCTAATGCATGTTGCATGAGAAGGTGGCTGGTGCGTGTGGTTTATTTAGATGCTTTTATTTCTGTGTCACAGGGACCCCTCAGAGGCTCCCCGCTGCGTAATGGGGCTGGCTAGAAGCTGATCTGGCAGCTCGTTAACACTCAATTAAAGCTCTTCTCTACAGTATGGCATTAACTTTTTAAAAATTTATACATGCAATTGAAGGAATTAAAGTGCAACTGTGGTTTTCAAAGCGGTTTATGTGAGGGAGGCTGTGAAATTGTTCTCATCTGTCCAGTCTTCAGTTTTCAAATTTATATGTGCAATTGAGTTGGAAATTAAAGTGCAGTTTTAAGGTGGGTGTGAGTGTCTTACATGGCACAACATTCACCATTTTAAATTTATAAATGTAATGAAAATGAGATGACTTTGGAATTAAAGAATATGTGAAAGAAAAAATACATGTTCTTTCTTGGGGATATGCTGCTTTTTCCCTTCCTATAATCTAAATTCTTGATGAGTATGTAGTCACCCACGTCTTAACTTCTGTAGAACAGTGAGCTAGGGTCTTCCATGCCAGAAGGGCAGAGAGATCCTCATCACATCTGACCCCACCCTTCATTGCCTCTCTTTCCCAGGTTGAAATCCAGGGTGTCTACATCCCACAGGATTATGGAGGGTGTATGCATTGTGCACTTGTCACTTAGAGACGCCTATGGTCTGAGAATGTTAATTTTCCTTCGTGTCGTCGTGGTAGAGACCCAGAGATGGCATTTCAAGTTCCAGGAGTTATGCATGAACTGGCTTTCTGGAATTAAAGGTACAAATGTTTGTGGGGCACCTCCTCTGACATTTCTAGAAAATTCTTTAAGTATTGCTTCCCCTCTGGTTTAGACTGGTTCTTTCGGCTCACTGTCCCGTCTAGCTGTCTGACTGGGACGTGTCTGATGCATCTAGAGAAGCTCATGGCTCTGGAAAATCCCAAGGTGGAGATGCAGCCTGTTTGTTCCAGGAGATGATGAGACTGGGAGGTGCAGCTGGGCATGCGCAGCTCCCGATGTCTCATCTTCCCTTTCACCGAGTCTCCTTCATGGCAGGGGCTTGTCTACATCCTCCCGTCATGCCCCCTTGTCCCTCCTTGTCTTCACCCTGGGCCATCATCCTGGAGCAGGGCTCAGAGCAGCAGGAGGGTGACTAGTGGCTTTCATGGGCAGCACTCTACTGAGTCCTGAGTCCTGGGCACTCTTGCTTCCTGAGGCCAGGCCCCAGCTGCCCTGCCTTGGGTCTTACCCTCTTCACTGTGCTGGACAAGGGGCAGGGGGATGGTGTCATCTCCTGTGTCTGTGACCTAAACCCCTTTATCGTTCCTCTTTATCATTTTCAGAAGTCTTTGATTCAAGACCCCTTTCTCCTTTCTTTCCCTCCTAATACATTTGCATGCTCATTGAGGCGAAAAATTACATGATTTCCAGATTGCACTGAGCCGTTTCAGACCTGGGCCCACTTAGCAAGGCCATCACTTCGCAATTAAGCTGCGACTCACCGTTCTTACTTAATGCTGCCACCGCTTTCAGAGTCCACGGACCTTGCTGCTCTGTCACCCCTAGGGTGCATGTTTGTCCCATCCAGAGCTGTCTACACAGCTTATACGCCCCACAGAAGGCAGGTCCACTGTGTAACTGCACAGTGAATCACAGTAAATGAATGACCAAAAGAATACGTGAGTGAATCAATTTATTGAAAAAAATTCTGTTTAAAAAGTTAGGCCTTAATCTTTGGCAAGAAAATCAGACTTGCTATTTAAAAAAGACAAAACAAACATGACGAAATTATTGACAGCTTTGTTTGCGCTGTGCCTCGTGTCAGCAATGATTTGCTCGGCCTTCCAAAGATACATAAATGAGAAAAGGCTTCACAGTGAGGAATTTAGAGTGAAGAGAAAAGATGAGTGAGAAAACAATAAAGCCCTCCATTTCCTTGAAAAAGAAGAAAAGCATTACAATTGATGGCTAAGAGAAATACACATAGAGACACCCATTAAAATAGCAGGGCTCACCTTGGGGCCCCCAGGCTCACATTGCTTGGCTGCATAATATTTGCCTTGGCGATTGAGACATATGGAGCCAAGTTTGCCGCCGACCTCTAGCAACTGGGTGGGGCCCTTTCATGTGGATTTCTAGTCTTCACTGGGCTTTATTATTTTCTCGTCTCTCTTTTCTCTTCACCTCCAGTTCCTCAACTATTTCAAAGTTCCAGCAAATCTTTTGTGACTTGAGGCACAAAGTAAATCAGTCAATGAGTTAGAAATTATTATGGGATTTACTCAGAGGATGAGAGGAACCACTTACTGTAAATCTTCCTAAATTGACCTACCTGAAGCAAGAGTCAGAATTAATTGTCTGATTTAGTGGACATCATTTGTGAATATCCATACCTATTTTCAGCTCACCTAGTGAGGACTGGCTGCACACCTATTTAGTGCATGACCCAGGTTTAGGGATATTCTTCTGGAGATAACAAGAATGACAAGCTAGACAGGGTCCATGTCCCTCCTGGACCTCACCCTTCAGGTGGAGGAGGTGAGGAATGCCTTTCCAGAGGCTGGGGGTGATGGAGATAGAGCTGTTGCCTAGAAACTCGTGGGCACTGAGTTTACTCTCTGTACCCCAACGGGGAAGTGGTCCTGCCAAAAATGGGCCAAACCTTAGGGACTGGGAGAGCTTGATTTTGTAAACAGTTCCTTGAAGTGCAATGCATTGTTTACACAAATCCCTCCTGAAGGGTGAGAGAAGCTCTGAGTATGACAGAGTGGGAGAGCAGCAAGCATTGGACTTCCCCGTGCTGGCGCGACCTTGTGTGGCGTTCATCCCTGAACGCTGCGGGCCGGGCATCGGCTGCCCTCTGTGTGGCCCTTCCTCCTGTGAGAAGACTGCACTTGGAGCTCTCCCGAACTCTCCTGTGCGTGTAGGTTCCTTCCCTGCTGATCCATTGGCCACCAGAAGCACTTTACAAGAAAAGGACAATAAACATTCAAGTAAGTGAAGGAGATGATTTAGACAGTCAGTGTGATGTAAAGGAAAATGAGCCAGGGTGCTGTGGCGGAGGGAACAGGAACAGGAGGTGGTCAGAGAAATGTTCTTGGAAATCAGTGCTGTAGGCAGAAGAAATGGCAAAGCCTCTTGCATGGGCCTCCCTGGGTGCTTAAGGGACAGAGTGGACCAAGGTGAGTGTGGAGAAGCAAGGTTGGTGTTGTGCTTGGCAGGGTTTCTGGGGCCAGGTCATGAACAGCCCTGGAGGCTGTAGTAAGGAGTTACTTCAAGTGCAATGGGAAGCCATGGAGAGTTTTAAGTGGGAGAATGATGTGATCTCATTTACGTTTTAGGAAGTTCTCTGGCTTCTTTATCGAGAATGGATTAGAAGGGGAGGGGGGTGCAGGGTCAGAGTAGGAGCGGAGAGATCAGTTCAAAGCCCCCTCGGCAGCCAGGGAGAGCTTGCCGTGTTGTTGATGGTGGTCAGGATGTCTGGCCACATCCTGGTCAGCAGTGTGTGGTTTCCCCACCATCTGCCTTCCGGATCACCCTCACTGGGCCTGCACACCTTGTGTTATGCGTGTCCCTTAGAGCCCATGCTATCCCCTTTAACAGATAGGTCAGTGGATTTTTGTCCTGTAATAT
This sequence comes from Homo sapiens, assembly GCF_000001405.40. Lineage (NCBI taxonomy): Eukaryota > Metazoa > Chordata > Mammalia > Primates > Hominidae > Homo > Homo sapiens. The sequence continues at coordinate 133,730,258 of NC_000011.10, read as the reverse complement.
TTTTTCCTAAGCCAATCATCTTAATTAGATTGAGAGTATGTCCAAGGCAGATGATTATGCTGACTTCTGGGAAAGCTTGCTTAAGTTAAAAGAAGAGAGAAAGCTGTGGATTATGTGTGTGTTCATGTGTGTTTCTGAATGAAGATCTCAAACTGTCTTACAAAGGTTCAGTCTCCTTTATTCCTACAGCTGGAAGGTTACACATGGGTCATGAGCATTATGGAAACACTCAGATACTCTTAAGTCTTACTGGGCTTCAATTTCTAGATCTGTAACACGAACATGTTAAATCTAAAATGCCCCTTCCAGCTTCAATATAATCAAAGACCTCTGCTTCTAGACATGGCTGTGAACAGTGTCTAATAGCCTTTGATAAAATTTCCCTTGACCCATAGAATTAGATTATGCATGCTATGGTCTGAATGTATTTATCTACCCCAGAATTCATATGTTGAAATCCTCACTGCCAATGTGGTTTAGGAGGTGGGGTCTTTGGGAGGTAATTAGGGCATGAGGGTGGAGCTGAATAAATGGCATTAGTGCCTTTCTAAAAGAGGCCCAAGGCCGGGTGCAATGGCTCACACCTGTAATCCCAGCACTTTGGAAGGCCAAGGCAGGTGGATCACCTGAGGTCAGGAGTTCGAGAGCAGCCTGTCCAACATGGCGAAATCCTGCCTCTACTAAAAATACAAAAATTAGCCGGGCATGGTGGTGGGTGCCTGTAATCCCAGCTACTCGGGAGGCTGAGGCAGGAGAATCGTTTGAACCTGTGAGGCGGAGGTTGCAGTGAGCCAAGGTCTGCCATTGCACTCCAGCCTGGGTAATGAGCTAAACTCCATCTCAAAAAAAAAAAAAAAAAAAAATGAGGCCCAAGAGAGACCCCTTGTCCCTTCTGCCATGTGAGGAACAGCAAGCATGCATTATCTAAGAACCATGAAATGGTCCCTCACCAGATGCCAAATCTACCAGCGCCTTGATCTAGGACTTCCCAGCCTCCAGACCTGGGAGAAATCAATGGCTGCTGTTTAGAGCCCCCAGCCTACAGTATTTTGGTGCAGCAGCCTGAGTGGACTACAGGAATGCCAGTGCCTGCTGCCCAATATTTAAATCATGTGGGCTCCCCTATGGTTGTACGATTTATCTTATTTATAGCATTTATTTGACCAGAATTTTTCCTCCCCCATTTTTTACCACATCAATATAGAGGTAGGCTTCAGCGTAGACCAAATAATCAGCAATAACAAACGTGTGTGACAGCGCAGGAAATAACCACTGCTGAGTGGACGCCAAATCTCAGATGAGCCTGGGAGTCCAAATCTGTGACAGATTCATTGCCTTGTCCCTTCTAGGCTGAAGCAACTTGAGGGCAGTTGTCCTTGTACCATGTCTAGTTTACCTGCAGGCACTTAACACCTGTTTATCGTTATCATTGAGACTAACAAATAATAGAATCCCTCCTGCCACCCAACATGGGAAAGGTAATTGCTGCTTGGCTGGTATCAATTCAAACCATACCACTGCAGCGGAGACAAGAACTCTGCCTTATCTTGAAGCCTCACAGCCACTGGAAGCTGCAGGCCAATGTAATTTGCTGGTGCTTTTTAACTCAGCAGCAGTTTTTCAGCAAACACATCAAACCCTTAATGGGGTTTTTGAAAGTAAATCTCCCATTTGAAGTGAGAAGAAAAAGAAATAAACAGTTATTATTCCATTTCTCTTCTTTACCTTTTAATTTTGGGGAGGGGGAGCTAAGTGCAATGGGGGTAGGAAAAATGACTCCTCAAAGCAAATAGGAGTCCCGTTGGAGAATCAGCCTCATGCAGCCCCTGGTCTGCTCGGGAGCCGTGTGGATGAAGTATTAAGTACTGGGGTAGCAGCAATGTGGTTGTTACAGACATGATCAGATGAGTAGTTAAAGGTCTGGCATTCTTTAGGGAAACAAATGATTGATCAACCCAGCAAAAATAAATAACCTGGCCTTTTAATTCTATGCAGCAACTTTAAATATTTAATAAATCATTACACATATGGAGGATGTGTCCTCACCCTGCTCCTTGTTGCCTGTGATTTTTGGATAAATTTATCGAAAGTGCCTTTTTAGGGACTTCTGATCCAGGCCACAGATTCAGGAAGCACAATTTAAAATTCTTGTCCCATCCCTTTCTTGGCACAAGGCTCGTCAGAGGCTGCGATGACATGCAGCCATCAGGAGGATGTGCTGTTTTGGAGGATGGTGTTGGGGTGGGGACCATCTGGGACACTGGCGTACGTCACAGGTGTCAATCACAATGTGCACCTGCAGCTGAGAAGCAGTACGTTGAACACAAAACATGATGCAGCTCAGTAAAGGAGCTGGCTCCTTGCTGAAGGCTGTTGTGGCTGGGAAGGTTTCTGGCCTGGAGAGGATCCTGGCTGTGTAGGGCAGCGAGCCTGAACAGACTCTGGAGTTCCCAGAACGCTGGTCGGGAGGTGGGGGCCCAGTTAGAGGATGCTACTCTAGCTTTAGTATTAGAGGGCACCAGCTGGGTGAGAGGTGACTGCTTCTTGGGAGACAAGCAGTTGCGTCTGTGCCAAGGGACTGCTGAAGATGCGTGGAGCAGGTGACTGGATTTGCACAGGCCTTAGTTTTTATACCATGTTTGCTCAGAGATAGGAATGCAGGTAGAAGCTGCAAAGAGGATGCACCTCTAGGGCTACCATCACCAGATGCCTCTCTCTAGTCTCTTGGTCACTGCAAATTAGTAACAATGGCCAGGTGAAAACCAGTGAATGGGTGGCTGGCTGGGGGACACATGGCATCGAATGGGCATGACCTCCTTTACTTGGGGTGTGTTTAGACTTTCAGTCTTCTTCAGAGACAGTACTAAGATTAACTGAGTTCAGAGGTACTAAAGGCCACCCATAGAGATCTCCAGGAAGATGTTTGGTTTGGATTCAGTGAAGGGACAAGATGCAAAAGTCACACAGCCTTTTATGCTCTACTGCCTAAGTCATGTAGAAAATGTTGCTTGATAATAAATTACATCATTTATCAGAGTCAATACATATTTGTTAAGTGTTTATTATATATCAGGCCCTGTGCTGAGGATGTGTGGATGGGGCATGAAAGACATGGTCTTGGCCTCAGAAGCGGTAGGCCTCTATCAGAGCTCAGATTTCATTGACATGGTGATGACTGTGGATATTATTAGATAGTTTAGACACTATCTAAAGGGTAAAGGGGTAAATAGTAGAACATTTATTCAGGGAGAATCTCTGTGGTTATCCCCAGAACATCAGGACAAGTGGGGAAAATAGGTAAAGACAACATTATTCGGAATTTGAAGCCAGTAATTAAACTTAGGGACCAGCAGAAAGAAGCAGGCTTTGGTGGTAGTCCAGATTATTGCCTTTGTTTGAGTGTGTGTGGGATCAGGCTCAGTGAACAAATGAGCTTGTACCAAGGAGAGCAGATGGAGAGGTGGATCCTTCTCCTCAGGTCCTGCTCAACCCTCGCAATGCAACAGATGGCACCTGGCAGGCAAGTGAGGCCAAGCTGGGGCACACAATGGGCCCACCCCAGTCATCTCTGTGACCTGGGTTTCCCAGCACCTTGGAGATGAGGGGAATGGGGACTGTGTGTGTGGAGACATGGCTTTCTGGGGATGCTCTTCACATTAGATAGAAGAGAGGATACAGTGAGGGTCACAGAGTTAGGGGAGGCTCTGATGGCTCGCTTTCCTGGAGTGACAGCTGGCAGGCAGCTGTAGAGAGACAGTGTGTGTGTGTTAACAGCCACAGTGACTGGGTGTTTATTGAATTGCTGTGGATTTTCTAAAAGCAAAGCAAGCATACTAAATTGCTGCAAATTACCAAGGGCTTTCCTAATGTTCGATAAAAATACTGTGAACATTTAAGGACACAGGCTCTGAAAACAGTTCTGAATGTGGTTGCAGGGCAGCTCTTGCACTGAGAACAAATACTCTGGCTTGTCAATACAAATCAGTGGAGTTAGTAGAATGGGGATCACACCAGAAGCTGGACATTGCAAACTCAGGTTGGCATCCCCTTCCTTTTTTAGTATTTGCTTTCATCCATTTTACACGTGTGTTTCCTCTCCTCTGCCTGCCTTGCCAGTGAAGCGATGATTATTTTGGGGCATTGCCTGGGTGAGATGTAGTGTACCTCAGACTGGCTGTGGTGCTTATCTTCTGGTCCAGAGACGAAAACAAGTGCAGGAGAATGGGCTAAGTTTTTAATCATCTTCCTTAATGATCCTCAGTCTTTCTTATGTTTCTCAGTGTTCTGAAGACCGTCCATCAGCTGTCAAGGAACAGGAATACCCTGAAGGAAGGCCAGACCAGGGGTCTAGAATAGCCTCCATCTCCCGTTTGCCAGTTAAGTCCCTTCGTGTCCCATGCCTGGTTTCTTCAGGTTCAACCTAATTTCTTTCTGTCCCTGAGGCTTTGCAGTTTTGCTCATTTTCCTCCCTGAGTTAGGTCTTGTTCTTTGGACAGAAGTAAAACATAATATTTTGTCCTAAGGAAAAAAGTAGTACCACTGGATTTGAAGGCTTTTGGCTTCCAGCTTTGTATTTAGAAGCAGAAGACAGTTGGGAATCTGAATTAAATTACACCTCAGTTTAAAAATCAAAGGAATAACTGTTTAGGAGCCAAATGCACTTTGGGTTAAATCAGTTCAAAGCATCAGAAAAATCATTAGAAATATTTGAAGAGGACAGCAGGTGGATCGGTTTGCATTTCTTAACCTGTGTTCATTTGATGTTTTGCTTCCACAGGGAAGCATGAGGAATTTCACTGCCTTCCAGCAATTAAATTGCATTCAAGAATTCTACAGTAGCCTTGGTGGTCTGCAACGACATTTCAGGGATTAGATGCTCTATCTCCTGTCTGGTAAGCTGTTGTGATTACCACTATCACCTATGAGTCTCAGTGGAATTCTTTTGATCATAATATTATCTCATTGAAAATAAAAAAAAAACTAGAATAGTTTCTAAATGCAGCAAGGTATGCTTTAGTGGTATATGTCAGCATGGGAGCCAGAAATATTGAGGTTTCAATATATACTAGAAAATTAGGAGAGATGGTCCGATACTTTTGGATGGACGAACAGACAGGTTTTTCCCGGAACACCTAAGTCTTTGAGCTTTGTGCAAAGAAGACCATACAATTATTTTCCCTTGATGTATTTCCCCAAGGGATTTGACAGGTAATGTGAGAGATTGAGTCGGGTAATTTAGGAAATGGAAGGAACCTAAGAGTTCAGGAAACCCAACCCAACCCAGGCATCAGGATAGATGCTTCCTGAGCTATGGAACAAAATGGGCAAGAAACAACAGAGATTTTTTGTCCTTGCGATAGTTTGCTGAGAATGATGGTTTCCAGCTTCATCCGTGTCCCTACAAAGGACATGAACTCACTCTTTTTTATGGCTGCATAGTATTCCATGGTGTATATGTGCCACATTTTCTTAATCCAGTCCATCATTGTTGGACAAACTATCGCAAGGACAAAAAACCAAACACCGGATGTTCTCACTCATAGGTGGGAATTGAACAATGAGAACACATGGACACAGGAAGGGGAACATCACACACCAGGGCCTGTTGTGGGGTGGGGGGCGGGGGGAGGGATAGCATTAGGAGATATACCTAATGTAAATGACGAGTTAATGGGTGCAGCACACCAACATGGCACATGTATACATATGTAACAAACCTGCACGTTGTGCACATGTACCCTAAAACTTAAAGTATAATAATAATAAAAAAAAGAAGCAACAGAGAACACAGCTGGGTCAGAGAGGGAAAGGACAAAGGGACAAAAGGACAGGGGACCATCATGAAAAAAGAGGGAACCAGAGCTCCTGCAGCATCTTGCCTGGCCACAGCATACCGGCCCAGCCATGATGGGACACGCATGGGAGTGAGACAAATAGGAGACGACAACAGCAATGGGATGGGAGCAGCAGATGTTTTCCCTCGAGAACAATTATTGAGCAGTAATCACACGCAGAGGCGGGCTCCTGTTGCAAGCAGATGGACTTTATTAGCAGCCTTATAAATTGATGCTCTGAGACTCATCCGATGATCTTTTAGTCCTTAGCCAGGATTCAGTCACCCTCTCCTGTCCTCAGGGAAAAAGGCCTGATCAACCATCCCGGACAAGCACATTCTGAGGGTGGCCCTCTTGAAGCATGGCTTCTGTGGGTCAGGAAGTGCTTCTGGGGATGAAACAATTTCCCTAGGAGGGATTCCATTCAAGGGATTGGAATCTATGTTACTAAATGGCTATGTTCACAATGTAGGTCACAGAACCAAACATTCATATACGTGATCTCCATCGCCACTTTCCTCATCTATAAAGTTAGGGAGTTGGATTTCCTGACCTCTTAGGTTCCTTCCATTTCCTAAATTACCAGATTCAATCTCTCACATTACATATCAAATCCTTTGGAGAAAAACATCAAAGGAAGACAATTGTACAATCTTCTTTGCACAAAGTTCAAAGACATATATGTCTCTGCAAAAACCTCTCTGTCTACCCACCCATCCATGCATCCATCCGTTCACTCATTTATCCATCCATCCATCAATCCATCCAACCATCCATCCATCCACCCACCCATCCACCCAATTATCCATCCGTCCATCCTTCCATCCATCTATTTAATCATCCTTCCATTTATCCATCCATTTCCACCCATTGGTACTTACAATGATTCATTTGTTGGTTCAAAATTGAAAACTTATTACATACCTAAACCCACAATATTTTAATCTCTGTTGACACCATATCTATCCTCAGTATTTGGCAACCATAAATATTTAAATATTTACCAAATGAATGAATGAAAGGCAGCTACACTACCTGTTTAACAAAGCAACAGGTTGGAAAGTGGTTCTGCTTCACTGCAGTCCATTTCATAATTTCTTGGCAGTTGCACATATTTCAGTGCTAAATAAATATTTGTTAAAGGAAGGAAGGAATCTGTGCAGCTGCAGTTGTGTATGTTTATGGGTTTTGGCCATCTGCTTATGTCTCATCTCTGTAGGCCGTGTTGTGTGGTGGGTAGGGGCTGCTGGGTCTGGACTTCAGAGGCCTGGATTCTCCTCCACACTGTTTCAAGCAAGCTCTGTCCCTTGAATAAACCTTGTAGCCTTTCTGGGCCTCTCCTTTCTCAACTGCAAAGTAATACATTTGCTTTGCTTACTTGCAGCTTTAAAGTGCATAGTTGGAGTGTGAGAATTAAAAACTGAAGAGACCTAGTATGCACTTTAATAAATAAGTGGTAGTTATTATTTAAATGCAGGGACTTGTCTTCTTCATCACAACATTAAAGAAGGGCTGGTATATCCTTTGAATATTGAATAAGTGTATTATAGTAATAAAACAATTGGAAGTTGTTTATGTAGCAAACACTTACATAGGGATTGCTATGTGCCAAGCACTGTTATCTATGCTTTACAAGTATTTTAATAATAGCTGCAGGTAATTCAATCAACTCATTAAGTTCACTAATTTAATCTTCATAAACATTAAAGGAGGTAGGTACTAGCATCAGCCCCACTTTACTGAGCAGAAGACTGGGACCTGGCTAGTGAGGTCACCCCTCCGAGGCCACTCCACTAGTCAGGGGCAGAGCCAGCAAATGCAGGCAGATGTCTAGGCATTGTGATCCTAACTCCCCTGCTCCGCCACTGTGTGCTTGACAACCATGCTATAGAATACAATATGTTAAAGTTAAAGTGGAATAGAGACCATTGTTCCCACCAGGCGGTTCTCACGGTCTAATTGGGCACATGAAATATTTAGAGAAGGAGAGAATGGGCAATAAAGCCGCCACATGAGGTATATAGATCTTAGGGGAACATATGACGAGCCCCTTACTTTTATACAACACTTTATGCCTTTCTGAGTGTGTCTGCATTCATCGTCTCATCTGCTTTCCATAATAGCTGTCATTATTTATTGAAGGCTTACTGTGTGCCAGGCACTGTGCTAAGTGCTTTTGCTTATATTATCTCAACCAAGCCTCACAGAAAACAACATGAAACAGAAAACCTATTATATGAGCATCATTTCAGTGTTAGTGTCAAAAATTCAGTTCAACTCGTTCATGTAAATAATAAATGGGGGAGTCAGAATTGGCTTCAAACACAGCTGGTTCTAGGGAGTCAAATAATGCCGCTGGGTACACGCTGTCTCCCTCTCGCTCTCTCCCCCTCTGTCCATCTCCCTTCCTCACTCAGCCCTACTCTCCTCCCTGTTGGCTTAACTCTGAGACAAGTTCTTTCCTTAGGGTGACCCCAAGAGCTCCAAGCTAAGGTCATCCTTACTGCAAATGATCAGCGTTTCCAATAAATGTCCTGGAAATGAGTTCGGTGCATATGGCCTGCCTGTGAACTGATCATTGTGGCCAGAGGGATGGGATATGTCGATTTGTGGGAACCGGGTCACAAGGCCAGCCCTGTAACTCCTGGAAGGAGTCGGTCCATCAGACCCAGAAGAAAGTGAAGAGGATGTTTCTAGGATAAAGGAGCATGGAGTCTGTGGAGACAACCACAGCAAAGTCCGCAGGAGTGAATTTCTCCACTTTATGGACGAGAAACAGGTTCTGAGCGTCTAAGGGCTTTGTCTTGGACCATGGACCTGGAGACCAGCAGAGCAGGGTTTGCATCAGGTGTGTCTTCTTCTTCTCATCAGTGTTACAGACAGGAAGAGAGAGGCACCGACTGCGTAAGTGCCTTGTTTGATTCATCTAGATAAAAGGGGTCATTGCAGGATTCAGGGCAGAGCTTTCCTCAGAGCGGCCACTGACAAAGACGTCCTGAAACAGACATCTCCACTCTTTCAGGGACGCCAAACTAGGTAAAAAATTCTGGATGGCTCTGCATTGCATCCTCTATCAAAACCTGCAACTTGGGCTTTGAACCGCAGCTTCTGCTTGAACACCCACATGGTCTTTGAATTTGGAACAGTTAGAGAGAGACACAAGTGGTTCCTGTTGGGTGGCTTCTTTTACAAGTTGGTTTTTAAAACATGGTGCTGGGTGGTGGCTGCAGGCCAGGGAAGTGGGGACTTTGGCTGTGAGTTCCAGGCAGCAAGCTGGTTGGTGGGTGGACCAGCCTGGACTCCACAACACAGAGTGCAGCGCCGCGCGGGGCTTTGCATTTGGTCCTTGGGAAAAAGCTGACATGCTGAGAGACCAGTTTCCAAGAATGGGCTCAGTGAGAAATTTTTATGCATAGTGGAGAAGCACAATCGAAGGAGTCAGAGTGAGCTCCTGTGGGCTCTGTGGCTGTCAAATCAGCTATGTGGCCTCGGGTGTCTCATGTAACCCCTCTGTGGCCATTTCCCCGTCTGTGAGACAGGACCTGTAGGGCGGGCTTTCTTAGGAAGGGGGCAGATGTCCTTAGACTGAGACCAGGGCACAGTTTTGGAAAAGGCCCCTTCACTGAAGACAGGGTTCTGCAGGTCAGGAGGAGAGTGGTCTGTCCGCCAGTTCTTGTCAGTAGTCCTGACAAATAATGCTGGGAGAGCTGGCTTCTTTGCAGGCCTCCAGGCCTGAGTATGTATGCAACCAAGCCTGGTGGAGGCCCTAGTGACCCAGGCAAAGCCAGGCTATGCTGACTGTAGTCCTGCCTGCCCTGTGCCTGCAGGTCCTGTGCCTGGGGCTCCGGAGGGCACAAGCCTGCCTGAAGCTCATCCCCAACCCTTTTACTCAAAGACCTGAATTGGAACCAGCGGGGACAGACAGGAGATCCTCACATAGCTGACCCAGGCTCAAATCCCTGTCTCCCTCTTACATGTTCTAAGCCTCAGTTTTGTGACCCCTTCTTATAAAGAATACATCAGATAACATTTGCAAGTGCTTAGCTCACTTGCTGTTGGACCCAGGGGCTGATAATGCAAGTCTCTAGGACTCGGGGCATCTGTTTTCCTTCTCTCCCCCAACAGATGCAGGTGACCACCTGGCTGGCCCTGAGAGCTACTTGCAGGCTGCCAGGTAACAAGGGGTAAGGGCTGCTGCAGGGCAGCCCCTCCACTCCATGCTGGGAATCTCAGGAGAAGGGAGTCTGTTACTGTGCCACCTTCTTCCACTTCCACCCCCAGTACCCTCCCGCTCCACAGGCTTCCCAGTCCTTCCTCCAAATCTCCTCCTTACCAGGACCAATGGGAGATGGTTCCTGACTCACTTGTGCTGGGCTTGAGAAAGCCTGGTGGGAACCCTCCTCCCAGGCCGGCCCGAGGGAGGGCATTCTCCAGGGGATGCTCCTGGCTGCAGGAAACAGCCCATCCACACCTCCCCTCCATCATCGCCTGTGATGGCTCTAGGCCCCAGGCATTAATGTGGGGAGGAGGTAATGCCACACATTTTCTTTTGTTCTGTTTCTTGAGTAAGAAGGTTGTACCCTTTCCTGCCCCAAGCGTCCCACTCGTGCATTGTCACTGCAAAGTGGGGGAAATGACGTTGTTCTGCAGCACACCATTGTCACCCCACGTCGCCCCTGTGAGCAGGAGCATCAGGTCGGCAGTGTTGCTCCTCAGTGGATGCACCGTGACCAGAACGAGGTCGCTGGATCGGATGAACTGAGCCTACTACCCCAGCTCCTGCCGCAACCCCAGACCAAGAGAGCCTCGGCTCCTTCATCTGAAAAAGGGGAATGAAAACAGGTGGGAGGGGGATTAGGCCGTGTAAAGTACCTTACAGGAGAATGCCTCATCAGATCCAGAGTATTTTACAAATGGTAGGGATTTTCACCATACATATGATAAAATATATGTCACATAAAATTTACCTTTTTAAAGAGACAGAGTCTTGCTCTGTTGCCCAGGCTGAAGGGCAGTATTGCTATCCTAGCTCACTGCAGCCTCAAACTCCTGGGCTTAAGCCATATGCCCACCTCAGTCTCCTGAGTAGCTAGAACTACAGGTGTGTGCCACTATGCCCAGCTAATTTTTTAAAAAATTAGAGATGCTGTCTTGCTATGTTGCCTGGACTGGTCTCCAACTCCTGGTCCCAAGCCCTGCCTCAGCCACCCAAAGTACTGGGATTGCAGGTGTAAGCCACCGCATCCAGCCAAAATTTACCATTTTGACCATATTAAAGTGTATAATTCAGTGGCATTAAGTACATTCACAATGTTGTGCAACCATCACCACAGTCCTGTTCCAGAACTTTCCCATCACCCCAGATGGAAACCAGTACTCTGTTAGCGGCCACTCCCCATCCCCGCTCCCCCAGACCCTGGCAGCTGCTCATCTGCTTCTTGTCTGTGAACTCGCCTACTCTGGATATTCCATATAAGTAGGATCTTACAGACTGGGGCCTTTTGTGTCTGGCTTTTTCACTTAGCGTCATGTTTTCAAAGCTTATCCATGTTTCCACATGTGCCAATTTCATTCTCTCAAAAGGCTTATTATTCAGCCATTTTTATCAGAGGCTTATTATTCCATTTTGTGGCTATGCAACATTTTGCTTATAGAAATGGTTGTTTTAGTTTAAAATCTCACCCTGGGATGAGAAATCATCCTGGAAATGATGGGAACAGAGGTGCCTAGTGTGGAGACAGAAGGTGGGGCAGAGGGTGGACATGAGACCAGCCTTCAAACCTCAAGGCGGTTTGGTTAGGTTAGATTAGGTTTCAGCTTTGATGTTGCTTCTGCCAAAAGCCTTTTCTGACCTGGCCCCGATAACCCTTCCCTCAAATCTTGATGAGTGTCTCTTCTGAGCGTTCCCTCAGGTCCCTGAACTTCTCTTATTATAGCCCTGGGCTGTCTGTGTCTGAGTGACTCAGGCTGTGGGCCTGAGTGACTATATCGTCTGGACCCCAGGTGGAAAGACCAGGACCAAAGGGAGATGACTTCTGACTCACTTCTGCTGGGCTTGAGAAAGCCTGGTGGGAATCCTCCTCCCAGGCCGGCCCTAGGGAGGGCTTCTGAGGGGTGTGGAGCCGGGGGGTGGGCAGGGATCTGAAGGTGAGAGTAAGCGTCACCCAGAGGCTGTTGAGGCAGAACTGAGGGGCAGCTGGGACTGCTGACTGGGAGGCGGGTGGGGCCGGGTCAAAGTGGAGGGAGTGGGGGGACCATTAATTTGTGGACAGGCTGGGCTCGAGGCAGAAGAGGAAAGGGCTGCTGAGGTCTGAACATCTGTGTCCTCCCAAACTCGTGTGTTGAAACCTAACCCTCGAGGTGATGGTGATGGGAGCAGAGCCTCTGGGAGGTGAATAGGATATGAGGGTGGCCTGATGAATGGGATGGGTGCCCTTCCAGGGTGCTCAGGAGACCAGAGCTCCCCCTTCTACCTCTGAGGACACAGAAGGGGCTGTCTGTGAACCAGGAAGTGGGTCCCCACCAGACACCGAATCGGCCAGCACCGTTACCCCAGACTTCCCAGCCTCCCGGCTGTGAAAGATAAATCACTATTGTTGTGTAAGCCACCCAGTTTGTGGCATTTTGTTACAGTGGTGGGAGTGGGCTAAGATGGGACTGAGGACCCAGGCTTGTTGTAAGGGCTGAGTGGCTCATGAAGCTTCCAGGGTACGTCCCTGCTCCCCACCGCGGTCCCTGTCCTCTTCCGCTTCTGGTCAGCATCCTCACGGTTCCCTGCCCACCTCATTCCTACCCCTGATTTCTCCATTTGACTTGCTAGGTCTTAGGTTAGGTTTCAGCTTCGATGTTGCTTCTCCCAAAAGCCTTTTCTGACCTGCACCCCGATAATCCTTCCCCCAAATCTCGGGGAGTATCTCCTCTGAGTGTTCCCTCAGGTCCCTGAACTTCTCTTATTGTAGGCTTGGGCTGTCGGTGTCTGTGGGCCTGCAGATGACTCTATCATCTGCAAGGACAGGGACCACTCTGTCTCACTCACTGCAGCATTTCTGCCATTGCAGACCAATGCCTGGCACATAGCAGGCCATCTGCACCTACTTGCGGAATAAGTGAATGAATGAATGAGTGGTGAATGGTGGAGACAGCAGCCGAAGCCGGAGCTCACCTTTCTAGCATATTACAACCTTAGAGCAGACTGCTGTGGGGAAGCAAGGGCTCCTGTGTTACAGGAGTCACTGGAGGAATTCAGGTGGCCACTCAGTCCAATATGCTTGGGGAAGATGGGAGTGAGTTAGAGAAATGGACCTGGTGGCCTTTGGAACCCCGTCTGGCTCAAACCTTCTGTGATTTGATGACTCCGAGAACCATCCCTTGCCCTCTGCCTGGGCCATTCTTCATCCCAGCCGAAATGCTGCCATGGCCCACGTGTGACCCAGATGCTGACGCAGGATTCTTCAATCTCGCAGGTGCTGCTCTTTATAGCATTTAATCTAGTAATGCAGTGCCAGTGTGGCCTTTTCATTAATCACCCCTTTCACCACAGCCTCTTGGAGAGGGAGGCTCAGAGGGCAACAGAGAAGAGGGCTGAGAGTCTGATGTCTTAAGCAGCATGTCAGAGTCAGAAGCGGTAAGAGCAGTGAGCAGCACAGACCAGCTGGGGCTTGGGTGGACACCGGGAATGACACACACAGTCATGCACGCATGGTGGTGGAGGGATATTTTTGTGGAAAGCAGTGCAAGTTCAAAACCTACGATTTCAACTACTTTACCACCACCTTCCATACTCCTTACCTCGCTCCTCTCAAAGGCAGTAAAAACCCACTCAGCTCTCTTTGCTGGAGTAGTGCTCTACATCCAGAGAGTTCAAAGTACTTCTGCACCTAAACCCTACCTTCACCATTCCCTTGATGCGGGTGAGGGAAGCTATCAGAGTACCCCTTTTAGAAGACGAGAAACTGAGGCACTGGGCAGTTACATGGCTTGCCCGTGACTGGTCCTGTTCTGATAAGTCAAAGAGTGAAGAGAGAAAGTTTAAGAACCTGTGGCGAAGTTGGACGTGCGGTTGGAACTGGGGACAGGATGGGGGACTAGAGTTGGTAAATGTGTCTTAGAGTCTCATCATTTTTTTGATTTCCTGCTCAGTGCTTAGAGCCCATTTGCTTTTGTTTTCCAGGAATATTTTCACTTAGTTTCCTTCTAGAAAGTTATCTGTGGTTCCCCCATGAGTAAAACCTCACAGGGCAGTTCTGTCTGCCCTTTTATGCTGGAAACCACAGTGTGTTCAGTGAACAATTTTCTTTCCTCTTTCCACTCACTCTGAGTTTTTTCTTCATGGAATGCATGCAAAAGCCCTTTCATCTGGACCAGCCCCCACCTGCAACGGCCCCCCAGCATGCATTCCCTCTCCCTCAGTCCCTTTCTTTCCTCCTCCCTTTGGACAACAGACAATAAGAAATGTAGCAAAAGGCAGAAATATGCAGAGATACAAGCTCATGAAAAGGAGCACATGGAAGGTAATAAATTAAATGCCACCCAGCAAGGGTAGGGAGCCTGAGTGTGGAAAGATGGCAGGGAGTAAGAGGCAGATCACACAGAGCAGGGCACTAGAGCAAGGGGCGGGAGAGAGTGAGCCTGCAGCTGGACTTCTGGGGATAGAGGCCGAGCCTGCTGCTGAAGTCACTGTGCCCTCCTGATGGGTCCTCTGTACCAAGCCGGCCATCCTCCGAGGGCTGCCACAGCGCTTTCTCTTCTGGCCGGAGCCCTCACTCATGGAAGTGGAGAGGATTTGATTATTTGGGGGAGATCTCTTTCACACGGACAGCCAGCTGCTGGTGAGGGCTGAGCTCTTCAAGGGTGAGGACGCCCAGTGTCCAGGGCTGGCCCTTCCTCCCCTGCCCACAGACCCCATGCTCAGGTGCCTACAAATGCACTCACTCATGCAGCTTCTTTTCCCCAGTCCTGGTGCAAAACTCCATTTCTTTCTTTCCTGGGGTAATTGTATAAGCCCTGGAAATGAGACTTTTTGGATGAAATGGTGCTTTATTTGTTGGAAAACAGGGTGTGATGATTGAGGTTGGATTAAGTGGGCAGAGGGTGGGATCTTTCCAGCCCTGGGGCCTTTGACGTAGACAAGTACTTCCTATAAGCTGTCAAGTGAGAGCGAAGCGAGAGAGATCAGGCTGGGAGCGGGGAAGGGTGGTTCCTCTCACTCAGCCTCCTCCGGTGTCCCCTCTGACCTCACTGGGCGCAGAAGCACCCTCAGCTCTCCAGCCCCTTCATTCCCCTTCTTAACAGCTCTGCTCCACGGACAGGCTTGGGACTTCAGGGCTTCCCCCTTTTCAGGACAAATGCATCATCTGAGGTGCTTAGCAGGGGGCTCCCTACATTGCTCAGCTCATTAAAAGAAAGCCTTGCCTTCAAGTGGCACAGGTAATGAAGCATTGCGGGGTGCCTGCTGGCTCTAATAAGATGGAATAAACTGAGGGGGAGAATTAACCTGGTAGGATTAGTTCACTCTGCAGCAAGATGCTTGGAATCGCCTCTTAGACCCCGTGCCGGGAATCTTAAATACACTCCTTTCTTAGGAGGGGCACTGGCTGGGGAGGAAGGCACCGGGCTGAGCTAGACAAGACAGGCAGGGCTGCAGGCAGGGGCTGAGCTCTCTGCCAGGGAGTGGCCAGTTTTCTTCCCAGGCCATGCCTGAGAGTGCTGGGCTGCACCATAACTCCACAGATCTGTCTGTCCAACCCACACGGATGGTCCAGGCTGTGCCAGGGTTGACAGGGGACGGGAGAAGGCAGCTAACCCTTTCATGGCCTTGCTCTACTTGGTGATACAAGGGTGGCATGGGTCTGGGACAGATGCCCACGTTTGAAATTGCAGACTTTGGGCTTGCCAGTTCTGGTCACAGGAAGAAATGGAAAGAACAGAAGGAATACAAAGCCATGAGACGAAAGGCATCGGCATTCAAAATTCAGCTGTGAGCCTACCCCTTGCCAGGTCTGTGCTGGGTGCTGTGGTGGAGCCATGAGTAAGGCACGTCCACTGCCTTGAGATGCTCCTGCACTGCAGGAGAGATGAGTGTGCAACCAATGGCAGCGCTAGTTATGTGGCCAATGATGGACACCTGTGCTGGAGGAATCGACAAATTCTGCCCTGCTAAGGGATAGGAAAGGGCTCAGGGGGTCTTTGCAACAGAAGCAGCCTTTTTACTTTCTTTATCCAGCATAGGCCTCTCTACCAAACCATCGGGGGGTCTCAGAGACCTGGTGGTTCTCTAGCTTTGGGACTCCTTCAGGTGTGTGTTAAAATACGCATGACCGGCCTGGCCCTGAGACCGACTCAGGGAAAATGTTTGGGGGCTTGAGAATCGGTGTTCGGACAAGCATCCCAGGTGATTCCGGCAGTCAGCAAAACTCAAGGTAGATGGAAGGAAACCAATCTCTCTTTTTATAGAGGAGGGAAGTTAGGCTGAAAGATTGGGCGTGCAGTGGCTGATTCAAGACAAGTGGCTGGTAAGTGCAGTGCTGGGACCTGAGGTCAGCGTTGCTCATTGCCAAATTCAGTGCTGTCTCCACCACGGAGGTCACACACCCTGTCTCATGCAGCAGGGAAGGCACTAAGAAACAAGCTATGGGGCCACACAGCACATAGCATTCTATATTAGGGCAAAGTCTTATGGGGCTCAGAAAGCATACACAGAAACGGGGGAAGTGGAGTGGTCAGCAAGTTTCCATTGCTTCCTGCTTGCTCTGTCTACCTATGTCCTTGCTAACCCCACCTGCTCCAGATGGCAGCTTGCCTTATTCCTGGAAGGTCTTGTTTTCCTACTGGGCAGCTAGCAAAATGCCAAATGGACTGATGGGTTTCTCAGACTCTAAATACAGATGGCGGCATTTACGAGGGAGCAAAGCCTTACCACAGAAAGTTGCCAAAGTCTTGTTTCTGGAGACAATGCTGCAAGATATCTATGGAGCTGAGGGAGAGTGACTCTGGGGCACAACAGCTTTCCTGAAAGAGCCCCCGATGCCCTTTCAGTCCTGGGATGATACCCTTTATAAAATCTTTTACTTGTCAAGAAAGAGCCAATGTTGCTTGCAAGCATGTGGCCTTGGCTTACCAGCCATCTTGTATTCAATGTGAGAAAGGAAATGTGTTTCCACAAAGCATACTCCTGCTACATCCAAGCTGAGAAGCCTTCATTGGTCTTCCAAGGCAAGTGCTTCCAATCTCAGGCTGGCTGCATCCTACCAGCCGCCTTCATGCCTCTGGGGGCATGGAGGGCACCAGTATCCTGTGTGTCAGGCCCCTCCACACCACTGTATCCTCTGACTCCCACAGGGCTCTGGAAGGAGCAAAGGGAGGTATTACAGATCATATTTTTTTATTTGACAGATGGGGGAAAGAGCTTAAGAAGATTAAGTGATTTTTGTACTCACACTCACTCAGTGGGCAATTAAAGACTCACACCCAGGTATCCCAGCTCTACAACCTCCTCTCTTTCCCTTCTTAAACTCCAATTAGGACAATTGGTCCAGGTTCCTTCATGCCTCTAAGACTCTTTTAATATTTCCCCTCTCTGGACTGCCTTACTTTTCTTCAACTTTCCAGATCCTTCCAAATGGAGCTTGAAACTCCTCTAAGAAGTCTCTCCCAATTACTCTTCGCCTCAATCCTCTCTGAACCTGAACGACACTGCTTAGTGCTTAATTATGTTCTATCATATTGTTTGCTAATTGTTTGATATGTGCCATTTTTTCTCAGCACAGCTAGTTTGTAAATTCTACGAGGACGGTTGCTTCATAATTCTTTGATGGTGCCCAACCCAAGGATGCTAAGCACAGGGTTTAAAACTTTTTTGCTGAAAATCTGCATGGAGAATGCTAATGGCATTTCTCCTCCTAAGGGAATGAACAACAGCGACCCCATTTAGCATATCTCACTGTGTTTGGTTTCTCCCTATGTTATTAGCATAGAGACAGTAGCTATCTGGCTAGGAAAAAGCATCCAGCTGTTCAGAGCAGCTGGAAGCCAAGTAAGGGTTATTTTGGGATGAGTTATTTCTTGCTTCTTAAGCCCTTTCAAATAATATTGTCTGGGACGGTGCTTCTTGCTGGAGAAGGCTCTCCTTCCTCCCACAAAATAGAGGCAAATAAATTGCTACAGAAGAAAACCAAGGATGGGCTGAGAAGTGCGGGAAGTAAGACCCCTTAGTTTTGACGGCCAGATGTTCTTGGAGCTCCTGCTTCATCCTCCTCCTGCCTCTGTACAGCTGCTCCCAGGGCACAGGGACAGCTGAAGACTTTGGAGACTGCAGCCCTTTTAAACTGGCTTTCATCCATCCACTCCCTGTGCATTTGGAGGCCTACTGTTTACTTATTCCCAGCTAAGTTCCTGCCTTTGATGTCAGAATTTCAGTGGGGTCCTAGAAAAGAAAACATATACATACATAAATGAGGTAATTGCAGGGTGATAATTGCTCTAGGGAACAGAAGTGGTGGTGGGAAGAGTGGAGGGGAGGGTGTAGGTGGGGGCTGCTGTAGACTGAGTGGTCAGGGAAGCTGTTTGGAGATTAAAATGAAATCGAGGGAACAGCCTTCCAGGTAGAGAGCTGGGAAAGCGCAGACTGGCCCCTGCGGCAGATGCTGGAGGAACATGCCTAGGAATGGATGGAGGCCAAAGGGAGGAGAGCCCAGTGAGCCAGGGAGCCTGTAGGAGGTTCTGAGGAGGGCACTGGAAG
The DNA here is from genome assembly GCF_000001405.40 of Homo sapiens. NCBI lineage: Eukaryota > Metazoa > Chordata > Mammalia > Primates > Hominidae > Homo > Homo sapiens. Next base: position 133,711,688 of record NC_000011.10, on the reverse strand, counting down.
CAACTGCAACCTTTGGAGAGTGGTTTGCACTGGAGGAGTGCTAAGAGCAGGGAGGATGGGGGATGGATTAGAAAGCTGGAGTCAGGGTGTTGAAGGCAGAGTAGCTAGGTCTGTGGTGGATCGAGTGTGGGGGCTGTGGGGAAGAGGAATCTCATGTTTCTAGCATTGATTGAGGAATACTGGGCAATAAATGAGGTGTGTGTGTGTGTGTGTGTGTGTGTGTGTGTGTGTGTATGTAATTCAAGAGCTCTAGTCTGGATGTATTGATACCAGACATATAATAATGGCTATAAATTACTTATTCAGCCACAAATTATTGTGTACCTAGTATGTGCCAGGCTCTGCCCTAGGCACAGGCAATACAGCAGGAGACAAAACAGACCTCCTCTTTTTCATGGAGCACACATTCTAGAAGAGACAGGCAACAGACGAGATGAATGTAGGGAGTGCTAGGAGGAGAGCAGTGCCTTGGAGAAAGATGAGACAGAGAAGGGAAATATGAAGAGAGTTGAAGTTTTGTCTAGGATGTCCAGAGAAGTCATCACTCGATGGTGACATGTAGGCAAAGGCTTAAGAGGGCTGAGTGATATTGGAGGAAAGCCCTGCAGACAGCAAGTGCCTGGGCTTGAAGGCAAGAGGGTACCTGCAGTGGCCCAGGGGCAGGGAGGTGTCCAGTGTGACTGAGGCAGAAGGAATGAGGCTGAGAGCAGGGAGGTCACAGAGGGGAGGGCCTGGTAGGTCAGAGAAGGCCTCATACTGCTGCTTGGTTGAGTTGGGAACTCGGAGGATTTCAAGCAGAGAGCTGAAATAATCTGCTCTGATAGACATGCTAAGAATAGACTGTAGAGACAAGAGCAGGGCAGGAAGCAGGACAAGCAGTTTTGGATGGATCTTGGGAACTTGGACTAGCGCAGTGGTGGTGGTGGAGTTGAGAAGGGGTCAGGGTCTCTATGTGTGTTAAAGGTATGACGGCATTTGCTAATGGATTGGGTGTGGGGATGTGGAAAAGAGAAATGTCAAGGGTAACACTCCTGTTTTTAGCTTCACAATTGAAAGGATGAAGTTGCATTAAAGATGTTGGGAAGAAAGTGGGAAGGACAGGGTAGGGGTACAGTGAGAGCGCAACTTTGAGCATATTAGGTTTTGGGTATGCGTTCGCCATCCTTCAGGAATGTTTGGCAACAGGGTGATAGGAGTTGAGTTTGGAGCAAAGGCCTGGGCTAGAGATACAAATCTGGGAGTCATTAGCATAAGAATGATGTTAAAAGCCAGAGACTGGATGACCCAACACAGAGAGTCAGAATAGAGAGAGAAGTGGTCTAAAATCTGAGCCTGGGCCCTCTAGTGCTTGAAGGCCAGGCAAGATGGAACCACAGGAAGAAACTGAGAAGGGATGGGAAAAACCAGGTGGCTGTGTAAGTGTATAAACCATGCTAAGAAAACCTTTAAGCAGAAAAACATGATCAATGCTCAAAAATATTGTGGATCACTAAGAAAATGAGGACCAAAAATTGACATTGGCTTTAGCCATGTGTATGACATCTGTGACCTTCATTAGGGTAGTGTTGGTGAAGATGTGGGAGGGAAAGCCAAAGCAGATTTCAAGAGTGTATGGGAGGAGATGCATCTAAGACAATATGTATAGACATGGTTTCAAGGAACTTTGCTCTAAGGAAAGAGAGAAATGGGGGATTGCTATAGGAGAAAGTGAGTGACAATTTTCTTGATAGAAAAAAACAGCAGTATGTGTGTGTGTTGATGGGAAAGATCCAGTAGGGTGAGAAAAATTGACATTGCAAGAGAAAGGCAGGAAAATTGCTAGAGCATTGTCCTTGAGTAGAGGAGGACGAATGGGTCTAGCAGACAGGAGGAAGAGCAGGCTTTGGACAGGAGCACCGTCACTCACAGCAAGGGAGGAGAAGGAAGCGTTCTATGTACCAATTGATGGAAGGCAGATAAAGGTGGTGGGAGTCTGCGGATATTCTTCTTATGTTGTTTCAGCTTCCTCAATCATAGAAAGATGGTTATCAGTTGAGAGTGAGGATTCATGGGCAGGTATTCCACATAAAGGATGAGATAGCATGTCCTAGCCGTCTAGCAGAGCAGCCAAGTAAGTGTGCAAGAGCGCTTACGTGTGAACGCTGGACAGCACCACGGGACCCCTGAGTTGATTGATTATAAATTTAAAAATAACCAGCATGAGTGTGTTCTTTTTGTAAACATGTTCACTTGTGAACGTGCAAGCTGGTTAGACTAAAGCAGATTGTGATTTAGCTGCTTGCAGGAAAGTCCGTGGCAGCAGAGGGCGAGGGCAGGCATGCTGAGGGTGAGGGTGAAGGGTGCGACCTAATGATTGGCAGGGAATGCAAGCCGGGGAAGTTGGGGACTCAAAGGGCAGAGGTAGATTGTGGAATCTCCACTGAAGGTGGGGAGGGGAGAGGGGCAGGGAGCTTGGTACTGTGGTTGGCTCCTTGAGGAGCTGGACTTGAAATATAGAAAGTGTTGTTCAGAATCTGGGATGTTTGAAGTCATGCTTATGGGGAGACAGCAGTTCTTGGCAATGACAGGATTGAGGTATGACCCTGAGAGTGACTGGATAAATTAGGAAGAGGGAGAAGTCCCTTGGAAGAATGGAAGCCAGGGCATGGCATTTGAAACATGATGACTTGTATATTAAATCACCAAAGTAGGAAAAAAGTGTCAGGAGAAAGAGAGTCAGGAGCTGAACTCTTCAAGGTGAAAGGGTCCCTGGATAACTTGTGCCAAGGGTGGGAAGTGTGTGGTTTAGTCACTAACTGGAGATACTAAGCACAGTACTCTCATGCGGGGATGGGGAAGAGGGAGCAGCCACGAGGAGCAAGGACATGAGTCCCAGGTGGGCCTGGGGCCAAGGTGGCCTTTGAGGGAGGACTGCCCAGGAAACCAGTTTCCAGGGGAGAGCCCGGTTTCAGTCAGAGGCACAAGGTGGAGGGGCATGCATAGAAGAGGGTGGTAATATGGGGATCTTGCAAGAAGTGAAGACATGCGAGTCTTGCTGATGATCGGTCTTGAGTTCTAGAGGTAAGTGGCAGGGTGCTAGGAGATGGGGCAGAAGGAAGGTAAGATCAGAAGGTGAGGTGGAGAGCCTGTGGGTGTCAGAGTCTGGGTCTGGGGATGAGGCTGCTGGAGGTGACTGGATATGAACAGGGAAAAAGATGGATAAAAACAGCAAACATCCTGTAAGCGTATTCTATGTGCTAGCCATTTATACATTAACTCATTTAATCGTCACAACTTTATGAGGTAGGCACTATGATTAACTCTGTTTATGGATGCAGAAACAGAAGCACAGAGGTGAAAAACTCACCAAGATCACACAGCTTGTTTGTACAGAGTGAGGATTTGAACCCAGGCAGAGAGATTCTCGAATCTCTGCCATGCCTCCATTCTGCCTCCATGCTTGCTAACGTGTGCACTGCCCTGATTAGTTATGTGGTCTCGGGAAAATTGGTGATCTTTATGAGTTTCACTTTTGACATATGCAAAATATCGGTGATCATATCAGAATTAGTGATTCCGTGGCTGTTCCTCAGAGAGAGGGACACAGAACATGAGTAGGGGAGGTGAGACACAGGCACATGCCCCTTGAAGATGGAGGAGAGCTGCTGTTTTCCTAGAGGCAGAGCCTGCTGTGGAATCACAGAAAGAAAAGCAGAACACAGAGCTCAAATTTTGTTTTCTGTATAACAGGATCAAGGTTTAGCCCTATGGAGAATGTCAATCTCCCCAAATCTATCTTTCCTTTTCCTTCCCTTCCCCTTCCCCTTCCCTTCCTTTCCCCTTTCCCTCCCCTTCCCTTCCCCTTCCCTTCCCTCCCCTTCCCCTCTCCTTTCCTTCCCCTTCCCTTCCCTTCCCCTTCCCTTCTGTTCCCTTTCCCTTTCCCTTCCCTTCCTTCCCCTTCTCCTCTGTTCCCCTTCCCTTTCCCTTCCATTCACTTCCCCTTCTTTTCCCTTTCCCTTCCCCTTCCTTTCTCCTCCCCTTCCCTTCCACTTCCCATTCCCTTCCCCTTCACTTTACCTTCCCCTTTCTTTCCCTTCCCCTTTTTTCTTCCCTTTCCCTTCCCCTCCACTTCCCATTCCCTTCCCTTTCCTTCCCTTCCTATTCTCTTCCCTTCCCTTTCCTTCCCTTCCTCTTCCCTTCCCCTCCACTTTCCCTTCCCTCCCCTTCCCTTCCCTTCTCTTCCCCTTCCCTTCCCCTTCCTTTTTCCTTCCTTTTCCCTTCCTCTCCCCTTCCCCTCCACTTTCCATTCCCTTCCCCTTCCCTTTCCCTTCCCTTTCCCCTTCTCTTTCCCCTTCCCTTCCCCCTTTTTTCCCTTTCCTTCTCTTTCCCTTTTCCTTCACTTCCCTTTTATTTTCCCTTTCTCTTTCCTTTATCTTCCCTTCTTCTTCCCCTTCCCTTTCCCTTCCCCTTCCCTTTTTTGTCCTTTCCTTCTCCTTCCTTTTTTCTTCTCTTCCCTTCCCTTTCCCTTCCCTTCCCCTTCCCTTTCCCTTCCCTTTCCCTTTCCTTCCCCTCTACTTTCCCTTCCCCTCTACTTTCCTTTCCCTCTCCTTCCCTTTCCCCTCCCTTCCCTTCTCCTCTCTTTCCCTTCCCTTCTCTTCTCTTTCCCTTCCCTTTCCTTCCCTAGTCTTTCCCTTCCCCTTCCCTTTCCCCTTTCCCTTTCCCTTCCCTTCTCCTTTCCCTTGCACTTCCCTTCCCTTTCCTTTCTCTTCCCTCCCCTTTTCCTTTCCCTTTCCCTTCCCCGTTCCCTTTCTGTCCCCCCTTCCCTTTCCTTTTCCCCTTTCCCTTTCCCTTCCCCTTCCCCTTCCCTTCCCTTCCCTTCCCTTCCCTTCCCTTCCCTTCCCTTCCCTTCCCCTCACTTCCCTTCCCCTGCCCTTTCTCTTTCCCTTCCCACTCTTCTGCCCAGGGGTGCAATCTGCCGCCTTGATCTCCCAGGGTCAAGTGATCCTCCTATCTCAGCCTCCCAAGTAGCTGGGACTACAGGCATGTGCCACCATGCCCAGTTAATATTTTAATTCTTTTTGTAGAGATGGGATCTTGCTATATTGCCCAGGATGGTCTCAAACTCCTGGGCTTGAGTGATCCTCCTGCATTGGCCTCCCAAAGTGTTGGGATTACCGGCATGAGTCATCACACTTGTTTTCCCAGGCCCCCCTGTAAAGCAGTTTTCTAAAGAGTAGAAATGGAGAGAGCAGATTGTGGAGGGATAGAGTGGAAATTGCCTTCTCAGAGATGCTGCACCCTGGAGACTGAGAGGACACGACTTTGTAAACTGTAACTGGAGGTGTTCTCGCTAAAGAAATGCAGCGTGGTAGAGTGACCTTGACTTGGGAAGAAATGAGGGTCAGTTATGGGCCGGTTTTCTCTTCTTCTGAAGATTAATTCTAGAGATTGATAATGTAGGAAGACAGCAGTTCCATTTAGAGAAGGAGACAGACATACAAGCAGGTAGGCAGGCTCTTCCAAGGTGCTTGTTCTAGTACTGAGTGCCAAGGTTGTGGTGGACTCAGATGGACCAAGTCATCTGCCAGCACTGGCAGTTGGAGAGGTGAGGTCCATCTGTCGGAGCACGTACCCTTGCCACATGGATACACATCTCTTTATCCAAGCAGTGAGGGTCAGGGATGCATGCTTTGCAGAACAGTGATTACATGGCAAACCTGCCATTCGGACAAGTAGGGTTAAAATGGGCCCTGCCCAAAATGGCCAAGTCAAAATGAGTAGGTGGCCTCAGGGATCCCTAAGGTGCCTTGATGTTCTTTCTGAGATTCTCTTTCTAACCCAGAGGTAGATAAGGGCTCATGAGGTAAACTGTTCTTTAAGTAGTGATGCCTGAAGACTGATCACTGACCTGATGGCATAACAATCAGGGCATGGAGAGCAGCTAGACCCCAGAGGAGGAAATTCAAGATGTAAACATGCTGGGCTTCCTGACTGCCTATGTGCACACCTCCACCCCCATTCCAAGAGAGTTCTCTGAGCCAATACCGCTTGGATAGAGAAGACGGTGACATTTCACTATTCAGCGTATGTGGAACAAGTGAAAGATAAGACAATGATTGTGGCGGGGGGATCTGAGGTAGGCCTGTTCAATCGTTTCTCCCCAGCAGCTTGTAAGGGCGCTATGAGAACCCAGGCTCAGCAGGCTAAGCTGTTCTCCACCCACCCCAAGAGGTGGCTGTGGGGGCAACAGACAGGCGGGAGGGGGAAGCAGGGACAGCAGGGTTCAGACAGAGTTTGCCTTGACGTGACACTCCCCCAGAGCCAAGACCTGGGGGATGTTTCAGAGGTCCTGGTTTCCTATTGGACTGACAGACACATTTGCTGAGCTGCAGACATTTAAAGCTCCTGTCTCTTTTCTCCTCAGAGCTCCAGCGGGTTTTCTCTCACTCTGCATACAACATGCATACTAATTGGAATCTCTCCCTGAGAAGAAGCCTTCTTCCTGACAGATCCTTTAAGAATAGCTGTAGGTTTTGAAGAAACCCAAGATGGCATTGCCTGTAATTATAAAGTAATTGGTGTAATTGAGAGCTCAGGGTCTCATGCAAATCATCCTCCCATTTCTAACTTTACATCAAGACTATTTTTATTTTTAAATGAAAAAAGAAATCATGTGCATTTGGGCATGGCACTTGTGCATCTCCGCCTGGGCCCCTATGTGTGCAAAATACTAGAGCAGAAGTGGCGGGATTGGCCATGCATGGAAGAGAAAACCACTTCTGGTCCTTTGTGTGTCTTACAGAAAATCCCCAGACTTCTCTCAGCCTTGGTTTTCTTCATCTATGGAACAGGGAGTAACCTCATATTGTTGTGAGAATTAGAATAATACAGATGCACGAGCATTGTAAACTAGAAAGCGCACTCACAAACATGGGGACTTCCCTCTTGGGACCTTCTTTTCTGCTCTTTAGGAGTTGGAGTTTGGTACAGTGGGAAGAACCATGCTCTGAAGCAAGAGACGAAGTTGCTCTTGCACTTAGAAACTGGATCTGTGACGCTAGTTGTTCTTTCGTGAGATCAGGTGGGGGTCTGGTGGTTGACTGATATGGTTGATGGGGACACACACTGAAAAGTATCACATGCCGTTGAACTGCCTGTTTAACCAGTGATCTGACCAGGCCTGTATTTTCTCTTCACCAAGATCCTTTGTGAGGAGTTGTGGTGGCTGCTATGATTTTACCTGATGCAGGAGAGGGTTAAATCTTCCAATATGAGACTCCCCACAACCCTGATCAGGAGAGATGTCGGTTTCTTATGGCTGCTCTAACAAATAACCACAGACTTGATGGCGAAAAGCAATAGAAGTTTATTCTCTTACAGCTCTGGAGGCCAGAAATTAAAAACCCTTCAGGTAACACTCCCCTGCCTCTTCCAGCTTCCTTGGCCACATCGCTCTGATCCCTGCCTCTCTCTTCATACAGCCTCCTCCCTGTGTCTGCTATTTCCCTCCCTCTCTCTCCTTCCCTCTCCCTCCATATTTCTTATAAAAACACTTGTGATGGTATTTAGGCCCACCTCCCCGCTCCAGATAACCCAGGGTATTTCTATCATCTCAAGATTCCTAATTACATCTCATCTGCAAAAAAACATTTCCCAAAACTCATGACATTTACAAGTTCCAGGGAATAGGACTTGGTCTATTTAGGGGACCATTATTCAGTTGACTGCAAGAGTGAAGTCTCCCTGAATCTAGGCTGCCCAGGTTGGAGTCACAGCTCCACTACTTTGTAACTTTGTGACCTTGGGAGAGCTACTTCATCTCTTTGTGTCTCGGTTTCCTCATCTGTAAAATAAGGAAAATAATAATGCTGACCTAATAGGATAGTTGTGAGAGTTAAATAATTTAATATCTATAAAGCACTTGGAAAAGGTCTCAGCTCATAGTAAGTTCTCTCAAAATGTTCACTATTATTCTTTCTAGTTTTCCCTTAATACCTGGTTGTAGGTTTGTCATGGTTTCATCTAAACTCTTCTAGAACTTAATTGTGTTTGCCCTGCACAAACTTTTGGTGTAAATTACTTTTCATTTGCTCAAAAAATACTTTTTTGTGTTTCAAGAGGTATCACTGGAAAGACATCCCATATTCCTGGCTTGGAAGACTTACATTGTTAAGATGACAATACCACCTAGAGCCTCCTACAGATCCAATGCAACCCCTATCAGCATCCCAATGAGGTTGTTTTTAGAAATAGATAAATATATCCTAAAATTCATATGGGATCTCAAAGACCCCCGAATAGTCAAAACAGTCTTGAAAACAAAGACATAGTTGGAGGATTCACATTTCCTGATTTAGCAACTCACCACTATTTTGTTTGTACAGTTTGTTTTGATAAAATAATCAACACTGTGGCCCTGGCATAAGACATGGAACAATGGAATTGAATCGTGAGCCAAGAAATAACCTCACATCTATGGTCAAATGATTTTTTTTCACAAGGGTGACAAGAGCATTTAAGGGGAAAAGAATAGTGTTTTCAACAAATGGTGTTGGGAAAACCAGCTATCCACATGCAAAAGAATGAACTTGGACTCTTACCTTAGACCATATATAAAAATTAACTTATAATGGATTAAAGATCTAACTGTAAGAACTGAAACTGTAAAACTTTTAGAAGAAAACACAGAAAAGCTTCATGACATTGGATCCGGCAATTCTTGGATATGGCAGCAAAAGCACAGGCAACAAAAGAAAAGAAAGACAAACTGGGCTTCACAAAAATTAAAAAAGACTCTTTTGTGTTTCAAACGACACCATTAAGAGAGTGAAAAGGCAACCCTCAGAATGGCAGAAAATATTTGCCAATCATAAATCTGATAAAGGATTAACATCCAGAATATATAAAAGATTTCTACAACTCAAAAGTGAAAAAAGAACCATATTAAAAAATGGGCAAACAACTTGCACAGACTTTATCCTAGGAAGATGCACAGATGGCCAATAAGCCCATGAAAAGATGCTCAGCCTCACCAGTCATTGGAGGGATGCCATTTAAAGCCAAAATGAGATACCACTTCACTCCCATTAAGAGGGCTACCGTTAACAACAACAAAAACAGAAGAAAAACAATGAAAAAACAAATATTGGCTAGAATGTGGGGAAACTGGAATCCTTGTATGTTGCTGGTGGGGATGTCGAATGGTATAGCCCCTGTGGATAGCAATATGGCAGCTCCTCAAAAAATTAAACGTGAATACGAAATTATTTAATGGGTGAGGAGTTTCAGTTTAGGGGTGTTGAATTATCCTTGAGATGGGTGGTGGTGATGGTTGCATAACAATATAAATGTACTTAATGCCATTGAATTATACACTTAAAAATGGTTAAAATAATAAGATTTGTATTATGTGTTTTTACTACAATTAAAAAAAATGGTGCTTAAGTTTCCGTTTTTCCCCTGTGGATCTGTAAGACCTTACAGTGGACCTGAGGGGACATCCTGGTGCAGCATACACCACAGACCATGTAAGAGCTCCCCAGCCTGCAGCCCGGTCTTTCTGGTGAGGAAATGATGCCTTACAAGGTCTTGGTTGGGAAGAGATGATGACCCAGCTGTTTTTTTCTTTAAATAAAAGTTGTTTTTATTATTATTATATGATTATTGTTTTTTTAAAAAATTAATTGATTGAATTGGCAAGAACTGTTTGTATACATTTATGGGGTCAGGAGGAGATTGTAGGGCTGAGGTCAGGGCTGTGCCCTGGAAGAGGGCATAAAGATGAGGTGGTAAGCGATGTTCCTGTGATGGGGAAGTGCTGGGGGAGACCCTGCGGGGCTAAGGGCTCTGAAACAAGGTCTGCCTTCTGCCACCCTGAGCTCTCACAAAACAGTCAAGATGTCATTGGTGTCTCTTATATGTGCTGGGCATGGTACAAGGGGGAAGATGAATTTCTTCACGGAGCTTACAGGCTTGTCTGGGAGGTGAGGCATAAATATCTAAACAAAGGAAACAATAGCTCCAGAAAACAAAAGCTAAGCTGGTATGAAGAACCGTGAAGTCAATTGAAGAGACGCTCACTGCTCAGGATGCTCAGAGCAGGCTTGCTCACTCGAGGCAGGTGGCTGTAGGGGACAGGATTGCCTGGTGGTCACTGAGGTCTGTGGTGTGGAGAGGCTTGGAGCTGGGCTCCTACTCAAGTGTTGCCCATTGTTGTTGACCTGGGGCCAGTTTTTTTAACCTCCTAGGCCTCTGTATTCTCACCTGTAAAATGGGGTACTGTTATTTCCCCCATATGAGTTGTTGTGAGGGTGCAGTGTAAGTAAAGTGTGTAGAGTCCTCAGCACAATACCAGGCACATTTAGTACACTCTCACTGTTAGTGCAGGGGAGGCGGTGTTGGAGTTGGGTCTTGAAGGAGAAGAGGGAAAGAGGATGGATGAATGGCAATAAGGCATAGGTAGCGGGGTGTGTTTGAGGGCAGAAGTGATGAGAGTGGCTGGAGTAAAAGGCTTTTTTCTCTCTCAGTTTTCCTTTCCCCCAGAGAGAAGACTAGACTTCTGGTGTGCCAGCCACCAGGCTGATGAGGAAATGTGAGCCTGGCTCTGAGGTGGGAGGAAGGCGTGGGCTGTGGGAAGAGGCTCGCTGCTTTTTCTGGGGTCCTGTTCCCCTTTGGCCAATACTCTGAGGGTCACCCAGGACTAGAATCCTGAACATTTAGTCTTGATGCCAATGTACAAACTGGCTACAGGAATCAACATCCCACATTCGTGTGTAATACACCATTCTTGAAAAGTACTTTTCAATCATTTATTAGTTCATAAGAAATTTAATGAGAAGTGGGAAACATAATTTCTGCCTCATAGAATGAGATGAGATTGTTTGCAGAATATTTATGATCTTCAAATGGCGTAATACATGCAATAATGTTACCTTGCAATAATGAACTTTTATTATTCAGTAGCTATCAGAGGTTACTCTATGAGAAAATGGTAAATGACTAAAACTTAATTTTAAAGGGAGGAAAATGAACCAATATTATCTCGTATGCCTTGTTTAGTTACTTTTGCATACATTTTCCTGAAATTGTAAGTGTCTTGTGTTATGATTATCTGAACTTATCTTATTTTTCTAATTCAGATCTATTTAGGTAATTAATTGATCTGTGTAGTAAATGTCACAGACGAATATGAGTCTTCAGTTTTCTCAATGAAAACAGATTGAGCTTCTGGCTTAGTCTGTTTTCTGTTACTTATAACAGAATACCTGAAACTGGGCAATTTATAAAGAAATGGAACCTATTTCTTTATTTCTGGAAGCTGAGTAGTCCAAGGTTGAGGGGCCACACCTGGCGAGAGTCTTCTTGCTATGGGGGACCTCTGCAGAGTCCTGAGGTGGCACAGGGCGTCACATGGGGAGGGGGCTGAGCTAGCTCAGGACTCCTCTTCTTATGAAGCCACCAGTTCCACTCCTGTGATAATCCATTAATCCATGGATAGATTAATTCATTCGTGAGGACAGAACCCTTATGACTCAATCACCTCTTAAAGGCCCCACCACTCAGTACTGCCACACTGGGGATTCAATTTCAACATGAAGTTTGAAGGGAAAAAATATTTGAGTCTTAGCACCTGCTCAATGAGACTGGGAATTTGATTAACATTCCTCAGTAGTTTTTGTCTTGTTTTTTCCTGCTAAGATTCCTTCCAAGATACAATTCTGTGATGGTCTGCTTCTGGTCCATGAAGGGCCAAAGGCCTTCCTAACCCTCATGGCTCAATCAGACACAGAAACCATGGTGTGGAGGTGCCTCCAAGGGAATCAGAGGGAGCACATCTCTGGTGCCTGCTCCATGCCTTTTTCCGCTGCTTTCTCTCTCTTTTAGTCTTTGCTTCTTCAGCCTCCTTTCTAATGTTTGTTTGCTCTCTTCCCTCCTGCTACGTCTCTAGCCCTTCAGAGATACCTGTGTCATACAGTGCATGCTGGCTTAGCCACACGCAGGGTGATAGAGGGGCTGGGCAGGCCTGGCATCTGTGTGGGTTCTCGGGCCTTCTCCCTCTGTTTCCTTTCCTCCCAGATTCTCTGCTGCAGGCTGGGTTGCACCAGCTATAGTCAAAGAAGCTCTCTAATGCCTCATTCATTTGTTACTCAACAGATATTTGAGTACCTACTATGTGTCAGATGTATACCTACTATGTATAGGGACATGGCATTGAACGAAATAAGCTCCTGTGCTTACAGAGCTTAGCTTCTCATGAGGACACAGACAACAAACAAGTAAATGGCTGGTGAATATATGGACTCCTCAATGCTTATGAGTACTTTAAGAAAAACTAAAGCACCGAGAGTGATAGCATGGCCGGAAAGGGCCTTTGTGGTGACATTGACGTTTGAGCAGCAACCTGAATATCATGAGGAAGACGGGCACATAGATCTCCATGTGACCAGCATTGTAGACAGAGGGGACAGGAGCTTCGAAGGCCTGAGGCCAGAGGCTGTTGGTGTGTTTGAGGAGCAGAGAATGTTCCAGATGGTCTGGAGAAGAGGGAGGAGGAGGAAATGCCAGATGATGTAGAAGCTTTTTGACTGACTGATGGTCTCTACCTTTTTGGCAGAGTTGAGCTGAAAGTTCATCTTTCTTTTAAGGGAGACCCTTCAACTGATGTCTTTCCATCAGCATTTCAATATTTTTCTTGGAGTACAAGGAGTGTAGAGTAGATATCTATTGCATTTGCCACCTGATATGCATTGCCTGTTCTTTGACAACTGTATTCTGCTCTCCCTCTGTAGAGCTTACCTCTTCCCCTAAATGAGCCTGGGCATTCAGAGTGGCTAAGCATGCCACTGACACCTCCTGCAATCACCACATCACATTCCTTTGGCAGCTAGACTGGATGGGGAGCCACAGGGCCTGATCTGAGCCCATGAGATACCATGAGACTTTTGCCAGGCATACTGGAAAGGAGGTTTGCTTTTTCTCACCAATTAAATGCCACGAGAATGCAGGATGTGGAATAGGTGCCACCATCTTGAATCCATACAGGGGAGCCTGTCTGAGAATGGAGCCCCCACTACAGGAACTGCAGCTGAGATAGTGAGATATGGAGTCCTGGGGACATAATCTGAGGCCTTGAATCAAGCCTTACTTGGAACCAGGAATGTATGTACCTTGAATTTTCTGTAAGCCAATAAATTCGATGATTGCTTCAGCCAGCTTGAGTTGGGTGAAAAAAAAGTTTGTTTTTTTTTGATCACTTGCAACAAGAGGAGCTCTACCTGACACAGGTGACACAAGATGGCATAGGGTGGGGATGAAGACCAGAAGCCTGGATTCAAAACCTGCCCTTGACCTTGGGCCAGGTCTTAGACCTATCTAGGCATACATTTCCTCATCTGCATAATACAAGTAATACTAGTATCTTATTGTTGGGAAAATTCATTGAATATATATAACTTCGGAAGTACCCATCATAAGTGCTATGGAAATGTCTGCTGCTGTTGTAATTATTTTTTTTCCTTTTTGCGAAATAAGGTTTCTGAAGCTAGACTGTATTGAGTGACTTACCCTAGTCACACAGGAAGTCAAAGTTAGAGTGGAAATTAGGCACCAGAATGCTCAAGGGGTGGCCTTTGGCAGTTACTCACCTACCCCAGAAGGCAGTTTGAGTGCCTGCCACATTCCAAGCACTCTATCATGCTGCTAGGATGCAGAAAAAGATGGCAGATTCTGTGAGAACCAGGGCTTATATCTCAATATTGTGTTTCCCCTCAGTTCAATGACAGGGCTCTTTGCCCAGGGAGCGATGGGGTGATTACTCAGTGGTGTTGACTTACCTTCCCTGACAGCTCAGCATTCCAGGGAGGGAAGGCATTTTCTGAAGAGGGTTTATTTGGAGAATCAGTTACCTACACAGTGAATGTGGGCCCCACTCCCAGGGCCAGGGTGCTCTCTCTTGGCCTGGTATCACCTCTGCCCTGCAGGGTGGCAGAGTCAGCAGACGGAGGCTCGGAGCTGCCTTCCTTCTCCCCGGCTTCCCCAGGCATCTGTTTCAGCAACTTGCTCTTAGTCTCATGATAAATTCATTACCAGAAAATGAAGCTGGAGTTTCCTGGTGACATAAAATATTGATGAGCGAAATAAGGACTAAGATAAATTATCAAATGTTACTTGCAGGCCCGGCTGCATTCTGTTCTGCCTGGTCTGCATACATTTGTTCTTCTCTCACCCCTTTCGATTTGTTTGGCTGGGGTTTTGTCCTTTTAATAGGAAGCATATTGGAACACCAGTGAAGTGCTCCAACCTCAACGTCACACCAGAGGGGGAAAAATAGACATGTCTCCTGGTTACTGTCAAAACTATGAAACCCAATCCTGCCACTTCACAACCTTCTGGCAGGTTCTTGGCATCCTCAAGATAGCATGAAAAACACATTGCTTCCCTGCTCAGAAGCTGCTAATGGCTTAGAATTGCTGTAGAATAAAATATAAACGCCTTAGAATGTCATTCAAGGCCCTCTATGGTTCCGTCCTAGCTTGCCTTTTCTGTCTATTCCCCCTCTGTGTTCCCAGGGCCAACACAGTTCAGTACACTTAGACTTTCGAATTCTCCAAAAACAGCATCGGTATCCAAGCAGCTGTGCTAAGTTTCTTGCCTTGAAGTGTCCCTCCTCAACTTCCGTGATGATTGAAATCTTGCCATTCCCTCAAGGACCAGCTCCGTTCACAAAATCCTCTATGATATTCTCCTACTCAGAATTAATTCACCAAAGGTAAATGTTGGTGAAAGCATTGCAAATTCAGTGCTTTTCCTCATTGCTAGTGATGGTAGGAATGGTGTGTTTACAGAGGAATGTAGCGATAGTTTTCACAGTGCTTAAATAAGTGCACAACTTTCAAGTCAGCAATTCCACGTCTGAGAATTTGTTGTAAGAAAACAATCAAAGTTGTAAAAATTAATTTGAGTATGAGGCCATTCATCATAGTGTTCTTTAGTGAAATATTGGAAAGAACAGAAAAGCCCACAAGTAGGAAATTGTTAAATAAATTGTGATACATCTGTATGATAGAATGACAGTTATCTACCCCAAAATCATGGTGCACAGAACAGTTGATGGTTTAGAAAAATGTCCACGATGTTTTTGTAAGTGAAAGAAATAGGATATAAAACTGTGTGAAGTATGGCGGGGATGGGGGAGCTGTTTGAGCTTAGAGAAAACTTTGGAAGCATATGCACCAAAATGTTGGGTTGTGGGACTCTGGGTAATTTTTAGACCATTTTCTCTTACAAGTCCACCCAACAAAGTCCTCCTAATGTCCATAACTTGCTTCTCATCTCCTTCACTTGAAACTAGCCCCCGACCCCTGCCTTTGCTCCCATGGTAGAAGAGTGCTTCAGATAATCATCCTCCATAGGCTTTAACTCTGCACATCTGCCTCCATGCTCTGATCCCCAGTTAAACTCATTCATTTGCTCTCATCTTTTGACCTCCTTTTTATACTCTCATGGTAGCGGTGGCTTTCCTCCTAAACTCTCCAAGTCCCAGGCATAAGCCATGGCTCTGCACATGTGGTGCATGGCCTCAGTAAAGGTCTGATCAACACCGGGTTCTCCAAAGTTACTTTCCAGAGTTTTACGACTAACCACATGAGATCATCTCTACTATTTTTAAGGCCTATAAGGATGTGGTGGGGAATGGTTTCCAGCAGGGGTTTTCAGCCATCTTCTCTGACATGTATATATCCCAGACATTTATGTGTATGTGTGTGTATTTATTAGAAGGATTTGGCTTATGAAGGCTGCAGTCAGCAAGCTGGAGACCAGCAGGCTCAAAACCCAAGAAGAGCTAAGATTCCAGTTTGAGTCTGAAGGCAGGAACAGGCCAGTGTCCCAGATGAAGGCAGTTGCATTGAGAGTCTACTCTTGTTTGGGGGCAGGTTAACCTTTTCTGTTCAGACCTTCAACGGGTTGGATGAGGCCCACCCACAGTGGGGAGGGCCATCTGCTTTACTCAGTCTACAGATTTAAATGTTCATCTCATCCAGAAACAGCCCACACAGACACACCCAGGAAAATGTTTGACCAAATATCTGCATACTTTGTAGCTCAGCTGAGTCAACATCCTGGGAATCCTCCCAGAGGTTTCAAGGCCAGTTGCTGAAAGATGGCCTGTTGGCCACAGGTGATAGACACTGACCAATGTCATCCTTTTCTCTCACTGCTCCCCACCCTTTGGTGTGTCCAGAGCCCTGGGTAAGAGCAGATGCTTTATCCAGGAGTCACAGGACGTCAGAGGCATTGCAACAGGCATAGGCCCAGAGAAACTGAGGACCTTGTTCAAGGCTGCATGTCTTCTAAGCAGCAGAGCTGGGACCTGGACCTGGAACCTGGATATCATACTGCCCTGGTGTTTGTCCTTACAGTGGGGAGGACAGGATGGAGGAAAACTAGTCCTCCTGAGTCCTGGAAAGGAGCACACCTCATTGCACCTCTTGACTGCAGACTGTCATGTTCTCAGATTTCCTGGCTCCATTGTACTCCCTGACACATGGGCACAGCTCTCCCTCCAAGGGAAGCTCTGATGCTGTGTCGAGTTGTGTGGAACAAAATCAGTTAGCAAATCCTTGTGAAAGCTTTCTGAAAATGGGAAGTACAGACCCCACACCCTGGCAAGGAATGCTTCCTGTCCCTTGTGAGGGCCTGAGGCCTGTGAAGCCACTGGCTTCCGGGCAGGGATGGGGACCCAAGGCTCCCCTGGCCAGTCCTTGCAGGGAAGGACTCAGGACACCGAGAGCCCTCTTTGAGCTTTCAGTCTGGGCTATTCTGCCCATTGCTGCAGGGTCACTTCCTGGCTCACCAATCCTTTTGTTTCCATGACTTACTCTCTCCTTCTGGCTCTGTGTCCAGCTCCCCCTACGGTTCCATGTTCAGTAACTCTGAAGGGCTGGGCCTGGTTCATCCTGTGATACTGTATATCTCTTTGTTGGGTCCTCACTTCTAAACAGAGAACAGAGAAGACTGAGAAGATTGAATGTGGGGCCAGGAGCACAACCAAATCTCAGTGCCCCTAAAGTCCACTTGTACTAAAAAAATGTGGATGACTAGAGATCATGGTTTTTGGTCTCAGTGACTTGGAAAGACTTGTATAGCTAGAGATTTTGTGCATTGGGGCTTTTGCAGTTTTCCTTGCTGTTGTTCTTGAACTCTTGGTAAAGCTGCTAAATGTCCTGTTTAGCATTTCTGAGGACGCAGGTTTTACCTGCAAGTCTTACATGCAGTGCATATTCCTTCTGCCTTGTACTCCCCAGGGCTCCGCCCTCCCCATAATTCCTTCAGTTGGAAACAGAGGCACCTCCACAGCTTAAGAGCCCAGGCCTATCAGAGCAGAGTGCCCTTGCATAGGCCCCACAGCCCCTCATATACTTACCTGTTCCAGGTGCAAGGGGTGATACTGGGATCACCAGATGGGTATACAGAAAATGTAGGATGGAGTAGATCAGAACATTTTGGAGCTTTTCAGGACACAAAACCGGAATCAAATCCTAACTCTATCACTTGCTAGCTGAAGGCCCAGCATGGCATCTGGAACACAGGTATTCAGGAATTGTCAGTTTCCAGTAGTGGTAGAAAGATTCTTGAGGCTCTTGGAGAGCTGGGGGCAACAGTGGTTAGGTGTCTTCCATCAGCAGTGAGCTCGGGGAGGACAGCAGTTGGGGCAGGGAAGAGCGACGGCAAGGGGTGCGCCAGTCAAGGTGAGAATCAGGTCCTTGGGTCTCATGTTCCAGCGGAATGTCCACCACTGTCCTGCTAGGGGCTTGTCAAGCCAAGGCTGCGGCCCTTTCTCCAACTCTCCTGGAGATCAAGGGCCTGTGCCATCACACAGACAAGGAGCCCCCAGCTCTGCCACAATGGGAGAGTTTTTTTTATTTCACAGGTGAGAGGCTGGAGACTAGGATGGTAAGAGATCTGCCAGAGTCCACCCAGGTGGGTTTGTAATTCCAAACCCCACATATTTCATAAACTCATCCCAGTTTTGCAACTTTCTGTATGGCCCTGTGTGAGTCTCCGTGTCTCAGTGTCTCTTACACAAAATGGGGAAAATGACCGCATTTCCTCCCCACCATGATGGAAGGTCAGTGAACCTCCAGCAGAGAAACCCTGTGAGAAGGTTGATTTACTGCCCTTTTTAGGATCCTCAAAACTGCTGTTTTGGAATTTCTTCTGCCTCACTTCCCCTCTTGAAGTTCAGTGGCTGAAGTGTGCCGTTCCTGACCCTTAAAATAGGCCAGGAATGATGCAGGTGGCTGTGGCGGAGTGCGTGGATGCTGTCAGAGCCTGGAGGGGCAGACACGAATGGGTGCTTATCTTGGGTGACCTTTCTTCACAAGCAGACACAGCTCTTGTGGGCCGTAACATGCTGCGTTCCATGTGCAGGGAACCGAGGCTGGGCCGGACTGGCTGGGCCCTTGGCCTGCAGGCAGAGCTCTTTCTGGAGCAGGCATTCTGACCTGCGTGCAGATCTATTGTTTTTGAGGATGGCAGCACAGGGCATTAGGAGAGAGGAATAAACAGCTGGAAAATGGCCTAAATCTTTTCCTGCTAAGCCAGGGTGGGGGCGGGGGGCGGGAGGTGGGAAATGATTTAATTTAACAAATTGTTGGATTCTTAGCTGTCCAGCAGCACAATTATGTCCTGCCATCCACGATCGGGGTGGCCTTGGTTTCAGGTTCTATTTCAGGGCCGTTGGTGAGTCTTCACAGTCAAGTCTCTGAAACCTCCGGAGCCTCGGTTTCCACAAATTCAAATGGAAATCATCATGTCAGGGATGTTATAAAACTGGTAAGTTGATGAATGAAGAAATATTCATAAACTGTAGGCTGTGGATTGGACAGAGGTGGCTGTCATTCCAGTCTTTGACGTGCCTGTATATATGTAAAGTGACACCCAGAGAGGAGCTGCTCCCCGCAAAGAGGTGTGGCTAAACGTGTGATGGTGGCACTGGCTCTTCCTGTGTTGTGCACACAACTCGGGTTTTCCACTTTTAAGATAGCTGTTGCTACTCACAGCATCTTTCCCTTTTTGGAAGCTCCCTATCTCATCTCCATCAGCCCTGAGCACTGAGAGCCACTACAGTTCTGATGGGCTGTGTGAGGCTGGCTGGACAACAGCAGCTTTCCTCTGCTGCTGCCGTCAGAGTGTGTGTGTGTGTGTGTGTGTGTGGTGTGTGTGTATTTATGACAATTTCACTGAGGTATGACTCACATAGCATAACATTCACCCTTTTAAAGTGTAAAGTATATTCGTAACATATTGTACAATCATCACCACTATCTAATTCCAGAACATTTTATCACCTTTAAAAGAAACCTCATCCTCACTAACAATCACAGCCTATTCCTTCTTCTCTCAGCCTCTGGGAATCACGAATCTATTTTCTCTTGCATGGATTTGCCTCTTCCACACATTTCACATGCATGTAGTCATACAATATGTGGCCTCAGTGTCTGACTTCTTCCACTCAGCATAGTGTGCTCAGGGTTCATCCATGCTATAGCATGGATCAGTTCTTCACTGCCTTTAATGACCAATAAAATGTCATAGCATGTATCAGTGCTTAACTGCCTTTTATGCCATAACGTGTATGGATATGACACATTTTTTTCTGTTCTTTCATCAGTTGAGCATTTGGGTTGTTTCCACATTTGCTATTCTGAATAATGCTGCTATAAACATTTTGTACAGGTTTTTGTGTGGGTATGTTTTAAATTCTCTTGGGTATCTACCTAGAAGGGGAATTGCTGGGTCATACGGTAACTCTGTGCTTGTCTTTTTGAGGAACTGCCAAATTGCTTTCCAAAGTGGCTACACCATTTTACATTACCATTAACAATGTACAAGATTTCCAATTTCTTCACATCGTCACCAACTCTTGTTATTATCTGACTTTTTGATTCTAACCACCCAAATTGGTGTAAACTTTTTATTTAGATTTTTCTAGTGACTAATGATGTTAAGCATATTTTAATGTATTATTAGCATTTGCCTCTCTTCTTTGGAGGAATGTCTTTTCAAATCTTTTGCCCATCTTAAAATTAGATTGTCTTTTTATTGTTGAAATATGATAGTTCTTGATATATCCTGTGTGTAAGATCCTTATCAAATATCTGACTTGCAAATATCTCTCATTTTGTGAGTTTTTTTAAACTTTCTCGATGGAACCATTTGAAGTCCCCAAATTTTAAAATTTTGGTTAAGTCCAATTCATTTTTTCTTTACTTGCTTGTGCTTTTGGTGTCATAGCTAAGCAACCATTATCTAATCCAAGGTAATTATGCTTTCTCTGAAAATTTTTATACTTTTTCTCTTAGATGTAAGTCTTTGATCCACTTTGAAATTAAAAAAAATTTTTTTTGCATATGGTTTAAGGCAGGGACCCAACTTTGCATGTGGATATTCAGTTGTCCTTGTAACACTTGTTGAAAAAAAAGTTTTGCCCCCAGTGAATTGTCTTGGCATCTTTGACATAAGTCATTTGACCACAGTGTAGGAATTTATTTCTGGATATATTTCAATTCCATTGATCTATATGACTATTCTTATGCCATAGCATAATGTCTTCATTACCATAGTTTTGTGAACAAGAAGTGTGAGTCCTCAACTTTTTTGTTGCCTTTAAAGGTAGTTTCGGCTATTTTGAGTTCCTTACATTTTCATATGAATTTTAGGATCAGTTTGTCAGTTTATTTAAAAAAGGCAGCTGGGATTTTGACAGGAATTGCACTGAATCTGTAAATCAATTTGAGGAGTATTGTCATCTTATCAATATTAAGTTGTCCTGCCCATAAACATAGAATGTGTTCCTGTTTATGTGTTTTTTCATTTCTTTTAAATTTTTTGTCATTTTCAGTGTACAAAATCTTGCACTTATTTTGTTAAATTTATTCCTCAGTATTTTATTCTTCCTGATGTTTTTGTGAATTGAATTGTTTTCTTAATTTCACTTTTGGATTGTTCATTGCTAATGTATAGAAATATAATTGTTTTTTGTATGTTAATCTCATATCCTGAAATGTTATTGAACGTGTATGTTAGCTCTAATGGTTTTCTAGTAGATTTCCTAGGATTTTTTTGTGTGTGTATGAGATCACATTATTTGTGAATAAAGATAATTTTACTTTATTCTTTCTAATGTGGATATCTTTTAATTTTTTTTCCTGCCTAATCGCCCTGGCTGGAACCTCCAGTACAATTTTGAAAAGGAGTAGAGAGACAGGACGTCTTTGTCTTGTTACTAATCTTAAAGTACTCAGTCTTTCATCATTTATGATGTTAGCTGTGGGTTTTTCATACAAAACCCTATCGGACTGAAGAAGTCACCTTCTATTTCTAGTTTGTTGAATGTTTTCATCATTAAAAGCTGTTAAATTTTGCCATGTGGGTTTTCTGTGTCTATGGTTTTTGTCCTTGATTCTATTACTATTACCATAGTGATTTTCACGTATTAGATCAAGGTTTGTATTCCTACAATACATTTCACTTGGCAATGGTACATACTCCTTTTCATATGTTGCTGGATTCAGTTTGATAGCATTCTGTTAGGACATCTAGGATGTCTTTTTCTGGTTTTTGTATCAGGGTCATAATGGCCTTAGTGAATGAGTTGAGAAGTGCTTTCTCCTCTTCTATATTTTGGAAGAGTTTATGAAGGATTGATGTTAATTCTGCTTTAGACATTTCATAGAATTGACCAATGAAGCATTTCTTTTTGTGAAGCATTTTGATTACTAATTCAATTTCTTTACTAATTATATAGATATATTCAGATTTTCTGTTTCTTCTTGAACCAGTATTGAAAGTTTGTGTGTTTCTAGGAATTTGTCCATTTCATCTAGGTAACCTAATTTGCTGATATACAATTATTCATAAGCTCCTCCTTCTGATTCTTTTTATTTCTGTAAAGTTGGTAGTGATGTGCTCTTTTATTCCTGATTTTAGCATTTTGAGTTTTTCCTTTTTTCTCAGTCAATCTCACTAAAAGTTTGTCAATGTTCGCCGGGCGTGGTGGCTCATGCCTGTAATCCCAGCACTTTGGGAGGCCGAGGCGGGCGGATCACGAGGTCAGGAGATCGAGACCATCCCGGCTAAAACGGTGAAACCCCGTCTCTACTAAAAATACAAAAAATTAGCCGGGCGTAGTGGCGGGCGCCTGTAGTCCCAGCTACTTGGGAGGCTGAGGCAGGAGAATGGCGGGAACCCGGGAGGCGGAGCTTGCAGTGAGCCGAGATCCCGCCACTGCACTCCAGCCTGGGCGACAGAGCGAGACTCCGTCTCAAAAAAAAAAAAAAAAAAAAAAAGTTTGTCAATGTTTTAAATCTTTTTTACAGAATTAACTTTTTGTTTTTTTTAATTTTCTCACTTTTTCCATTTTTTATTTCACGTATTTCCACCTAGTCTTTATTATTTCCTTTCTTCTGCTTTCTTTGAGTTTCATTCGCTCCTCTTTTTCTGGTGTCTTAAGGGAGATTTGGTTGTTGATTGCAAATATTTCTTCTTTTTAAATATATGCATTTATAGCTATAATTTTCTCTCTAAGCATTTCTATCACCACGTCCCATAAGTTTTGATATATCATGTTGTCATTTTCATTTATCTCAAACTATTTTCTAATTTCCCTTGTGATTCCCTTCTTTGGCTTATCGGTCATTTAGGATTATGTTAATTTTTTTAAATTTTAACATGTTTGTGAATATCCAAAATTTCTTTCTTATTTTGATTTCTGATTTCATTCCAGTGTGGTCAGAGAACATGGTTTGCATAACTTCAATACTTTCAAATTTATTGAGGCTTGTTTTATGGTCTAGAATACCATCTATCCTGGAGAATATTCCATATTCTGCTGCTGTTGGGTGGAGTATTCTATAGATATCTATTAGTCTAGTTGGTTTACAGTGTTGTTTGAGTCTTCTATTTCCTCATTGATCTTAGTTGTTCTATACAGTATTGAAAGTGAGTTATTCAAGTCTTCAACTTTTATTGTAGAATTGTCTGTTTCTCCCTTCAATTCTGTTTTTTTGTTTTTTTTTTTTGCTTCATGCATTCTGGGTCTCTGTCGTTAGGTTCACCACCATATTGTTTTATGTTGCACTTCAAAGCATCTCTTCTTGGGCCTGATAAGTTTCTGTCTATCATACTACAGTTATTTCCTTAACCTTCTTTTTCCAGACTTAGTAAGGTCAGGTTATATCTGAGCATCCATTCAAAGCTTTATAACTCATATTCTAGAACTTGCTTGCAATTGATTCAGTCTTTCCATTAAGTGGGACTTACAGATGATGGTGGATAAGAGGTAATAGAATTTTGGAAATCGGAGGGCCTTTAGATATTATTTAGTCCATTTTCCTCTTTTTTTTTTTTTTTTTTTGGATGAAGAAAGTAGGACCTAGAGAAGTGAAGAAAGCTCTGTGAGGTCACAAAACAAATTAATGGCAGGGACAGGGCTGGAACTCAAGTTTTTTGACTCTTTGTTCACTATTCTTTTCACTGAACCACCCTAGACATTTCATAGAATTGACCAATGAAGCATTTCTTTTTGTGAATATAGGTCTGTATATTAACTGTGTTTTTCAGTGGTTTCTTTGTGCATGTCTACAGACTTGTGCTGGCTGGAGAGTCATCTGGGAGTCTTATTTTAAAGTGTATATGGCTATGCATATGCATATGTATATGTGCGCATTTCCTGTCTGTGTCTGTCAGGGATTCTCGTTCAGTGTGTCTGAGGTGGGACGGTAAATCTGCATTTTGGGAAACCTTCCTCGGGGGCTGCTGCTGCCCAGCCTGGTGTAGACACACTGGGTGCTTTCGTAGACACACTGGGTGCTTTCACAGATTCACAGCCTTTCACTTGGCCCTGCAGCTTGATGGTGTACACACTTTCAGTCAACTTTTCCTGAAAAAAAATTTAGCTCTTTTTTGAAAACTTTAAAGTCAGTTTGTCATTAAACAGTTTTATTTATACCTAATGATCACAATTCCCTAGATTCTTCTCTCCCCCTTTCAGGCGGCAACTGGAACACTGAAGGCCGCAAGCGTTTCCCAGTCTACTGAGGCAGAAGCCAGAAGAGGGGACTGGTTGGCAATAGCAGCAGGTGGAACAGAGAGATTTTCAGTCTTCTTAGAGCCTTGTTGTGTGTGTTACATTTCCTTTATGTGCTCAAAGTGGGATACTCAAGTTTTGTGGAATTACAGAAACGGGGGAAGACCATTTCCATCCTTTTGTAAGCAAGCCCTATAGTTCAGGGCTCTTACACTTTGGATCTATGGGCACCTAGAGGTCTGAGGATGGGCTTCAGAGAACTTATTAATGCCCTAAAGTGTTAGTCCCAATTTTGTACGCACACACTTGCATTATGGTAAGGGGAGACCCCATAGGTTTCATCAGGTTCTCTGAAGTCCCATGGCCCTCAGTAAAGAAAAACTTGCTAGAGCTGGCATTTGCTACAGGATCATTTGAGATGCCACGTTGCTTCTCCAAGGTGTACGGTGGTGCCTTGGGTTTAGTCACTCAGGATCGTGGAGAGACTCTCCCTAGGTGCAGATAATTGAGGAAGAATAGAAGTAGAACTGACCCGCAGTCATGCTCTCCTTCAGCAGATAATTCCCCTCTGTGTTAAAATAGACACAGAGTAGATGAGTTGAACATGAGGAAATGAGAAAGGAATGTGAACATTTATCGCATTTATAAATTATAAATAGCTATTTAAAGTATTTGACATCTTCAATGCGGGGAGCAAATGTGAATGGCAAGTTTTTATGCCAAGCTTGATATAATCCCAAAAGTAAGCTGCTAATCCAGAAAGACGACCTGTAGCAGGGAATTAGCAAAGTTTTTCTATGAAGAGACAGACAATATGTGAGACTTCGCAGGTCGTCCAGTATCACTGCTGGCATGAGAACAGCCACAGATAATACATAAATGAGTTGATATGGCTGTGTTCCAATAAAACTATATTTATGGACACTAAAACTTGAATTTTGTATACTTTTCTGATGTAATAAAATATTTTTCTTCTTTTAGTTTCTTTAAAACCATTTACAAATGTAAAATCCATTTTTAGCCTGGGGTATGTAGAGAAACAGGCTGCAAGCTAGATTTTACATGTGGGTTGTAGTTGGCTAGCCCTTGAACTTGGGTAATTTAGAAGCTTTGAATTTTAGAATCCAAGTTAAATGAACATCGTTCTCCAGTTTTCTACTTTGGCTTTGGCTAAAGAACTCAGAAGTAAGTTAGGCAGCAATTGTAATAATTGAATTTTAATGTCAGAAAGTCCTTATAACTTGATTAAATCTTGTTCTATATTCTATCTTTCCTTAATTATGCTGATCCATTTTGTGGTATTTTTCAGCTCACAAAGGGCTTACATTTAATGATTTCATTTAATCTGGTTAAAATCATTTTCAAATTTTTTTATTCATATAAGTAGAACATGAAAATATTCTTATTGTTAAAAGTATCAAACACAGAGAAAAGTGAAAGTTCTCATTATCCCTCTACCCAAATCAACTGTTTTCACCAAAGAAAACTATAAATTTGATGTAGATTCTTTCAAAATCCTGCTTTTTCAAAATTTATTTTTTAAAATAAATTTTGTTGTATATGTGTAAGGTATACAATATATGATGTTAGGAAATATATAGATAAATAGTAAAAAGGTTACTACAGTGAAGCAAATTGATGTATCCATCATCTTAAATACATAGTTACCCGGTTTTTTTTGTGTGTGTGGCAAAAGCAGCTAAAATCTATGGATTCAGCATAAATCCCACATACAGTACAATTTTATTATCTACAGTCTTCATGTTGTAGCTTAGCTCTTTAGACTTGTTGACCTTACATCTTAGGTATTTATATGACATCTAGTTTTGTGGATCTTTTTTTCTTTTTAAGTTTTTGCTTACTCTGTGGTAAATAATGTTGTACGTATTCTAAACTTGCTTTTTGTTACTTTACAATAAATACATCATAGAGATCATCCCATATCAATGCATATAAAACACAGGTCCTATTTCCTTTTAGTTCATACAGAGTAGTCCATAGTTTGTGGTATAGTAGCTTGCTTATTTTTTTCTTTATGACAATGACTGTAGCTGTTTTTAATTTTTCCCTTTTACAAACAATGCCGCAGTACACATTAACCCACACATGGGGAATGCCAGGGCAGAGGGTTATGTACATGTTAAATTTGAATAGGTGCTCTCTACTTGCCCTTCCAGGCAGCATGGCCAGTTGATGCTTCCACCAGCAACATGTGAGCATCCTCTTTACCCTGTACCTTTTTATTTATTTATTTATTTATTTATGTTTTTGCCACTCAGATGACCACAAAATGGCATCTCCCTTGATTTAATCAGCATCTTTTCACGTGTTTATTAGATGTATACACTTCCCCTTCTGCACATTTTCTAGTCACAGAATTTGTTCTTCTTTTCTATTAGTTTAGTCTTCTTTTGCTTATTTGAACTGTTGGTGCTTACATACAAACTGGATAGCAGTCGTTTGTCCATTATTCTGCAAATTATTATATATGTCACAGTGTCTTCTCACTGTGCAACTAATTTGTTAATTTTGCTTTTAATTGTGCAGGCTTTTTTTTTTTTTTTTGGTAGGTGTATTGATCATCTCTCCTCTTTGGCCATTCCTGTTGGTATCTAGCATAAGAAACTAGACCTTTGACCACATACATATTAAGGATTTCTGATCAATGAAGAAAACTATAAACAACTTTAACAGATGGATGACAGATTGATAGAGGATATTTGCAAGATAAAAGAGAAATTGACAAGAGATTAATATATAATTCACACAAAGAATTCTTACAAGTCAGCCAGAAAAAAAATATTGGGAAACCTAATAGAAAAACGAGCAATGGATATAAATAGCAATTCACAGAAGGAGAAAACCAAATAGCTAGCAATCTGAATAGAGATACTCAATCCTACTGCTCACTAGATAAATGACAATAAAAACAGCAATGAGATATAATGTTATACCTATTAGATTAGCAAGAATTTAAAAGTTATATAATCCTAATTGTTGTTGAGGATGTAAGAAAATGGGAAAACACATGCACCGCCAGCAGGACTAGAGTGTGCTGCGGCCATCCTGATAATTGTGCAGGACTTGGAGGTCCCACTTGGTGTGTACCCTACAGAAACGCACGCATGACTATGTAAAAAGGCATGCTCTGCACTACTCATGGCAGCCTTTTTTGTGGCAGCAGAGTTAAAGGCAACCTGCATGTTCATCTCTAGATGAATAAATAGGCCAAATGTGATGGGTGATAGGGAGCTAACAACACAGAGTTGAGAACAGAATGTAAAAATCAGAACAATATCTATAGCTCAGTTCCACTGGTATACATTTATAGATGCATGTAAAAAATGTAATGTAAATTCATTAGAGTGGGCGCCTGTGGGAGTGGGGGAAGTGGAATGGTGATCAGGAAAGAAGAACGACTACACATAGCCAGAAGAAATCTTGTACAGATTGTGAGGATAATCGTCCATCAACTAGGGCGTTTGATTAACCGAATTCTCTGCATCTTGGTTCCAAAGGGGAGAAAGCATCTTTTATTTCATGATTACAAACATCTTATCCTATAATCATTTCTGACATCCATATGATTTGTTTTCTAGGCTTAGCTTTGGTATTGATTGGAATTTATTTTTCTGTACATTATCAATTAGTTCATAACTTATATTTCTTCTTATTAATGGTTAATGGCTTTAATGCTGTTAAAGAATTCATACCTTTCTCCCTAACTTGAAACATGACCTTTATCACATACTAAATTCCCACATGAATGTGGGTTCCATTCATTTATTTGAATATTTTTGTGGCGTTTTCATGCTATCTTAATTACTATAGCTTTATAAGATGTTTGTGTGTTCTGTCAGGTGAATCTCCACTTGCACTCCTTTTTTTTTCAATATTTTGTCAGCTATTCTTTCAACTTTATCTTCCAGAGTAATTTCATAATCAACTTATAAATTTTATTAAAAATCCTATAGAAATGTCTGTGGGGGTTGAATTTACTGAGTTTGTCGATTAACTGAGGGAGAGTATTTGCCTCTCTACTTAGCAAGGTCTCTGTTTTCTTCAGTAAAGCTGTATAGTTTGGCTCACATAGTCCTGGCAAATTTCATGTTAGGTTTATTCATGAGTGTTTCATAAAATTCTTCCTATTACTGTGACTGCTTCTATTACAACATTCTAATTTAATATTGCTGGACATTCCAATGATTTTGATTTTCATCTGATGTCTGGTCATTTTAATGAACTGTTGTCAATTAATTCTAATAGTTTTAAAATGTATTCTTTTGGGCTTTTCAGGTAGACAATAATATATTTAACAAATAATGACAGTTTTGCTTCTCGGCAGTATTTTTATTTTATTTTTTTCTTATTGTACTATGTAGGACCCAATTGCAATGCTGCTTAGTGATGCTGAAAAGTGAGCTTCTTTACTTTAATGAGTCTTCCGCTATGTCACCATTTCATATTTGATTGGCTTTCATTTTCTGGTAAATATTTCTTATTGAATTAGGAGATAGGATTTTTTCTTTTATTCCTCATCTTCTAGTAGATTTTTCTAAAAACTCACAATTGGTATCAAATATCGTCAGGTATTTTATCTGCATCTATTGTAGTGATAGCAGTCATGTGGGTTTTCTCATTTAATGGTTTGATTTTCTCAGAAACTCAGTGAGCTAGATATTAATATACCCATTTTACAGAGATGGAAACGAAACAGCATATAAGTTAAGAAAATTGCTCAAAGTTGGTCAAGCAGTGTGGAACACCATGCCATGAACCCCTGGATTTTCTACAGTTGGCACTGTGTTTGCAGGGCTGTGGTAGCCGTGGCTCACTGTAGATTGTGAAACAAAGGTGAGGATTTGCATACTGTTGATTTCACCTCTGAGGATGTATCCTAGGAAAATAAAGTGTGTGAAGACTATGAACAGTGATGTTTATCACATCACAAGGTAAAAATGTGAAAAAATGAAAAAGTTGAATGAGAGATGAGATGTCATCCATAACAGGTATTAAATGAAACATTATTTTCTTATTAAAATATTAATGATAAGAGAAGTGTTCCTGATAACATAATATGTGAATAAAAGCAATAAGTCTATGACATTTCTGAAAATCCCTGGGAAGAATGCTGGTAAGAGGAATGAAAGGAAGACGCATATTGGAGTCCCAGTAACAGGAAGCCCCTCCTTGGCAGGATTTTGGAAACAAGCCAGTCTCATGTGCTCGGGCCTCTTTAGAGGGACATTTGCTTAAATACATAGCGAGTGAAGGTCACTGAGGGCTGCAGCACAGGTATCTTGCATCCCTGACATGAAGCTCTGGTATGTTCTATGTCTACATCTGGTCAACAGTTGCACCGTGTCAGTGAAAAGTCTGCAGCATCAGTCTCTCTCTGGAATCCCCTGCAGACTCCCCGTGCCCTCCCGACAGCCAGCAGCTGTCACTGCTGGCTCTGTCTCAAGAGCCTGCCACCCTTCATCTTAATGACCCTCTAGACAAGGCAAATGAGGCAGCTCTGCAGGCCCCTTCTCTTCACCTGGAAATGAATTAGTGGTCCATTAGCTTAATGAGGAGCTCTTCCTGCCTCCCCCACCAGAGGGACTGTGCTTTCAGGAACGTGGAGATGTTTTGGATGCAGGTCACACCCGTGGCCAATCAGAAACTATGGTCCAGGGTTCTTTCTGCCCACTTTCCAGCTACGTGGGTGATGTCTGTCTGCTGCTTTATTTTTTTCCCTTTGCAAGCAACTTGTCGTTTGATCTGAATTTAAACAGCCCCGGCTTGCCTGGAGGAGGATAGGTGGGGGGTGGTACAAGTGGCAAATGCTTCTCACAGCTGATATGACAGCCTGGAAGGAACTCTCTTTCCAGTTTCACTCTTGTTTCTGCCTCTGATTCTTTCTTTTAGAGGCTTGGATCAACTCTAACAAACAAGGCGTGGCTGGGAGACTCTCAGGCCCTTTCAGAGTCCTTCTATATATTAACTATAAATTCTTACTGTATGTCAGGTGCTTTGCTAGGTGCTTTTCAAGAATTAGGACATTAAATCCACATAATAATACAGTTTGTTGGAAGCTATTACTATCCCCAGTTTAAAGATGAGAAAACTGAGTCTTAAACAGGTCAAGAAACATGGCCAAGATTTCACGGTCAGTCCATAGCCGAGCATGATAACAGCAGAGCTGGCACTTGCTGAGTGCTTTCTATCTGCTTCGCATGTCACCTATATTAGCTCATTTATCCTAATAACCACCCTGTGAAATAGGCATTATTATTGCCATTTTGGAGTTAAGAAAACTGATGCTGAGATGTTAAGTAAACTGCCCAAGTCTACTTAGTTAGGAAGTGGCAGAAGTGAGGTTTGCACTCACGTAGGTCTGTCTCCAAGGCTAGCAACCGTGACGCTTGGTCTCAGCAAATATTCATTTAGTGCCAGTTAGCAGACCTTGGGTTGGGTTCTTGGAATCTCAGGTGGAACAGGCCATGCCATTAAAGAATGCATAGTCCAGGGAGAAGGAAACGCGGAAAAGACAATTTCAACATAAGAGAGAAAGCCCAAGGAGTGGACCTTGAAATGTAAAAGGATTCCCATATGTATTAGTCAGGGTTCTCTTAGATGGACAGAACTAATAGAATAGATGTGTGTGTGTGTGTGTGTGTGTGTGTGTGTGTGTGTGTGTGTATAAAGGGGAGTTTATTAAGTATTAACTTACATGATCACAAGGTCCCACAATAGGCTGTCTGCAAGCTGAGGAGCAAGGAGAGCCAGTTCAAGTCCCAAAACTGAAGAACTTGAAAGCATGGGAGAAAGATGTTGGCTGGGAGGTGAAGCCTGTCTCTCTGCCTCACGTTTTTCTGCCTGCTTTATATTCATGGATTGCCGATTAGATGGTGCCCACACGATTAAGGGTGGGTGTACCTTCCCCAGACCGCTGACTCCAATGTTAATCCCCTTTGGCAACACCCAGGATCAATATTGCACCCTTCAATCCAATCAAGTTGACACTCAGTATTAATAATAGCACCAAAAGAGAGGATGTTTCATGTAAATATTAAAAGATGAGTTGAGATTAGTTGAATACATGGTTGCTGGTGATGAGACAGAGGCAGGTCTGACAGCTCAAGGCTGTGTAGGATGGACAGGGGGTAGGTGAGAGAGGCTTGAGCCTCAGTTTGTCTGCTAAGCGTAGGGATTTTCAGTTGGTGAAGTGGTTCAAGTAGGCAGTATGCCTATCACTGAAGACGTTTGCCATGATCAAGAGTTCCAAATTTATCTTAGAAACAACTAACCACAAATGAGCTGCAGAGTGTTATGGTCAGAATGGAGGGAAGAGACTTGAGGGGTCCAGTTAGGAGACTTCTGCAACCTCCTAGACTAGACAAGACAAAAGCCTGAAGGGATTCTGTGCTGGCTGCAATTTTCCCCACTGTTTTTGACCCAGGAAGCTGAGCCTCCTTTGGTCTCATGGATGGCACTATTGATGGGCCAGAATGCTCCCCCTCCACGGCTGGGTTCCGGGAGTCAGGACTGGGTGTCTCCGATGGACAGTTTGCTGTCTCGGCCTGCAGCTTGGATGGCGTTGGAGAGGCAAAGCTGCATTAGCTTCCTTTAGGTCTTTGTTTGTTGACAAAGTTTAAATTTGCAATTTCATGGTTTGGTTACAATGAGGTTAGTTTATAAAATTCATGAGCTGTTAGGGGAGACTCAGAAATCCCTACAGATCAGTGCACATGGTGGCAGCCACTACCAATGTCGGGAAGCACAGCTGCTCGGAGCTCTCTTTTGTGCTGCTCTAAAGCCATTGATTGGAGACTAATTTCTCCTGGGACAGATTGGGATTGGGAGCCCCAAACCGAAAGAATGTTTAATTCTAGATTTCTTAATTGTGCTGGGAAGGGAGTTCTTGGGAATGGTAGAGCAATGAAAGGAGCAAAGTGGTGGGGTGGTGTGGGTCAGGGTGAGAGTTACAGAGAAAAGAAGCAATTCACTTCTGGTGGCCTTGAAAGACTTACCTGGTAGGAATGTTTTCAGGCTAGCACTCTGTGACTGCCTCCTTTGGGGTAAGCAAAGTTAGAAATACATGAAGTGGTTTCTTATGGAAAGATTTTGGTTCTAACCATGCCTCTAGAAAGCTGGGAGACTCTGGAAAGGTCATTTGCATTGCTGAAGCCATTTCTTGGTCTTGTATTTGAGACCAATAGCAGGTTGATTGTAAAGGTATTCCTAAAGAAAGCATTTGAAATGGCAGGAGTCCAGAGTGTGGACTGTGTGGAAGATGAAGAGGGCATAGTGGGGATTTCTGGCAAAGAAATGTATTCTTCAATCTTAGAGCTGGGACTGAACTAGACAGCTTAGTTATTGGTGAAAGGACTGCTATTAAAAATAGATTCTTATTTCTCATAAGTCATATGTACATCGAATACAATTTAGAAGGGACCAAAAGATAATGTAGAGAGCAAGACAAAGCTCTATCCTTTCCCTGTCTACCAGCATCTTGTTCCTCCCCATGGGAGTAGGAGGTGTTATTAGTTCCACATGTTCCCTTACAGAGATAGTCCATGCATTTACTGTGGATATTTGTATGTGTAATTTTTAAACATTAAACAGGGTATGATATGTATTATTTCTAACCTTGCTTTTCAGTGGTGCCATTTTGAAATACCATCCATCGCAGAGCCAGTTCTTTGATTCAGTTTGTTTTCAGACTATTTGCAAAATTCTCTTTCACCTCAGAATATTTATGAGCTCTGAGCTTGAAATGACATTAGCAAATTCTGACCCTTCAGCTTCAATTTTTCTGGACTGATGTTTTCCCTCCTAGCAACCAAAATTGATTGTTTGATTTTATGGCCGAGAGTTTTTCACTTGTTGATGAACTGAGGAAGAACACAAGGAAGAAAGAAGAAATAGGTGAACTAGGCAAATAGTTACCAATTAATTTGACAGCAAATAGTCAAGGTGGGCGAGGGAAAAGGGTATGATCCAGGAAATATTAAATCAACACACTCACTGACAAGAGCCACATGACAAGAGCGGTTATGAATACCATGAGATTTGAAAGGAACAATTGTGTATTAATCTCATTAAGTATATTGAGGTGGGGGCTTCAAAATTCACAGGCAATTGTCCTGTTTCCAGATTGCCTCCTCTGACTAGAGAGTCACAAATCCCTGGGAATGAACAGCTTGATAGAGCAATGACTGCCAGTCTTTAATCCTAGAACTCCTGTGGGGTTTGCTATGGGAATAAGAAGGCCAATTTAGCCTCATCCATATGTGCCGTGCACTCAGGAATAATGTATTTTGACATGTGTATTTCCTCTAGGATCTCTTTTCACTGCAAAACACCCCAATTTTAGAGAAGTAATTACAAGAATTACACAGGCTATAGAATATTAATTAATGTTCCTTGTAAGTGGAAAGAGTGCTTCTCATGCTATTTCTCTCTTGGTATCTGACATGTTTCTATAATTCGGTAGTTGTTTCCGATCTGTACTGAATGTATTTTTTCTCTCCACCCTGATGACTGTTTCCTGAAATGGGATGGCCACCCAAATTTTTTGTATTTTATGAGAGCTTTTGGGTTTTCAAATATCATCTTCTCATAAGTCAAGTTGCAAATTCTTATTTATTTCCTAGGTGTTTGCAATCACTGATATTCATTTTCATTAACTCATTGGGTTGCCGGCTACATCTGTTCGGTAGCTCCATAGGAATTGCCTGCCATGAACCGAGAGCTATATGGGAAATGTGGCTGGCCGTAATTTCCTCCCAGGACCCTAGAAAGCTACATGGCTAAACATGTAATATGAAAGGTCTTAACAAGTCATTGAATCATTTTTCCAGATTAGATTTCCAAATGTCAAAAGAAACAGCAGCTCATTAAAACCGCAGCTGTAAAATCCACCAACAGCACGTGTAGAAAAGTGATTACAGAGCAAGCTTGATTAATTAGGTGTGAAAATTTAGGACCAGCGTGGTAATAAATGATGGAACTCACCAGCAGCCTGCTTCCCTTCCACTGTGTTTTGCTGAATGGCCAATTTTCCACTTGTCTATTGTACAGAGATCACATTTCAGAGCTGGTAAAGTTTACATCTAAATCACAGAGCTAACAGAATACCATGCTTGAGATCAGACAGAGTTCTGACTTTGGCTTCATTATCCTCTTTCTTTGTAGCCTTTGATACATCACTGAATCATTCTCAGTCTAATTTACTCCATTTATAGATGGTGAATTTCAGCTCCTACTTAGATACCTTGTCTTTGAATAGAAGCAATTTCATTAAAAACATGAACAAAATGAACTTTACATAATCCTGTGTGTGGCTTTGGGGTCTTTGGTATAAGAGATCCTGTGATATGTAAATATTATGTTCATTGTCCAACATAGTTTGGAAATCTGATGTTCTGGCTTATCAAATTAATCTCTTGAATGGAGTTAAATAACATTTGTAAAAGTGCCTAGCCTGGGGCATGGGGCGTAGAAAGTAGTCAATGAACATTTGATGAATCACCACCACCTGAATGGAAACAGAAGATTACCAATTCCAGAGAATGACAATAGAAAACGATATGTTTATCAGGACGGAAATACTATGGTGAGTAGAATATAATCCCTTTTTGATGATTCAGAAGATAGTATTGTGCCTTACTTTAGGGTCATAAATATTAATCAATAGTTACAAATATAGTGTTGATCATATTCCATTTCTCCTAGGCCCCAAACCTTCAGTGACTTCCAATTGACTATAAAAGCCCAATTTTTATGACCTGCTCTTCCAGGGCATTCATTATGCGGCCCCCATGTTATTTCTCACTATTTATCTTTGTGCATCTGAACAGCCAAATTACACTGCTCCGTGCTTATGTCCCAGAATTCCCCAATTCCAAGCCTTTGCCACTCATTAAATAATTTTTGGAGCACTTGCTCTGTCCCAGGCACTGTGCTAGATCCTGGGGGAGAGAAATTTAAATATATATAGTCCTTGACTTCCAGTAGCTCTTTGTCTAGTAAGAAGAGACATATAAACACACATTTGTAGTCCAGTGTAATAAACTCAATGATAAATGCTCTACCTTGCTATCTAGCTGCAGAAGTTCATGGCTCCCTTAGCTGCAGTGTCTTTTCCCTTTACTTCACATAAGTCATGTACTCTGACTGCGGCTAGAATCATGTGCTTGCCTAGAACAGCCCCCTTTCCAAGATTTCCCTCTAAGCAAGCCCTCTGCTAATTCCTCTGTGCTGTGGCTTCCCTCCATTATTCTCAAGTCTCATTGCAACTGTCAATCTTTTGCTTCCACTATTTTTTTTTTCTCCTTTTCCACTCCCTTCTCTACCAAGCCTGAACTCTGTGGAATATTCCTGAAAATTTTGATGGCTCTCTGGACAGTACCCTAAACTCTGTTATTCTGCCATAAAATCCTGGATCAATCCTTTTGTCTACCTTCTGCACTCTATAATTATCCTTTGTGTAGTGTTGAGGACATCTGGCCAGGCAAATATCACTACCAAGACCATGTTCCTTCAGTTCATTTGGTCACTGGTGC
This sequence comes from Homo sapiens, assembly GCF_000001405.40. Taxonomy (NCBI): domain Eukaryota; kingdom Metazoa; phylum Chordata; class Mammalia; order Primates; family Hominidae; genus Homo; species Homo sapiens. The sequence goes on along the minus strand of NC_000011.10, from coordinate 133,676,069 downwards.
TACCCAGAAACCCTTTACATGTTCCTCATTAAGCTGCCAAATGACTGTTTCAGAATTTCTCCTTTCTTCTGTAATGGACATATAAAGCACCTTGTATTCAAGAGTCTGAATCTTATTCCCAAGAAACGTGTTGCTGGTAAAATGCTTTAAAGTGTGTGTGTGTGTGTGTGTGTGTGTGTGTGTGTGTGTGTGTGTATGTGTGAGAGAGAGAGAGAGAGAGAGAGACAGAGACAGAGAGACAGGCAGAGAGATGATCAGACCTGCAACTCAGCTAGATTCTTTCTGGAAGATGTTTAGAGGTAGGTTTCAGGGGTCAAGACTGGAGTGGATGCTAGGTACGGTGGCTCACGCCTGTAATCCCAGCACTTTGGGAGGCCGAGGTGGGCAGATCAAGAGGTCAAGAGATCACGACCATCCTGGCCAACATGGTGAAACATCATCTCTGCTGAAAATGCAAAAATTAGCCGGGCGTGGTGGTGGGCACCTGTAATCCCAGATACTTGGGAGGCTGGGGCAGGAGAGTTGCTTGAACCCAGGAGGCAGAGGTTGCAGTGAGCCAAGATCGCACCACTGCACTCCAGCCTGGCGACAGAGTGAGACTCCTCTGTCTAAAAAAAAAAAAGACTGGAGTGGAGAGCCTGTTAATGTAATGTAGGCAAGGCTAATAAGGGACTGAGCTAGGGTCTTGGTAGGAGTGACAGGAAGGAGGAGATAGATTTGAGAAATATGTAGTGAGTAAAATCAGCAAACTCCAGCTGAGGCAGAAAATATAGGAGAAGGTGACTTCTTAGGGAGAAAACTAATGATTTTTCATTTTCAACATGTTGAGCTGTAGTTGCCTGTGGGATATATGATATATGTGTCTGAAGCTCAGGGGATGAGGCCAGGGCTAGAAATATAGATTTAGGAGTCGTCATCATATAGATGATAATTAAAATCATGTGAATGACTGTGGTTATCCAGGGAGCATGTGGAGTGAGAAAACCAGCGGGTGGAGGACAGAACCCTGTGAAACGACAGCCTTTACAGAGCAGATGGAGGAAGATGAGCCCACGAAGGGGCCAGAGAGAAATCATCCAAGGTGCAAGGAGAGCCAGGGAACATGGTGTAATGGAAGCCTCAAGAAGGAAGGAATGATTAATTACATCACATGTAGCATCAAAACCCAATCAGATTAGGATCTTAAAACGCCCATTACATTTGACATTTAGGAGCTCCTGAGTGACATTTTCTGAGAATATATTCAATTGAAAGTGAAAGCAGAAGCCAAATTACTGAGGATTGGGAGGGGAAGAATGGGATTCAGTTAGTATAGGTCTCACCTGAAAATGACAGGTTAGAAGGGGAAGAGGTAGACTGGATGGCCACTACCTAGTTATTAGGTAGAACAGATGGTTGTGGAATAGCTGATGCTGTGTCCTTCTGTTGCAAGGTCCTTCATAACTGCTCCACAGTTTTACACGTCATTCAAGGAATTATTAAATGAATAGTTTTTCCATGAAATCGCTGGAGATCTTCCCATGGGGAAGTATTATCTCCCTTCTCTGAACTCTCACAACTCCAAATGTATGGCTCTGTTAAGACGTTCACTTCTGGTTTACTTTAAACCTCATATTATGGTTATTTATGTATATACTCAATTTTTAGATCATTATGTACCTCAAATATACCTTAAATTTGTTCAATATTTATTTTCCAGTGTTCTATATGCCTATATTTTAGAACGTAAAGTAGCCAACAGAATGCTGTCAGGCCAGCAGGAATTCAATAATTATTGCAGGAATATATCAACCTGAACATCAATCATAACTACATAGAAATGTTTTGGAACTTTGGTTAGCACCGAGTTTTTTTTTTTTTTTTTAATACTTTAAGTTCTAGGGTACATGTGCACAACGTGCAGGTTTGTTACATATGTATACATGTGCCATGTTGGTGTGCTGCACCCATTAACTCGTCATTTACATTAGGTATATCTCCTAATGCTATCCCTCCCCACTCCCCCCACCCCACAACAGGCCCCAGTGTGTGATGTTCCCCTTCCTGTGTCCATGCGTTCTCATTGTTCAATTCCCACCTATGAGTGAGAACATGCGGTGTTTGGTTTTTTGTCCTTGCCATAGTTTGCTGAGCATGATGGTTTCCAGCTTCATCCATGTCCCTACAAAGGACATGAACTCATCATTTTTTATGGCTGCATAGTATTCCATGGTGTATATGTGCCACATTTTCTTAATCCAGTCTATCATTGTTGGACATTTGGCTTGGTTCCAAGTCTTTGCTATTGTGAATAATGCCGTAATAAACATACGTGTGTGTGTGTGTCTTTATAGCAGCATGATTTATAATCCTTTGGATATATACCCAGTAATGGGATGGCTGGGTCAAATGGTATTTCTAGTTCTAGATCCCTGAGGAATCGCCACACTGACTTCCACAATGGTTGAACTAGTTTACAGTCCCACCAACAGTGTAAAAGTGTTCCTATTTCTCCACATCCTCTCCAGCACCTGTTGTTTCCTGACTTTTTAATGATCGCCATTCTAAGTGGTGTGAGATGGTATCTCATTGTGGTTTTGATTTGCATTTCTCTGATGGCCAGTGATGATGAACATTTTTTCATGTCTTTTGGCTGCATAAATGTCTTCTTTTGAGAAGTGTCTGTTCATATCCTTCACCCACTTTTTGATGGGGTTGTTTGTTTTTTTCTTGTAAATTTGTTTGAGTTCATTGTAGATTCTGGATATTAGCCCTTTGTCAGATGAGTAGATTGCAACAATTTTCTCCCATTCTGTAGGTTGCCTCAATTTTTAGATCATTAAGTACCTCAAATATACCTTATATTTGTTCAATGTTTATTTTCCAGTGTTCTATATGCCTATATTTTAGAACGTAAAGTAGCCAACAGAATGCTGTCAGGCCAGCAGGAATTCAATAATTATTGCAGGAATATATCAACCTGAACATCAATCATAACTACATAGAAATGTTTTGCAACTTTGGTCAGCATCGAGTTTTGTTAATAGAATCAATTAACAGAAGGTGACCTGTAGGTAATATTTTTACCCTAATTGTTGACAAAGTTCTTTAGCTTGGGCTTCTGCTATACATGGTCCTTGAAAAAATGTGAAGTTGAATTTCCCACAAAGGTAGCAATTCTTACCTCTCTGTGGTATGGTGATTTGAAATTGTTGGGAAGAAAAGTCAGCTGGAAGGGCTTGGACGTGATGTTCTCATATCTTTGATAACAAACAATACCTTTAACAAAAACTACTCTTACAGGATTGGCTCAAGAGAGTCCTTTATAGCAGTCTAAGCACACTTTTCTCTTTTTGTGTCATTTTAGAGGGTAATGGCTGTCAAGTCCCAGTTGTCCCAATATTTAATTTATATGAATAATTACAGACATTTGGATATTCTCATAAGATTTCTTTAGAAATCCACATGGATGCCTTTGTTTTTGTTTCCTGGAAAGTCGCTGTTGGGAGAGGATGTGGAAAGACAGGGTTATCTATCCCTGTGTCTTCCCAGAAATCCCAGCACTAGGATAATGGTTAAATGGTTTTCTTCTAAAAGTGAGAGAATTTTAGAGAGAGAGACTAGGCACTTACTAATTGAAGGGCATTTATTTCCTTTTCAAAGGCAGTCTCATATGGGGCCTGTTTTTACCCAAAGCAGGAGGAAACCATGATTTCGATGTTTTTCTGTGTGAGCAGAGGAAGCTGTTTTGGACACAGCTGTATTGACAGTCACCCATTTCAGTCCCCACCGATGGTGCAATGTCCCCTCACCTGTGAGTGTCTGCAAGGGAAGGATTGAAGTAGCAGTGGGGCTGGCCTCATGGGCCCGTGATGCTCAGAAGGGCCTCTTGACCGGTTTAATGCTCTGCTGCTGCTGACTTGAAATTCTTAATAATTTTTGAACAAGGGAGTCTGCATTTTCATTTTGTATTTGGCCCTGAAAATTATGTAGGCTGTCCTAAGTGTCAGCACTGGTCCATGCTGATGGTGGATCCTCAGCTCCACTTGCGTACATGACTAAATGACTCCTCTGGGTCCTGTTGCTGGTAACGGCACCTCATCTCCAGGGGTGCTGGGGAAGAGTGAGAATGCTGAAATGCTCACTTGTTAGTCTTCTTGAAACAGCTCAGCATGTTCACCAGCCAGCAGCATCATCTTCATATAAGATAACCTGAACATTCTACGTACTTAATGAGACAACTAGAGTGTCTGTTCCAATTACCTTTTTGGGGAAAAAGAAAGGAGCATGCTGGCATGAATGAATAGCAGCTGAGTGTTCATTTAAAAGGTCAAGTCTATTCAGTCTCTCCACTTGGTGCGCTGGTCTCCCTGCCCCACTCTTGGCACTTTAATCAGATGCTTGTTTCGCAGTCCAATGTGGCACACCCAGGGTTCGATGGGGCCAGTACATTGTGCATTTATTTGGATTAACATGTCTTATATTAAGTTTTCTTTTCAAAGAGGCTTATGCAGAGCATCAGATAATGAAGTTTCTGCTGCAGTGCCATCAAGAGGCAGGCAGAAAAGCATTTGCTGGATAGAAGATGCTTTAAGATTGTGAATCAAACAAGTGAGCCCAAGCCTGCCTGGGGAGTGATTTTCTTAAAACAGCAGTGACAAAATCTCATACAGATGCAAAGAAGATGCCTGGAAGCCTGGAGCCATCCTTCATTTTGGATGACCGCTCAAGACTGCAAATATTTGTGGGGAAGTTACAAGCTGCCAATAGCGGCGTGGAACTTACAGTGGAAGCCTAATTTGAGTGTTAGACAAGGATGGCAGGGCAGAGCTGCGTGATTAAGTTAATATGTATTGACATTTTCCCGTTGTTTTGACTTCCTAGGCTGTTTAAATTCACTCTTGCCACAACAAAATACAAAAGAGGCTGCGATGACATTGATTTTTTGGAAATCTTGCCTCTGAAAGATAGTGTGTTTTTTGTTCTGTGTACGTGTGTGTGCTTGTGTGCTTGCACTTCAGCGCTGACAGGAAGGCAGAAATGTTACTATTGTGGCACAGATAATTACGTCAAATTGTTGAGCATAAATTATCGAGGGAAATACATTTTGATTGTGAGCATCAATCAATTTTATGTGTTATGAAATTGCCACCATTTGAGTTTGCTGAGGTGACTTATTTCTGGCAGCTGTGAGCACATGATAGTTTGAAAATAGACACTCTGCTGTCTCAGGTCTGCATCAAGACCTGGACTCCTTGATTCATAGGGGGGAAGACCACAAGTGTGAAGGGGTTTGTGTGTGTAAAGAAACACCCATTTCGCCGGGTGCGGTGGCTCACACCTGTAATCCCAGCACTTTGGGAGGCCGAGGTGGGTGGATCTCGAGGTCAGGAGATCGAGACCATCCTGGCTAACACGGTGAAACCCCGTCTCTACTAAAAATACAAAAAATTAGCCGGGCGTGGTGGTGGGCGCCTGTAGTCCCAGCTACTTGGGAGGCTGAGGCAGGAGAATGGCGTGAATCCGGGAGGCGGAGCTTGCAGTGAGCCAAGATCACGTCACTGCACTCCAGCCTGGGTGACAGAGTGAGACTCTGTCTCAAAAAAAAAAAAAAAAAAGAAAAGAAAAAAGAAAAGGAACGCCCATTTCACACTCTTTAACCTGAGGCAAGTGAGATTTTACTAGGTCCACATTCCTTCAACAAGGCTTTAGCCACACGCAGTTTAGCCCCTTTGTTTATCATGGCCTGCCATACCTGTGCTTCCAATTCAGAAGCAAATTGAGCTGCAAACTTCCAGCCTATTCCTGCACCATGAAATATGCCTCATCATAATTGAAAAAGATTTGTTTAGTTTTAGCAAACAGACAATACCCTATTATCTAGCCATCTCACTATTATCTAAATGGAAAGAACCAATAATAACTGTAATCAGAATGTCTACATACCTGAATGTTAGTGTCTGCATTTTATACTTGGAGTTTCTGAGGTGGGGGGAGGGGTGCATCTGTAGATGCATAGATTAGATGCACCTATATGCAAATGTGAATGCATATATTATATTCACATTTTAATATAGATGCATCTAATCTAGGGATTTTCAATATTCAAAACAAAGTAATAATTCTTCTCTTAGGAAACCCAAGTCAGAGAAGCCAGCAAGTTGTCTTTCTTCCCCAGATTGTAAGCCCTGCTCAGCCCTTCCCTCTCTGTGGGCAGACAGCAGGGCGGGGCGGAAAGCCGCAGCCCGTGGAGGACTGCGTTCCCTCTCTCACTCTCTGTTTCTGTGGTTGAACACTTTTTTGGGGGCAGAGAGAAGTTACTTGACTATTTTGGTTTGGAGGGACTGCTGGTCAGACTGTAGGGAGCAAAAAGCAGCAGAGACCAAGATGGTGATCGTGAAGGAGTATGACCTATCAGCTGTGCCAAAAAGGACTTTAAAACAACACTGGCTGAGCCACACTGACCCCAGCTTGCTCTTAGACCCCAGCTTGGCTCTTTCCTCCTGAGGATGGCGCGTGCCCTGGGACCTGAAGGCGGGGCTGTGGGGCCGAGAGCACAGCCTCTGGGGCAGACTGCTGCGGTCTGAGTCCTGGCTCTAGTTCTATAGCTGCGTGACTTTTGGCAAAGTATTTAACCTCTTTCTGCCTTGGTTTCCCCACCTGTGAAATGGGGAAGATAACAGTCCTCACCTCAGAGGTCTGTTAAATGAAATAAGGTAATATGTAGAAAATGGCTAGAAGAGGATTTGGCACATAGAAAAAACAGTATGTGTCTTAGTTGTTTATCTATATATAGACAATTCAGAATGCGGCAATCACCCCTCATATTGGCATTCAGGAAATAGCTATAATGGTAACTTCATATTTAAATCTATATCTACTCTTTGATTTGGGAAAAAAAAGTTTCAGCATTTCTTCCACAAATGGCTTTTAACTGTTTTTATTTTCCCAACCCCAGAGTGGGGTAAATATTTCAGTCAAATTTCTGAAAACTTTATAGGACTCCCAAAAATGAATGGGGTTGTTGAGCTATCTCAAAAGGAGGTAGCACCCTGTGAGTCTTGAGGAGAAAGCCAATACTGGGAGTTAAAATGACCCCAAATTATTCTGAATTGAAGCAGGTATTTAAAATGCTCTTTAAAAAGGATAAATACAAACAAGCAATCAAAGATGAAATGATTGGAAGGTCTGAAGTTGTCACTCGCAGATAACGTGATGATGTACAAACAAACCGCAGAAAATTAAACCATTGTAACTAAAAGCAGAGGCCAGTGAAGTTTTCAGATACAATATTAACTTAAAAAGATCAAACACATTTCTGCATACTAGCAGTAACCAGCCAGAAGACTTTTAGAATCCAAGATACGACCTATAACAACCAAAAACAAAAGCAACATATGTAGCAAAGAATACAATCAATATTTAAGAAAGAATATAAAAATCTGTTATGGATATTTAGAAATAATACAAATATATGTTCAATCGTTTCATACTCTGAATAGGATAATTTATCACAATAAAGATGTCAGTATTCCCAGATTGATCTCTACATTCAATGCAAATCAAATGTCCAATTAAAGTACTAGCTGAATTTTTTTTAGACAGGGTCTCACTCTGTCACCCAGGCTGGAGTGCAGTTGTGCTGTCTTGGCTCACTGCAACCTCCGCCTTCTGAGCTCAAGTGATCCTCCCACCTCAGCCTCCCAAGTAGCTGGGACCAAAGGTTCATACCACCATGCCAGGCTAATTGTTTTGTATTCTTTTTGGTAGAGACAGCGTTTTGCCATGTTGCCCAGGCTGGTCTCAAACTCCTGAGCTCAAGTGGTCTGCCTGCCTTGGCCTCGCAAAGTCCTGGGATTACCAGTGTGAGCCACCATGCCTGGACTAGCTGAATTTTTTTTTTTTTTTAAAACAGAACTCAATAAAAGCATTCTAAACATATACGAGAGGACAAAGGTCCATGCATAGCTAAGTCAACTTTATGGAAGGAGAGATGTGCTGCATAGTTATAGTAGTTAAAACATGTGGACTCTAAGAACAGACAAATAGACCAATGGAGCAAAAGACAGTCTTCAGAGATAGAACCAAATTGATTTCATACATTTTATAGGTGGTACTAAAAACAATCAGGAAGGGGCTGTCTCTTTAACAGAAGTGATGGGGAACCTGGCTTACAACATGGAGAAAGATAAAACTGGATACCTCACTGGAACCACCTACGAAGGTGGACTCCGTGTTAATTACAGACCTAAATCTGAAAGGTAAAAAGTTAACAGAAAGTAATGTTGGGGGATCTTTGTGACCCAGGGTGGGGGAAGACTTTTTAAAACACTAAAAGTGCAGAAAGTACATAAAGGCAAAATTGGATTACAGTAAGATTAGGTGCTCTGTTCAACAAAAGATATCTTGGATAAAATCAACACTGAGAGATTGAGAGATGATATGCAGGATGATAAGCTGATGAGATTAATACCTAAAAAATCTTGAGACTCAGCAAGAGAAAGACAAGAGCTCTAAAAGAAAAATGAGATATGAATAGCAAATTTGTATAAGATGAATCCAAATTAAACCAAACAAGCGATACAAAGAGATGCTAATTTTTTTGAAATTAAAGAAAACGGAAATCCCCATATAACTGACAGTAATTAGGAAGCTGGGTGATATGTCGATGAGGGTGAGGGGATACAGGAACCCTCACGGGGGGAGTAGAGACTGAGATTGCCATTGTGAAGAGTAATCGGAAAGTACTTGCTTAAATTAAGTATACATATACCCTACTGTCAAGCAGTTTCCTCCTAGGTGCATTTCCCAGAAAACTTCCAGGCCAGGTCCAAGGATGCTCATCACAGCATTGTTCATGGTAGAGGAGAGATACATATCAAGGCAGGAATGGATAAATAAAGCATGACGGAATCACACTGTGAATTACAATGACACATTTAAGAAGCAACAGAACAGATCTACCCAGCACAGCATGGCTAGATCTTAAACCCACAGTGTTCAATGTAGAAAGAAACTGAATGAGGTCTATAGCACAAAACAGTATTGGTAGACTGAAACACATTTAAGCAAATCAAATTACATGTTTTACAAGATCATGTGTAAATGAATGTGTGTGTATGTGTGTGTGCACGCTCACCTCTCTAACATGTTTACATGGTTGCTTAGGGGAGAAAAGGACATAGGAGTGAAGAATGGCACAAAAATGGGGCTGTGTATGAACTTAATGGTGAAAGTGTGCCCATAAATAAGGCTTATAATTAACTCAACTCTGCACGTGAGGTCAAAGCTAAAGGGCTGGGAAGAAACGTTTGAAGAGTTTAGGAACCAGCCTCTACCATGTCCCTACCAAAACCCTGTTAAAGACCATCCAGCAAGGCTGCCTTACATACAACCCAAAAGTCTCTGTGTTGCAGATGATTCCTCTGCTGCTGCTGTGAGCAGAAACTCTGATTTCTCCTGTACTGAGGTTGATGTAACTTTATTTTTGGCATAGAGCCATTTTTCCACAAGTGGAATATCAAGGCGTTCCTCTCCACCAGAGCAATTTGGGAATTTCATTTAGCTTCATTATGATAAAACTTCACTCAACCTGAGTGCATGATAAGCAACTTCTATTGCATTTTCCATATTCGTGTATCTAAGGAGAAGGCAAGTTGCTCTCCAAATTTATGCAGATGCTAGAATTCTAAGATGAAAAATAGTGGGAAAAACAGTTCACAAGTCTCAGATGCTAAATAACAACAGCGAGGATTCGAAAACTGTTTCCAGATTTCCAGAAAATCTTTAACTTCATCAAGAGATAAATCAAATTGCAGGTGCTATTGACAGCTATTTAAGCTGGAGGATGGCACATCTTGATTGAGAAAAGCAAATTAAAAGAGGCAACCAATGAACCCTTTATGCATGTATCATTTAATCTATTTTCACAGACTTTCTAGGTTTTTATTATACTTTCTAGAAACTTAATTATTAGAGGTCGCCATTTTTTAAAGTCAAATTTATCTGTTAAAAACTCTAAATTTGGCCGGGCACGGTAGCTCACACCTGTAATACCAGCACTTTGGGACGCCAAGGTGGGCGGATCACGAGGTCAAGAAATCGAGACCATCCTGGCCAACATGGTGAAACCCCGTCTCTATTAAAAATACAAAAATTAGCTCGGCGTGGTGGTGCGTGTCTGTAATCCCAGCTACTTGGGAGGCTGAGGCAGGAGAAGCGCTTGAACCTGGGATACGGAGGTTGCCGTGAGCCGAGATCGCGTCACTGCACTCCAGCCTGGCAACAGAGTGAGACTCTGTCTCAAAAAACAAACAACAACAACAACAAAAAACAACAACAACAACAACAACAAAAGCCCCCTAAATTTACAAAGAAAGGAAAGATAAAAACATAAATGGAGTACATCACTCTCCTTTCTGAGATGCGTTAGAAATTTTTGGAAACTAGAACATTCTATGTGCATTCAGAAACGCCATGTATTTATTATACCCTCTATATGGCTACTAATGAGTATTAAATAAAATACTCATTGAAATAAAAGGTTAATTAAGCTCAAAATAGTAATGGACTTCCATGTTATGCAGGGTATTTCTCAAAAGCATTTCCTATGCAGGTAATTTGTATGCATTATTTTTATAGTTTCTTTCATTCATTCATTTATTCATTCTTGAGTCTTTCATTCATTAAGTATTGAGTGCCTGCTCCATGCCAGGGACTGTTCAGCCTTTGGTGGCACCCTCACTGGCCTGCTTGTCCACTGCAGGGGCCATGCCTGTTTATAGTCCCAGAACCAGCAGAGTTCACAGAAATAGGATGCTCTTAACTTTGAAGGGGGCATTAGGTCCCGTCCTCCAATTCCCCTGAGACGTTGCCCATATTCTTTTTCAAGACTTTTTAGGGAGGTCCTTTGTCTGACTTCCTGTATCTCTGTACCGTGTTCTTGACTCAGTGTTTAATACCAAGTGTTTAATAATATCAGTGCAACTATATTTCTTACTCTTTGTGAGAAAATGTAGTTTCTATCATTATTCTTCAGTACCTGAGCAGGGGTGGTGGGGGTGGGATGGGGGGAAGAGTAGCAATTGTTACTCTGTATCAGGCACTGTTCTAAAAATTTTACATGCTTTTAGTCAACTTGGCCTTACTGTGACCCTCTGAGTAGCTAGACAATCACCCAGCTCACATCACTCAGATGCTAAACAAAAGCAAGTAAGTCAAAAACTGCTTCCAGATTTTCAGAAAATCTTTAACTTCATCAAAGGGATAAATCAATTTGCAAATGCTATTGTCAGCTACTATCATAATAATTAATATTAGCCCCATTTTACAGATAAGAAAGCTGAAATCTAGAAAGTTTAAATGACGTGCTCAAGGCTGCATAGCCAGAAAGCAAAGGAGACGTGAATTTCATGATGAGACATGGTTGAGTGTACTCACTTTTTCCAAACGAATCTCCATTCCTTTAGACATGACCTGGAGGATAGAGGATACTGTGCCCAAGCTTCTCCCCTCCCTCCTGCTGCTCTGAGGTGATGTCACCAGTACCCCCACTGCAGATCCACTGTTCCAGCAAACGGGTCCAAAATAGTGTTCTGAAATCAGAGTTCCTAAATTTTGATGGGAGAGAGAGAGCCCCAGGGAAGGGAAGAGGGATAAGTTTGGGTTGCAGAATGGTCAGATCATAGAGATGAAGATTCTACATGAGGGAGGGTAGATGCTGCCCATGAGAGTCTACGGGGAAGATATTAGTGCTAATTGGACAAACTGAGCTGGTGAACACATGATAGAGCAATTCACCCTGGCAGGACAAGAGAGGCTTGCCCCCTTTGCTTCTACTCATCCGTTTTGATGGAAGGCCTCGCTCTCCGGTTTCCTCCCATTCCTGCCCCATTGAAGGAGAATTTGTGGAGGGCAAACAATCCATTTCAGAAACTTGGGATAGGTTGACTCTGACTTAAACTCTAAGGTGTACCTTGCAGAATTGGCCACAGCTTATTTTATTTGGCAGTGAAGAATAGCAACGGAGAGTTCATTCTTGTTTTTTTCTTTTCCCTCTTCTTAAGCAAGAGGTTTCTTGTATGTAGACTAGCTCTCATAACTAACATTTTGATGAAATTAGAAGCATACGTATTCATGCCGCTTGTTTTTCCGAATTTCCCAGAGAATGGTCTTGAAGTACAATGTTGTAGGTTCTGTCAAACTCACACGTCAGCTAGGAGCCGCTTGAGAGCTGAATTTATTATCTGAATAGCTCCTTGTGCCCCATCCACACCCATGGGGACCCAGCAGTGTCGCCCAGAGTCTGCTGAACCCTCGGTGGTGCCACCCTCTCAGGAATCCTGCCTGTGCCTTTGGCTCATGGCTGCTGATTGAAGTCTGTGGCATATGTCCCCTATATATAGAAATGCACATATCTATACGCGGCTATGGAGCTACAGATAGGCACACTGACACCCCCACACGTGAATCTGTGCAAATTTTTTTCTTGACTTTTTCCTTCAACCCAGTGATTTCCTAACGATCTGTTACCCATCTAAAACAGATTGCTTTCCATGGTTCAGCAGTCCCAGCACAGACATTCATTTTAATCAATAGAGCAGTCAAAAGAAAGAATAGATTTACTTGTTTTTTTCTTTTTTTACATTTAATTGGAAATTTTCAAGTGATTACCAACTTGTGTAGATCTCAAAGTTTAGGAAGCACTGTTAGCTGAGCACATGGACCTGGCATAAGTGCACACACGTCACCAGGCAGGATGTGGGTCTGCAGAGAGGCTGGGCTGGGGTGGAATGATGCAAACTGTTCCTGTGGTACAGCCTAGTTCCCTTCATTTCTCTCTTACATCATCAGCACTAAACTCCGAATTCCCAGGCATGTCTCTAGGACCCAGGGCCTGTCTTTCATCTTCACCCTCATTGCCAATACCTTAGTCCAGGCTGGCATCATCATTCCCTTGTGCTGCTGCACATCTGGGCTCCTTGCCTTTGGTTCCTCTTCCAACTGTTCTTTGAATTAGCTTTCTAAAGAAAAATATAACCATGCCACTTCCTTGCTCAAAAACTGTATCTAAATCTCCACTGTCATGTGGCCTTCAGCTTGTTACTTAAACTCTGGATGTCAGTTTTTAAATCTGCAAAATGGGAATAAGAAGTCCAGATCCTTAGCAAAGAAGGCAGAGTTCTCAGCCTCTACTGAGTCAACTAGTCTCTGAACACGCTATGCCTTTTCCTATAACTCTGTCTCTATGGCAAACTTGTACCCTTCCTTCAAGACTCAGGGCAAATGCCTCCCCTCCTGCAAAGCCATCACTCTTTGGAAAATTGTGTCCCAGTTCCAAGTTCCTCCTGCCTGTTTGTTGGGCATTGTTTGATGACAACACTGGCCATCGGTGGTCTCTGGGCTGTTGGCTCCATGATGGCAGTAGCGTGCCTCATCTTTCTCTCCACCACAGCACCCAGCACAGTGCCTAGTGCAGAGTCCAGCAAACAGCGTAGATGAGAGAGCAAAGTGTATGAGCCTGGAAGGAGTCTGGATCAGGTAGCCATGTCTCAGCACTGCTCTTCTTTATGTAAAAGTCTTACTTGGCTAAGAAACTTAGATGGAAGTTATCCTATTGGTTGATATCAGTTGGATTCCAAAGCCTTCCTAGATCCCTGCAGGCAAATTGTTAAGAGAGAAAACCACTTTGGGGGCCAATCTGGAATGGGTTGGAAACACTTCTGTATTCTCCTTTGATGCACTTAAAGTGGTGCAAATCATTTTATGGACTGTCCTGTATTTTGCTGGTAGGACTATGATTTTATGGGGTGCATGTTGTCACTCTCCTTTCACCGGGGGAGAAACTGAGGCCTTAGAGCCGTGGCTTCTCAACTGTGTTTGCATGAAACATTACTTGGAGCAGCCTTAAAAACTCCTGCTACCCAGACCAATTATATCAGAATGCTGGGGGTGGGCCCGGGCATGAGTTTTGTGAAAGCTCCCCACACGGCTCCGATTTGCAGCCAAGTTGCAAACACTGCCCTGGAGAATTTAGATTCCATATCCATGGTGACTGAGAGGTGGCGGAATCGATGCTGGAACCCCAGTCTTTGGTGCTAGGCTTACTTCCAGGACTCGCTCTGTCTCTTTGTTATGACCGTGCACTTACTACACAGAATCAAGCTCCATCCCAGAGTGCCCCGCTCCCTCTGCTGTGGCAGGGGAGGGTCTTCTGGTCTCTTTTTCCTCAACTGTAAACTAGAGACACTGAAAATTCTTTTACAAAGCTTCTGTCTGAATCCAATGACATGAGGCCCTATAGATGGGAGCAACTTTTAAATTAGAGGGTCGTGTAATATTATAAAATGAAGAAATAGCAATCCCATCATGAAGAGAGATCATGAGCAGATTGGCTTCTTATGGGAGACTTGGTGTGAGCCTGAAGCTGAGAAGCTGGAGCTTTGAGGTGGACAGATGCAGCATTCCCCTCCACACAGCCGTCTGGGAATGGGAATTTTCAGCACCAAGTATTTAGAGCTGTCCTCTAAGTCTCACCTTAGACAGGGTGTCTTCTTAGTATGTTGTTCCAGTCAGCTTTCTGCTGCCAAGGATGTAGTAATTTGCCTAACCCTGAAAAGAGACCAAATGCAGACAGAGTATTCTGCAGGCAAAATCATACTTAGAGTGTCTCAGGTTATCAGAGTAAGTGGTAGTTGTCTGATTATAAAGTGGAAAGATATTATTCAGACATGGATGTATCTGTAATCAGCAGTGATGAAAAAGGAGATATACAGGAAGTGAATGGTAATTAGAGGGGACTTGGGGGACATTTTTGCCTAGGTGTATTGAGTCTCTCTTCTGTCTAGAGAATGACCCATTGCTTAGAATTTCCAGGGACCTGGGGACCCATTAGCGTTGCAATTCTCATATAGCTTGGAAATGTGGATGCAGGCACTCTATTTTTGGAAGGATTCAAACAGCGTCATTCTTGAAAAGATCTTGTCAGTTTGTTATGTGATCAAGAAAAATACCAAATAAGAACCTATTCTTCACCAGTCGTTGCAGAGGATAATTAGGCTGCAGCGTCCTCCTCGCCTATGTTCAGGAGAGTTATTCTGAGAAGTCTGAGACTGAAGGGATTTTGAGATGAAGAATTGCGCTTCCAAGGGAAGGAACACAAGTAATTTGATCTGGTTGTGGGACTATCAGACCGAGAGCATGGAGACCTGATTTGATTTTTCATCTGCCAGCTGACTGACTTGCAAGGTCATCTTTTTGCTTTTAGGCTTATTTAGCTCTTAGCTACTAAACAGACATATATTGAGAATCATATGTTGAGAGTCAGAAGAAATGTTATCTGACTCTTTTGAACCCTGATACTTAGCATTTAACACATAGATATTTTTGATGGCTTGTAAAAGAGCCCAGCTTTTCTACCCTGACTGGTGACCCTAGTGTCTCAACAAAATAAGCATCTGAAAGTTCATGGGGTTCTGTGAACATGGCCACAGTGTGAACAGTTGATACACACGTGCACAGAAAGCCACCGTCGATACTTCAGTGATTGAGAGACCTCTTTTTTTGTGATGATGTATAGCCTGACCTCAGGAACTGAGGATGTGTAAAGACCCTCTCCCTAATTATGATCGCTTCTTCTTCACTGGCAGCAAAGCAGAGACAACCTTGTTTCATATGCAAATTGCAGGAAACATTCCACCTGTCCCTGTAGTTTCCCTTGACTTAGAAAGTCATTCATAGGCCCACTATTGTCTGTGTGGCGGGGTGGGGGGGAAGGAACATTCACAGGCCCTCCTCACCCCTTTAAATGGATGTTTAATAAGCTTGGAAATGCGATTGCCTCCAAGAAAGAATTAGAGCCTGTCTGCTTAGATGAATATGAAACTTTAAAATAGTCCAAGAAGACCCCTACAATCCCTGCTAAATAAGATTTGATTTCTCTTTAAGCTGTTTTTAATAGCTGGAATTACAGAACATTGCTGTTTACCAGCTAATAGGTTTGTGAGCCGGCGGCTGGCTTTGTGCTCAGGGTGACACCGTTTACACCTGTATTCACAAAGCCACCCCTCCCATCGGTGTAAGCTCAGCTTATTGCTTCTGGAGTGTCTTCCCTGTCTGCTTCTCTCTCTCTTCCTATTTTCCCGTCTTGTCTCTGTCCCTGTCTCTGTGTCTTTCTTTCTCAATATGTTTATTTTGTCTTTTAGGGGCAGGGGGAGCAAAGCAGTTTTATCCATATTCTGCCTTTAGTCTGTTATGTTTTAGAACCAGGAAATGGGGAAAAAGAAAGAGTCCTAGACAACTTAGCTGTGATGACTCATTAAGAGAAATGTGGGCCCCACACAGGCCAGACGCTAATTGCCCCCAGGAGAGCAGGCCTTCCACTGTGCATTCTGTTCTGTGATGTGGCCCAGATCACAAAACACACAAACTTACAATCTAAGCCTCATACTGTGCGGAAGAGGCAGCTGAGAGGTTTGGGTCAAATAGGAAGAGTCAGTCTGCTCTTTAAACCTGTGTCTTCCACCCAAAAATACGAACAACAATTAGTTATAGTGATCAATATTAATAAAAAATTGTACTAGTGCTATCTTTGAGCACTAACAACGTGTCAAACCCTGAATTTTGTATGAATTTAGTCCTCTTGACAGCTTTTTGATATGGATGGAATCATTCCCGTTTTACACATAAGGGACCTGAATAACCTCCTCACACTGAGGCTGAGGCAGAACTTGCAAAGGGCTGAGCAGGACTGGAACACAAGACCATCTGACTTCAAATGCGATGCTCATAGACTACTAACAATGGGCACTTGCATGGCATGAGCTGCCTCAAGAACCCTTCTGAACACCGTGTCTGTATTTACACATCCAATCTTCACAACAACCCTATGTGGGAGGCACTTTTATTATCTCCCATTTTCCAGCGGAAGAAATGGAGGCACAACAGGTTATGAACCTTGCCCAAACCACACAGCCCTGGCAGGATGTGAGGTGTGGGGCTGTGAACCCAGGCACACTGCTCCAGGGTCTGAGCCCCGAGACCTTGATGCCATACTACCTCCCCGCTAAGCTCCTAAGCTCTGGAGAGAGCTTCCGCAGCACCTGAATCCACTCAACAAACGCGTGTTAAACACCTATGAGATTCCACACTGTGTTCGGGTCAGGAGACAACTAGAAACACCACTCCCACCTTGGGGTTGAGGGGCTGGGTGGGGAAGTGCAAAGGGGCTGCCCACTCCCCTTTCCTAAATGCCTTTCTGCATTGATTTTGAAATTTCGATCTTTAAACGAAAGTTACTAGGGCTGAGGTGTCATTTTACTATGTGCAGTTATTTGCGCCGACTTCTGCACTACAAAGGATGCGTTGTCCCAGGTCTAGTGCCCTTCTGAGGATGGTCTTGGTCCCTATGCTAGAGAGCACAGTCTACAAGTGAGTAGAGAGAGGCTGAGTGAGGAAAGAAACCCATAAACCAAATAATGTACCCACCCATCTACCCACCCATCCACCTATCCACCCATCATCCATCTATACACCCACCCACCCATCATTCATCAATCCATTCACCCACCCACCCATCATCCATCCACCACCCACCCACCCATCCACCCACTTATCCACCCATCATTCATCCATCTACCCATCCACCCACCCATCATCCATCCATCCACCCACCCACCCACCCATCCACCCTTCCACCCATCCTCCCATCCATCCACCCTTCTACCCATCCATCCACCCACCTATCTACCTATCCACCCACCCATCCACCCATCCAACCATCATCCATCCATCCATCCATCCATCCATCCATCCATCCATCCATCCAAAGTGAATGGTCTCCTTGGCTCCTGTGTTAGAGGGGCCATGTCAGAGGCAGGTACTCAATGCAGTCCAGTGGGGAATCAACAGAATAAGTGGTTTTCCTAGAAGGAGACAGGGTTAGAACAGCCTTCACAAAAGGCTTTGTGATCTTTTGGCATCTCCTGGAAAGGGGAGATGGCAAGAGTGTTTCGTGAATATTTAGAATTCTCTGGAAACATTTCTGGGACCTGGAGCAGTGGTATCTTTTCTCCTTTGATCCTGCCTATGCTCGCATCACTCATCACACCCCACCTGTCAAGGCAGCCTTATGTCTCCCTTTACTCACCTTGTCAAGTTCCCCTTCCTTATTCACAGTGTGTCGTGGGAACGTGAGAAATAACAGACACAGCAAACAGTATGGAAGCATATTAATAAATCATTTTAAAGTATTAAAATTGATATTGGGCTTTTCTGCAATATTTTATCATTTATAATTTATTGAGCATGTTATTTGTCACCTGGTTAAGCAAGAACAACCAATATTTCATTGGGGGATCTGATTTCTCAACGTGGGATGGAAGTGGTGGAGTCTTTCCCATGGAGAGTGATAGGATGCCAGCCTGAATATCAGCTGGCAGCTTGACCTCGTGGTTTCTTAGTTTGTTTATGGATTATGATGATAGCCCGAAGCCCTCTGAATACCCAGGACAGGCAGAGGTATGAAAAGTGCACATACTTTCTCTCCCTCATGTGTCTCCCTTCTCCTGGGACAAGATGGGGGGTGGATGATTCCCACTGATGCTGTCCAGTCTCTCCTGTGCTTACTGTCACTCACTGCGTAGCTGTGGAGTCCTCCAATGTGCCAGGCACTGTTGACAACAATGAGCACACATCACTAAACAAAACAAACCATGTTCCCAGCCCTTGTGGGGCTTATCTGCTAGCGGGAGGAGATAGATAATAAAAAATAAGCACACCAAATTTGCAAATGTGATAGTAGATTAGCAGGTGATAAGTGCTGTGTCTTAGCTAGAGCTGCTATACAAATTACCATAGCCTGGGAGGCTTAAACAACAGACCTCTGTTTCTCACAGTCTGGAAACTGGGAAGTCCAAGATCAAGGCATTGGCAGAGCTGGTGTCTGGTGAGGGCTGCTTCCTGGTTTGCAGATGGCTGTCTTCTCCCTGAGTCCTCACGTGGCAGAGAGAGGGAGGGTTCGAGGGAGGAAGAGAAAAAGAGAGAGACAGAGAAAGGGGGGCAATCTTTCTCCTGTCTCTTCCCATAAGGGCACTAATTTCATTCATGAGGGCTCCACCCTCATGACCTGATCACCTCCCAAAGGCCCCACTTTTTACTACTCTCACTTTAGGAGTTAGGGCTTCAACACAAGAATACTAAAAAGACAGAACGATCAGTCCATACCATGTTATATAGTAAGAAGGAGAAAAAAGAAAGCAGCAGAGAGTGTGGGGTGGGCTGACAGCCCTTGTGGTAAGCAGCAATGCTATTTGCTACACACCTTGTTTCTGCCTTTTCCTGGCTGAATGGCATTTGGATCCCAAAGAATTGGAGTCATGTATATTGTCCAATGTTCACAACTCCATGAGGTATCTCTTGGACAGAAAAACGTCATCGAGGGATGGCTTGTCCTGGCCTGTGTCGCTCCCTCCTTGCACTGCCCACCTGCTGCCTGTGCCCCCAAGGACTGTGCTGGCTCCTGGGACCCTCCCTCTCCATCTTTCCAGGAGGAAGAGACTGGCATAGGTTGGAGAGGCCAGGTGGGGCACACCTGGCTGTGGAGCTGCAGAGCTGCCCCCTTTTTCCAGAGGATGTCAGGGAAAGCCGGTGGACGGGAAGTTGGTGACGTCTGGCGGTTGCTGACCACATCAAGCAAGCCAAGGAATAAAGCCACTCAGCAGCACAGATGGCAAACGGCTGCATCTGGACAGCTGCGTGGCTCAGCCGTTTCCTCTTCAAATTGGTGTCGCTACTCCTCAATGCCTGGCTTGGGGTTATCTCTGGACAAGCATGTCAAACCGGGAGCTTCATTCCTGGAAGCTGCGGTGAACTTCTGGAGTGAATGAATTTGTGGATGTCGGCCTCCCAGGGCTCCCATTTAGCTGATTCTATTGGCACACGTCTCTGATCTGAAGCATCTCACTGATTGCATCTATGAGTCAGGCTGTGCTTCTAGTTTCTGGTCATAGGGCACCTCAGAGATGGGAAACTAGGGAGGAATGGGCAGAACCTGGACACCCTACCTTTATAAGCCAGCAGAGCCACTTAAGGCAGAGCTCTGGGGATATGGGATGGTTAGGAATCAGTGAATGAAAGAAGGAAGGGGTTTATAGTTAGCATGCAGAAACTCACACAGTCACGGTGTTTATTATATTTATCACAGTCTTAGGAAAATCTGGCTTCTCTGGTGGAAGTGTGTCAGTCACACAAATGGCATCTACCGCATGTCTCCAAGTTGGGGAGGAATTGAGCACCATTGACTTAGGAGGTGGGATGGGAGAGCAAGGGCTAGATGTTTTAGAGACAGCTCAGTCTTTACCAAAGGTGGCTTGTCCCAAGAATCTTTTAGGGAACTTGATAAAAATGTTCATTCTTGGGCTGTACACCCCCAAACTAATCAGCCAGCCCTCCAGGGGAGGAGCCTGGGAATCTGCCTCTTGAATCAGCACTCCCGTGATTCTTACAAGAGGGAGCATGTGGCTCTCAACAGGGTGCGCATTAGAATTAATCAAGGAGCCCTTGATAATTGCTGGTCCCCTGGCCTCATCTTGTAGAGTCGGCTGTATTTCATCTGGGTGGGGGCTGAGTGTTGCAAGTTCTGAAAGCTCCAAGGTGTTCTTTTGCTCAGGTAGGGGAGGCTCCTGCGCACACTAGAGAGTTCAGGCTTCTGCGTAGAAGAGTGAAGGAGGAACCTCTTCCTTGCGCACTCACTGTTCGCCTCTGGCTGGGTGACTTCTGCTTGTGGAGCCTCACTGCATGAAGAGGAGGTAGTGTCTCTGCATGATCCACTTGAGGGGGCTCTGGAAGAGTTAATGAGACCCTAGGTGTGAACGCCCTCTTCCACAGACCCCAGCTTTGTGGAGTAAGCCGCCAGCCCTGCAGCACCCTTTAGGACTGTTTCTGCTCCTCTCCAGCCATTCTTTCTTCTGGGGTCTGCCTGTCTGGATGACAGATGCAAAGGGCATAAGAGTCTGGGACAGGCGAGGACCCAGGCAGATTCCGACTGCTGCTGTGTGTCAGGAAATGAGGAGGGAGGGCTCTGGACAGGCAACCGCTTCCACGCCGCCTTGTCCACCTCCACATTCTCCTGACTTATTACATTGTAATAAATTGAACCATTCCACTTCATTATTTCATATATGAGGAGATTTATAGATTGTCCTGGTGGCTGAAGAGGCAGTGATTAAGGAAGCAGTGTGCTAATGAATAAGGCTGGGCACAAAGCCGTTTTAATTAATGCACAGCCCAGGGGCTGTAAACCGCTTGCTGATAACAAACCTGCCCATCGAAGAGTTGAACTGACAACTTCCTACAGAAAAAAGGCTGATGGCGACACGGGGAAGTCATTCAAGTGACAACTAGGGCTGCTAACCTCGGTCTCTCTCTCTACTCCTGGGCTCACTGTGGCAGAGCCACCCAACACATATTTATTTAGTTTTTCCTGCAAAATAGTTTCTACTCTCTGGTCCCGACACCACACTGTCCTCCGCCTCTTGCATGGAGCATCCCAGAGGCTGTGGACATTAGGATCATACTCGAACTTTCTGAAGGTTTTGTTTGGTCAGATTCATGGAGCGGAGGATGCCTGTTGTTCTTCACAAAGCCCCTGCGATATGACTCTTTTCACCCAAACTTCTTCCAGAGCTCTGGAGATTTAGTCAAGTCCAGTGTGCTGGAAAAGATTTTTTTTTCTCTTTCCTTTTTCACTTTTGGTGGCGCGATCCCTGTTGACAGCTTGGCTTTGGAGGGTTTCATCTTACCAGCAACTTGGCTGCCATGGGGCTTGGCTTCCCAGCGTGGAGGTGCAGGGGTCTCTGAGGGAGCCCACACATTCTGCGTCCTTGTCACACTGCTCTACACCCCGGGGTTTTCAGTAAAGGCTCTTTCCTAACAAATTAAGTCCAAAGGGTGATGGGAAACACAGTAACCTTTCTCCGTTCTTTTCATGGTTTCCTGCCAGGATTTGCTGTTTGGAGACACGGGAACACTGCACTAAGATGACTTTTCGGCGAGTTGATCACTGATGATTTTGGCCTTGACACAGAGCATTATTAGTAGTGCGACTGACTAACATGAATAATAGTGATTCTCATAACAAAAGGAATGTAGTAGCCACAATAAGAGAAAAATCTTAGCCAACAGAATGATTTGAGGAAAACGCTATTGATAATGAAATGGGGCTTATTGAATTAACTGTTCCATTTAGCAGACACATGAGCAGAACCCAGGATGGAAGAATGTAATCACCAGCGTGACTCCAGTGATGGAGATGAACTAGATGTGGAGACTGGGGAGCAGCAGAGTCAACTCAGTTATCATCTTGGCGGCCGGGCTGCCGTCCAGCTCACAGAAGCCACCTGATCCGGAAAAGATTTCCAAAGCCTGCTGGAGTAAGTTTGGCAGTAAGTTGTTATTGCATCTGGCCTCCTACCTACAAAAACTACCCCAATAGAAAGGTGATCCTGTGTGATGAGTTACCCTGTCCTCCTGTGACTGCTCTCTATGTCATGTTTTCAGAGCAGCCCTCCCAGTCAGGAGAGCAAAGTCACATTCCATCTGGGGACATCTGAGAGGAGATGCAGAAGCCAATAGCTGATTTTCCTCCCCTGCTCCTTCCCTTGAATAAACACACTTGATGCATACTGGCCCCCGACTCTTGGCTGTCCTCTGTGGTGCATGGATGGGTCCTGGTGGCTTCTCTGTGGCTGCAAGTCCCCCCAAGGTCTATGATGTCTCTGGGCACCCCTGTCTGAGCTGTGTCTTTCCTGCTAGCGCTGTCTCCACCCTCCTCTCACACAGATAGTCTTTTCTCCCCCGTAGAAGGCAGCTGCAATATTTACCTAAAAACCGGAAGCTTTAAAAAATTCCAGGAGGCGGAGGCAGGAGAATCGTTTGAACCCGGGAGGCGGAGGTTGCAGTGAGCCGAGATCTCACCACTGCACTCCCGCCTGGGTGGCAGAGTGAGACTCCGTCTCAAAAAAAAAAAAAAAAAAAAAAAAAAAAAAATTTCCAAGAAAAGTCTGGGTGGGTCGGGGGATTAATGTCTTAATGTAATATATTAAGAACAGATTAATCCAGAAATAACAGCAATAGTACATTTTCTCCTACCGTTTCTTGAACGATTCCCATATTATTTAAATTACCTGCTTTTTTATATTACCACCATTTGAGACAGAAAAATCGAGGCACCTGGGAGGTTTGTGACTGAGCCAGGATTAATGGTACAGTAGAGGCAAAACAAAAGAAGTGAGACTCTAAGTAGGAGCTCGCCCATGAGAGACCTGCTGCCTTGGTGAGCTAGGCGCTGCTTACCTCTGATTTTTAGCGAGCAGTTCTGAGCGATTGCTGGGCTTTTTATGACGAAGATGAGGAGGAGCCTGAGACCAAGAGCTTGGGCAGGAGGATGACGGACAGAATTTTGTAATTTTCATGTAATCATACTAGGTCTCACTTTCTGCAATATCCCTTAGACTGCCGGTTGCCTGTCAGATATATCTTAGAAATGAAATTGAGGAGGAGAGTGCATTTGGGAAATAATAGAACTCAGTTCTAAGTAACACATTAAGCTTAATTTTTAATGGTAGAGAATCTTACGGACACACCCTCTGTAAATGTTGAAGATCACGGGAATACTGGCGGGCAGAGCATGTAACACGGCGGCCCAAGGCGCTACTAAAATCCAGGGAAAATGGCCTCTTAACCCACGCTATCTGCAAAACCTACTCTGGCTCAAGTATCATGAAAGGCCTGGCTGGGAAGGAGGACACCAAAAGAAACTGGAATCCAGCAGGAGGACTAAATAGGGAAGGCTGTTTTTCTCCTTTGCCTGAGCAGCGCTGGCTCTTGAGAACCGCTGGAAACCGGGAAGAAAGAGGGTGGGTTTATTTTCTGGGACCATAGTTGCTTCGGTGACACCTCCTTGGAGGAGGCAAACCTTCATAATTGAGGTTTTTAAAGAACATATAGAAGTTGTTTCTTTGCCCTTAAATTCACTCACACTGACCAGAATGTCAGTAATTTTGGCTGTCTCCAGCTGCCATCTCCTGCTGCCTTCTGCTTTCTTGTATGCTTTCTAAGAGTGAGCTTACTTATCCATCCTTTTCCTTTCTTACCCCTTAGATTACTATGAAAGGCATCACCATTTCTGGAGGAGGCTCTTGTGTTTAATATGCTTTCTAGCACGTTCTTCTAGTTCCTGTACCATTGAGCTGACCACAAAAATTGGATCAATACATCTGCTTAACAAGATATGAAATCCAGCATGTAGAAAGGCCTGTCAAAGGTCAATCAAAAAGGTGTGGCAACCATGGAATACTATGCAGCCATAACAAACAATGAAATCAAGTCCTTTGCAGCAGCATGGATGCAGCTGGAGGCCATTATCCTAAATGAATTAGTGCAGGAACAGAAAACCAAATATCACATGTTCTGACTTATATGGGGGAGCTAAACACTGGGCATGGACCTAAAGACAAGAGCAGTAGACACTGGAGGCTATAGAGGGGGCAGGGAAGGACAGAAGAAAATGCCAAACATCTACCTATCAGGTACTGTGTTCACTATCTGGGTGACAGTTCAGTTGAAGCCCAAACCTCAGCCATGCAATATATCCATGTAAAAACCTGCACATGCACTTTGGGAGGCCGAGGCAGGCAGAAAGCCAGGAGTTTGAGACCAGCCTGGTCAATAGGGCAAAGCCCCACCTCTACTAAAAATGCAAAAATTAGCCGGGTGTGATGGTGGGCACCTGCAGTCCCAGCTACTCAGGAGGCTGAGGAACGAGAATCACTTGAACCCGGGAGGCGGAGGTTGCAGTGAGCCGAGATCATGCCACTGCACTCCAGTCTGGGGGAGAGTGAAACTCTACTTCAAAAAAAACAAAAAACAAAAACAAAAACAAAAAATATCCCTGCGCATGTGCTCCTTGAATCTAAAATTTTAAAAGAGGGCTGTCAAACTCAAGGGCCCGAGGGAACTGGCATTTCACATAAATGAGTGAGATAATGGACATCCAGTGATGCCAAGTGGCTCATGCTAAGACCAGGTGTGACACATCTAGCTTTATTTACTTTTTACAGCACCTTTCCAGGTAAAGCTGAATGACTCCAAAACACCCAGAGGGCTGTCAGTTGTTCCACATGCAGTTGATTGGTGGTGCTGGTGGCTATGTGTGTCCAGACAAATGCACCTCGAAGCTGCAGAGCCAACCTGGCTTCATGGCCAAGGAAGCACAGCGGTGACACGTTTCCCTGGTGACCCTCATGTCAAATGGATGTCTTTTAATCCTTTCCTCAACAAGCCATCTCCTATCATTCACCAATCCTAAAATCTCTTCTTCCTCTGTTTTTTCTTTCCTTCTTCTTCTATTTTTTTCTATAGGCTGTTTCCATACAGGCAGAGGCCAGTGTCATCTCCAGCACCTGGGGGACATAAGAGAAAGAGCCAGTGGCCTCCAAGACAATCTCAGGTGAATACGCTTGACCCAGACGAGGGAAGGATCACACAAACTCTCCGTTGATGTATGTGGCAGTTAATAAATCATTTTCAAGAAGCTATTATTCTCTTACTTAAAGCATTCTTGTTTCACTGTGAACAGTGGTTATTTTCTTAGTCGGGTTTAGAAGACATCCTACTGTCCCCAACATTGCAATTGGTTCTGATACATGTAGTATCTTAGTCACCTTTCAAGTCCATGGACTCCATTTCCTAAGTGCCATGAGACATGTTCCTGGGGAAACACTATGTCCAAGGCAGTGATTTGAGAGCAGGAGGTTTATCAGGAGTGCTCTTGGATACAGCCCTGTCTGGGAGGGAGGGAAGCAGGGCCCAGTGGCTCTATAGTCAGGTCAGAGGCCTCAGCTGACCCCACAGGGGGTCCTGGAAGCTGGCGTTGTCCTTCAGAGTCGTCCCTGATTGGTGCAACAGGTCAGGCCTTGGTTCTACCTTTCTGATCCCTTAGCAAGGCCGACCCTCTGGCAGGGGCCTTCCTGGGGAGGGACACAGCAGTGAGGCAGTTGCTGTGCTCCGGGGAGCGAGCACCTCTGTCTGGGACTGGGGTCTGGTCTGTGCACCAGGAAGTTTATGTGAGGGGAAGATTCCCGCCTCATTTCTCTCTGGTCGAGATATTTTGTTTGTGAAGTTGCACAGGAGATAAGATTAACTTTTGGCTTTAAGAGTGCGTAACGCTGAAACTCCAGCCTGGCTGTGATGTATGGATGAAACATCAAGTTCTCTTTCTTCACACTCTCCCTTTTCACCTTTTTTACTTGTTTTCTGTACAATTCTGTGACAATGTGCGTGGTTCTCTCCCCACAAAACCTCTGCTGGCTCCCTGACAGCATTTTGTAGCTGTTTGTAAGTGACAACTAAAGGCTGTTGCAGGGAAACAGAAGGACATGCCACTATATTTTGGGGATATATAGGGCATTATCTGAAAGCCTACTCCAGGGGAAGACGTTTACAACGTGTGCTTGCCTGTGCTGCGGTTGTTAGCAGGTGCAGGCTCCTTCACCCCCATGTCCAGCTTAGGAAGGCTCACCTGGAAGCCCTCCCAGATTGGATTCTCAATGTGTGCTTCACATTTGCCACCTGGTTCACCGGCATCTCTTGTCAGGGGTCTCTCGCAGGTATGGCTGTGGAGGTTGGCATCCCAGGGCGGGGCAGAGATAAGCCCCAGCGCTTCCAGGGTCCCACGTAAAAAGAAAACAACATACGAAAGATGGTGCTGCGGCCTGCGGCGTTGATGATATTTACGGGGTGATGGATGAATGTGGCAAGCCAGGCAGCATAGCCTGAACAGGGTGAAATGGCTGGCTGAGCAGACGAGCGGCGAGTGAATCAATCATGGGACCCGCTCCACCCGCCAGCTGGGTTCATCAGCTTCACAGCCTCTCTCTACAGGCTTATAAATTACCCCTGATGGAGGGCTGGCATGTTGGGCCAGGTTGCGGTGACTTCTCCAGCAGAGATCAATAGGCTGCGGTGAACAGAAGCAACAGAACTTTGATGAACTCCAGTGAGATAGTTGGCGATGCACTCCTGCTTGCTTTGATAAACCCATATATTTTGTGCCCAAGCTTAAATCTTCCTGCAAAAAAGCAAAGATTTGGACTTAATTTAACATACCTATGTAGTGTACCATAGCACTGGAGGGCATGGCCTCCTTCAGTCCTGGCCTCCTTCAATCCTGGCCTCACTTGCTAGTTGTATGACCTGGATGGTTTGCCTAATTAACGTCTTTGTCCCTCGGACTCCTTACTTTTGAAAATGGCAGTAATAATACATAGGGCTCCTTCCTTATGAAGCTCTTAGTTTTTCGTAGAATTGAATTAGTTAATATTTATAAATCAGCATTAATAATTTTAGCAGTTATTACTATGGGCTTAGCTCTTATTGTCTGGTCAACCTCAACTCCACTCAATTTTGGAAGACTAGCTCACCTCTTCCTTTGCTGATAAACAACATCCTGTATGTCACCCTAAATGACATGTAGCCACATCTACTCCTACTTATCTTCTTTTAATCGAGAAAATGAAGTGTGTCTTCTGTTCAAGGTCAGCCCCTCTGTCTGCGACTCTTCACCTCCCCTTCCCCATCTTTCTGTGTTGACTCCATATCCTACATTGCCAATTACTGTTCTCTCTCATTGTGGTGTTTTGTTTCCTTTCTTTCTTCTTTTTCTTTTTTGAGACAGAGTTTCACTCTTGTTGCCCAGGCTGGAGTGCAATGGCACAATCTCGGCTCACCACAACCTCTGCCTCCCGTGTTCAAGTGATTCAGTAGCTGGGATTACAGGCATGTGGCACCAGGCCCGGCTAATTTTGTGTATTTTTAGTAGAAATGGGGTTTCTCCATGTTGGTCAGGCTGGTCTCAAATTCCTGAACTCAGGTGATCTGCCCTCCTTGGCCTTCCGAAGTGCTGGGATTACAGGTGTGAGCCACCGTGCCCAACCTGTTTTGTTTTCTTTCTAATGGTCTCACGTCCTTACCCTCTCTAGATATCTAAGTCTGTCCAGTTCAAAAACAATAAACAAATTAAACAAGCCTCTGTTGATTCTGAATCCGAATCTAGTTACTTTTGTAGTGTTCTCTCTCATACTCACCTAAACATTTCAAAAGAGTGTTCTAAACTTTACGTCTCTACTTCCTCACCTTTTAGTCATTTTTTTGTTTTACCAATGGCATCTTAATTATTCTATCAAAATGTTAAAAGGATCCAAATCTGTTGAAATTATTCTAGTAAAGTCACCAATGATTTTTTTATTGCCAAATCCAATGAACAGTTTTAGTCTTTATTTTTTTAGTCATTGTTGCTGATAATTCTTTTCTTGATCCTCTATTCTCTTGACTTCCATTATGCCAAATTATTCTGATTCCTTAAAGATTGCTTTGGGTTCAGTGTTTTTAGTGTAGTTCCTTCTAAGTAGTCTCTAGTATGATTTTAATTACATTGTTGCATGTAAGAATTCCTTAGAAGAATGTTTCTAGGCTGGTGCGGTGGCTCACGCCTGCAATCCCAGCACTTTGGGAGGCCGAGGCGGGTGGATCATAAGGTCAGGAGATCAAGACCATCCTGGCTAACATGGTGAAACCCTGTCTCTACTAAAAATACAAAAAAAAAAAAAAAAAAAATTAGCCGGGCATGGTAGCAGGTGCCTGTAGTCCCAGCTACTCGGGAGGCTGACGCAGGAGAATGGTGTGAACCTGGGAGGCAGAGCTTGCAGTGAGCCGAGATCGCACCACTGCACTCCAGCCTGGGCAAGAATGAGCCTCTGTCTCAAAAAGAAAAAAAAAGAAGAATGTTTCTAAATTTCAAAACAGTAGGTATTTGTTTACTTATTTTTCTGTTCTTTTGTTGTTGTTGGTATCTGGTTTTATTACATTCAAGTCAGAAAAGAACCTGTGCATTTTGGAACATGTTGAAATTTTCCTTTTAGTTAAACTGTGATCATGTTTTTTATCAATGTTTGATGGGCATTTCAAAAAATACATATTCTCTTATTTGTATGTATACACATATACGCAGGTACATATGAGGTTTGTTAATCATGTTATTCAAATACTGTCTACCATTACTTTTTGGTCTATTTGGTTTCTCAGTTGATAG
The DNA here is from genome assembly GCF_000001405.40 of Homo sapiens. NCBI lineage: Eukaryota > Metazoa > Chordata > Mammalia > Primates > Hominidae > Homo > Homo sapiens. The sequence goes on along the minus strand of NC_000011.10, from coordinate 133,646,947 downwards.
AGTTTCACTAAAATCTGCTACACCATTTACTTCAAATATCTTCTGCTGTTCCTATGTTCAATGCATAAATGTTCATTACTGTGATGCCTTCTTGGAGAATTGTACCTTTTATTTCTTATTTATTTATTTATTATTATACTTTAAGTTTTAGGGTACATGTGCACATTGTGCAGGTTAGTTACATATGTATACATGTGCCATGCTGGTGTGCTGCACCCACTAACTCGTCATCTAGCATTAGGTATATCTCCCAATGCTATCCCTCCCCCCTCCCCCCACCCCACCACAGTCCCCAGAGTGTGATATTCCCCTTCCTGTGTCCATGTGATCTCATTGTTCAATTCCCATCTATGAGTGAGAACATGCGGTGTTTGGTTTTTTGTTCTTGCGATAGTTTACTGTGAATGATGATTTCCAATTTCATCCACGTCCCTACAAAGGACATGAACTCATCATTTTTTATGGCTGCATAGTATTCCGTGGTGTATATGTGCCACATTTTCTTAATCCAGTCTATCATTGTTGGACATTTGGGTTGGTTCCAAGTCTTTGCTATTGTGAATAATGCCGCAATAAACATACGTGTGCATGTGTCTTTATAGCAGCATGATTTATAGTCCTTTGGGTATATACCCAGTAATGGGATGGCTGGGTCAAATGGTATTTCTAGTTCTAGATCCCTGAGGAATTGCCACACTGACTTCCACAACGGTTGAACTAGTTTACAGTCCCACCAACAGTGTAAAAGTGTTCCTATTTCTCCACATCCTCTCCAGCACCTGTTGTTTCCTGACTTTTTAATGATAGCCATTCTAAGTGGTGTGAGATGGTATCTCATTGTGGTTTTGATTTGCATTTCTCTGATGGCCAGTGATGATGCGCATTTTTTCATGTGTTTTTTGGCTGCATAAATGTCTTATTTTGAGAAGTGTCTGTTCATATCCTTTGCCCACTTTTTGATGGGGTTGTTTGTTTTTTTCTTGTAAATTTGTTTGAGTTCATTGTAGATTCTGGATATTAGCCCTTTGTCAGATGAGTAGGTTGCAAAAATTTTCTCCCATTTTGTAGGTTGCCTGTTCACTCTGATGGTAGTTTCTTTTGCTGTGCAGAAGCTCTTTAGTTTAATTAGATCCCATTTGTCAATTTTGTCTTTTGTTGCCATTGCTTTTGGTGTTTTGGACATGAAGTCCTTGCCCATGCCTATGTCCTGAATGGTAATGCCTAGGTTTTCTTCTAGGGTTTTTATGGTTTTAGGTCTAACGTATAAGTCTTTAATCCATCTTGAATTGATTTTTGTATAAGGTGTAAGGAAGGGATCCAGTTTCAGCTTTCTACATATGGCTAGCCAGTTTTCCCAGAACCATTTATTAAATAGGGAATCCTTTCCCCATTGCTTGTTTTTCTCAGGTTTGTCAAAGATCAGATAGTTGTAGATATGCGGCGTTATTTCTGAGGGCTCTGTTCTGTTCCATTGATCTATATCTCTGTTTTGGTACCAGTACCATGCTGTTTTGGTTACTGTAGCCTTGTAGTATAGTTTGAAGTCAGGTAGCATGATGCCTCCAGCTTTGTTCTTTTGGCTTAGGATTGCCTTGGTGATGCGGGCTCTTTTTTGGTTCCATATGAACTTTAAAGTAGTTTTTTCCAATTCTGTGAAGAAAGTCATTGGTAGCTTGATGGGGATGGCATTGAATCTGTAAATCACCTTGGGCAGTATGGCCATTTTCACGATATTGATTCTTCCTACCCATGAGCATGGAAAGTTCTTCCATTTGTTTGTATCCTCTTTTATTTCCTTGAGCAGCGGTTTGTAGTTCTCCTTGAAGAGGTCCTTCACATCCCTTGTAAGTTGGATTCCTAGGTATTTTATTCTCTTTGAAGCAATTGTGAATGGGAGTTCACTCATGATTTGGCTCTCTGTTTGTCTGTTGTTGGTGTATAAGAATGCTTGTGATTTTTGTACATTGATTTTGTATCCTGAGACTTTGCTGAAGTTGCTTATCAGCTTTAGGAGATTTTGGGCTGAGACAATGGGGTTTTCTAGATATACAATCATGTTGTCTGCAAACAGGGACAATTTGACTTCCTCTTTTCCTAATTGAATACACTTTATTTCCTTCTCCTGCCTAATTGCCCTGGCCAGAGCTTCCAACACTATGTTGAATAGGAGTGGTGAGAGAGGGCATCCCTGTCTTGTGCCAGTTTTCAAAGGGAATGCTTCCAGTTTTTGCCCATTCAGTATGATATTGGCTGTGGGTTTGTCATAGATAGCTCTTATTATTTTGAAATACGTCCCATCAATACCTAATTTATTGAGAGTTTTTAGCATGAAGGGTTGTTGAATTTTGTCAAAGGCTTTTTCTGCATCTATTGAGATAATCATGTGGTTTTTGTCTTTGGCTCTGTTTATATGCTGGATTACATTTATTGATTTGTGTATATTGAACCAGCCTTGCATCCCAGGGATGAAGCCCACTTGATCATGGTGGATAAGCTTTTTGATGTGCTGCTGGATTCGTTTTGCCAGTATTTTATTGAGGATTTTTGCATCAATGTTCATCAAGGATATTGGTCTAAAATTCTCTTTTTTGGTTGTGGCTCTGCCCGGCTTTGGTATCAGAATGATGCTGGCCTCATAAAATGAGTTAGGGAGGATTCCCTCTTTTTCTATTGATTGGAATAGTTTCAGAAGGAATGGTACCAGCTCCTCCTTGTACCTCTGGTAGAATTCGGCTGTAAATCCATCTGGTCCTGGACTCTTTTTGGTTGGTAAACTATTGATTATTGCCACAATTTCAGCTCCTGTTATTGGTCTATTCAGAGATTCAACTTCTTCCTGGTTTAGTCTTGGGAGAGTGTATGTGTTGAGGAATTTATCCATTTCTTCTAGATTTTCTAGTTTATTTGCGTAGAGGTGTTTGTAGTGTTCTCTGATGGTAGTTTGTATTTCTGTGGTATCGGTGGTGATATCCCCTTTATCATTTTTTATTTTGTCTATTTGTTTCTTCTCTCTTTTTTTCTTTATTAGTCTTGCTAACAGTCTATCAATTTTGTTGATCCTTTCAAAAAACCAGCTCCTGGATTCATTAATTTTTTGAAGGGTTTTTTGTATCTCTATTTCCTTCAGTTCTGCTCTGATTTTAGTTATTTCTTGCCTTCTGCTAGCTTTTGAATGTGTTTGCTCTTGCTTTTCTAGTTCTTTTAATTGTGATGTTAGGGTGTCAATTTTGGATCTTTCCTGCTTTCTCTTGTGGGCATTTAGTGCTATAAATTTCCCTCTACACACTGCTTTGAATGTGTCCCAGAGATTCTGGTATGTTGTGTCTTTGTTCTTGTTGGTTTCAAAGAACATCTTTATTTCTGCCTTCATTTCGTTATGTATGCAGTAGTCATTCAGGAGCAGGTTGTTCAGTTTCCATGTAGTTGAGCGGTTTTGAGTGAGATTCTTAATCCTGAGTTCTAGTTTGATTGCACTGTGGTTTGAGAGATAGTTTGTTACAATCTCTGTTCTTTTACACTTGCTGAGGAGAGTTTTACTTCCAAGTATGTGGTCAATTTTGGAATAGGTGTGGTGTGGTGCTGAAAAAAATGTATATTCTGTTGATTTGGGGTGGAGAGTTCTGTAGATGTCTGTTAGGTCCGCTTGGTGCAGAGCTGAGTTCAATTCCTGGGTATCCTTGTTGACTTTCTGTCTCGTTGATCTGTCTGATGTTGACAGTGGGGTGTTAAAGTCTCCCATTATTAATGTGTGGGAGTCTAAGTCTCTTTGTAGGTCACTCAGGACTTGCTTTATGAATCTGGGTGCTCCTGTATTGGGTGCATATATATTTAGGATAGTTAGCTCTTCTTGTTGAATTGATCCCTTTACCATTATGTAATGGCCTTCTTTGTCTCTTTTGATCTTTGTTGGTTTAAAGTCTGTTTTATCAGAGACTAGGATTGCAACCCCTGCCTTTTTTTGTTTTCCCTTTGCTTGGTAGATCTCCCTCCATCCTTTTATTTTGAGCCTATGTGTGTCTCTGCACATGAGATGGGTTTCCTGAATACAGCACACTGATGAGTCTTGACTCTTTATCCAATTTGCCAGTCTGTGTCTTTTAATAGGAGCATTTAGTCCATTTACATTTAAAGTTAATATTGTTATGTGTGAATTTGATCCTGTCATTATGATGTTAGCTGGTGATTTTGCTCGTTAGTTGATGCAGTTTCTTCCTAGTCTCGATGGTCTTTACATTTTGGCATGATTTTGCAGCGGTTGATACCGGTTGTTCCTTTCCATGTTTAGTGCTTCCTTCAGGAGCTCTTTTAGGGCAGGCCTGGTGGTGACAAAATCTCTCAGCATTTGCTTGTCTGTAAAGTATTTTATTTCTCCTTCACTTATGAAGCTTAGTTTGGCTGGATATGAAATTCTGGGTTAAAAATTCTTTTCTTTAAGAATGTTGAATATTGGCCCCCACTCTCTTCTGGCTTGTAGGGTTTCTGCCAAGAGAACCGCTGTTAGTCTGATGGGCTTCCCTTTGAGGGTAACCTGACCTTTCTCTCTGGCTGCCCTTAACATTTTTTCCTTCATTTCAACTTTGGTGAATCTGACAATTATGTGTCTTGGAGTTGCTCTTCTCGAGGAGTATCTTTGTGGCATTCTCTGTATTTCCTGAATCTGAACGTTGGCCTGCCTTGCTAGATTGGGGAAGTTCTCCTGGATAATATCCTGCAGAGTGTTTTCTAACTTGGTTCCATTCTCCCCGTCACTTTCAGGTACACCAATCAGACGTAGATTTGGTCTTTTCACATAGTCCCATATTTCTTGGAGGCTTTGCTCATTTCTTTTTATTCTTTTTTCTCTAAACTTCCCTTCTCGCTTCATTTCATTCATTTCATCTTCCATTGCTGATACCCTTTCTTCCAGTTGATCGCATCGGCTCCTGAGGCTTCAGCATTCTTCACGTAGTTCTCGAGCCTTGGTTTTCAGCTCCATCAGCTCCTTTGAGCACTTCTCTGTATTGGTTATTCTAGTTATACATTCTTCTAAATTGTTTTCAAAGTTTTCAACTTCTTTGCCTTTGGTTTGAATGCCCTCCCGTAGCTCAGAGTAATTTGATCGTCTGAGGCCTTCTTCTCTCAGCTCGTCAAAGTCATTCTCCATCCAGCTTTGTTCCGTTGCTGGTGAGGAACTGCGTTCCTTTGGAGGAGGAGAGGTGCTCTGCTTTTTAGAGTTTCCAGTTTTTCTGTTCTGTTTTTTCCCCATCTTTGTGGTTTTGTCTACTTTTGGTCTTTGATGATGGTGATGTACAGATGGGTTTTTGGTGTGGATGTCCTTTCTGTTTGTTTTCCTTCTAACAGAGAGGACCCTCAGCTGCAGGTCTGTTGGAGTACCCTGCCGTGTGAGGTGTCAGTGTGCCCCTCCTGGGGGGTGCCTCCCAGTTAGGCTGCTGGGGGTCAGGGGTCAGGAACCCACTTGAGGAGGCAGTCTGCCCGTTCTCAGATCTCCAGCTGCGTGCTGGGAGAACCACTGCTCTCTTCAAAGCTGTCAGACAGGGACATTTAAGTCTGCAGAGGTTACTGCTATCTTTTTGTTTGTCTGTGCCCTGCCCCCAGAGGTGGAGCCTACAGAGGCAGGCAGGCCTCCTTGAGCTGTGGTGGGCTCCACCCAGTTCGAGCTTCCCGGCTGCTTTGTTTACCTAAGCAAGCCTGGGCAATGATGGGCGCCCCTCCCCCAGCCTCGCTGCCACCTTGCAGTTTGATCTCAGACTGCTGTGCTAGCAATCAGCGAGACTCCGTGGGCGTAGGACCCTCCGAGCCAGGTGCGGGATATAATCTCGTGGTGCGCCGTTTTTTAAACCCGTCGGAAAAGCGCAGTATTCGGGTGGGAGTGACCCAATTTTCCAGGTGCGTCCATCACCCCTTTCTTTGACTCGGAAAGGGAACTCCCTGACCCCTTGTACTTCCCAAGTGAGGCAATGCCTCGCCCTGCTTCGGCTCGCGCACGGTGCGCGCACCCACTGACCTGCTCCCACTGTCTGGCACTCCCTAGTGAGATGAACCCGGTACCTCAGATGGAAATGCAGAAATCACCCGTCTTCTGCATCGCTCACGCTGGGAGCTGTAGACCGGAGGTGTTCCTATTCGGCCATCTTGGCTCCTCCCTGTACCTTTTATTTCTATAAACTATCCCTGTTGTACATTTCCCTCCTTCAATGAACGTTCCCTCTTTTGCCTTCTTCAAGGGCTGTTCTGCAGGGGTTCTGGTCTTTCCCCTGCATTCTTGTGCTACCCATATTCCCTGACGAGGCCCCCATTCTTGGGTGTCAAATGCCATATATATATATATATATATATATATATATATATATATATATATGTATATGTATACTGATATTCAAATTTAAAGCTTGAGTGCAGGCATTCACCCATTTCGGACCACTGTGCCTGGCTTTCTGATGAGCCTCTCCACCTGGACACTGAGGTCGCAGAGCCCTGAACTCAGTATGTCCAAAGCTGCTCTCACCCTTTCACCTGTAAACTTCTCTGGAGCTATCTTCTGGCTCCTTTCGTAGCTTCTCCATTTACCCAACCATCAGATAAAAATCCTAAGAGTTGAAAAACTTAGGTCTATTTATTTTTTGGGGTACAAGGAAAAATAATCTGGAGGAAATTGTGATTCATGGCTTAAATGAAAGAGTGATGATCACCCTACCCTCAGATGGTCATGTGGCCCTCTCTTCCAGATGAAATCAACCTGAGCATTTGAGAATGGGCATCCTGGCTGAGGCAGCCGTGGTGGAAATCAGAGACTCCAGGATTGCCATCACAAGTTCTGAATCCAGGTTAACTACTAGGTGATCTTAGGCTATCGGCTTCTGAGATACTCCATTTTTTTATGTTGGAATTATTATGAAAATTAAATAAGTTTATAAGGATGGAGGGGTTTTTTTCTTGAGTTTACCCAGAAAAATCATTCTCATTAGTTCATTATCTGATTTCAATGATTTAGAAAGTTAATGAACACATGTACAGACTGACCTGTTTAATACTCAAACACCATCAAGACCATCTTTCTCTGATGTAGCCCTATATCAAAAAGCAGTGGCTGTGGGTCCTTAAAATGATGTCTCCTTTATTTAAAGATATGTGGTCTACCCTCATTTTTCTCTGCCTTTGATAAATCACCTGCATTCATTTAACCTTTTTCCTGAGTTTTCACTCTCCACCCCTTTAATCATTTTCACTGCTCTGTCTTGGACCCCCTCCAATTTCTCTGTACCTTTTGGAAAATTAGAATCCCCAGACTGCACATAACACTCTAATAAGGGCCAAGTCAATGCCAAATATAGCTCATGACACTCTTTCTTGTCACTTGAGTGACAGACAACACTGTTAAGACTTCTCAGTAGCATAACAGTGTTAAAAGACACACATCTACATGGCAGACCCCAAGATCAAACTTCAAGGACGTGATCGGCATGCACTTATGGAAGGAACTTAATGCTGTTATTGATCCTCTCTGGAGAATGAGAAGGTGTGCCCAGAATGTTTAGAGGATACAGCCTAATGTGTCCCATGCATGGACCCAAGGGAGCCATATTCGTTTGGGGTTTGGGAGAAAAGTGCAGTGTTTGGACTTCCAGATTTTCCATAATAATAGAGACAATTCTCCTACCATTAGACCCCTACCATTTCAGGGTCATCTTGATATAGTTACACTGACTCTAGTTATTTAGCTTGCATGACTACTCTAAGTTTCCTTCTTCCACAGAAAGAAAGCATTTAACTTTCTTAGTTTAAGAGCGGAGGGTTCCACAGGGACTAGTGAGAAATAGAATCTGGAGCAGGAGGCAAATTAGTGCTGATAAGTGACCTGGTGGGTGTCCTGGAAAGTCTGAAATACTGGAGGCTCATTACATGGGAAGCACTGTGATTCAGTGAGCTATGCAACCAGTGATGTAAAGAAGGAAATTAAATCGGGAGTGGCGGGCGGCGGGAGAGATTTTGGTTCAGAAGATTTTACCTGGGTTAGAAGTTTAGGGACATTTTAGTGAAGATAGAAAGTGATGATTTTTCAGGAAGAAGGGGGATTGGGCAGTCCAGCATAGAGGTGCATTATTTGAGTGTGTGGTTCCTTCAGCCTCCTGCTGTGGGAAGCGGCTAAGCAGGTGGAAGATCTTGCAGCCAGACACCTGAGCAAGGGCAGAACAGGCACACAGGTGTTCAGGTGGCATCTTGGAGGCCAAGAAGGTTGAGAGCAGGGTCACTCTCCACTAGAACCCAGGAGCGGAAGTGGGAGATGGCAAACCATGCTGCCAATTACTTATTTCTCAACTGGCTCACGGCAGGAACCAGAGCCATTCCTCTTCCTCTCTGCTTGCCTGGATGAGGCCAGCTCATGCTGAACCAGTTAAACTTTTCCTACAGTTGGGAATGATGGAGAGTGGATTGTTTTGGCTAGAACTAGATGAGGACAGGTGGTGCCACCTGCTACAAGTGATTTCCTTCCAGTTGGCTCTAGAGCCACCATTCTTGGTCTTTTTGCAGTTTGGTGGGGCTGGTGGGGAGGGAAGGGAAGGGGAAGGTGGTGGGTGAGGGAGAGAATCTGGATTTGCAGTGAGTCATAATGGGCTTTCACAGGTTGGCAACCCCTTTCAGATACAGCAGCAGATGCATTGGCATTGAGAGATGATTGTATAAGGACATGTTTGAAATACTGATGTTTCAGGATCCCTGTGGTGGCCCTTTCTACTGCAGATGCTTGAGACCTTTCCATACTTCATCAAGGTGACAAAAAGTGCTTGTCATTTTAGAAGGCTGCAGTTCCTTGGAGCCAAGAGTCTTGAGAAGAGGCCATCCGAGAGCCTTGTCCTCCTTTAGCTATTTGCCCTGGTGAAAAGCCCTTCGCCCACCAGACACAAAAGCTGGCCAGGAACTGCCTTTGGGCCTTCATGTAGTTCAACCACAGCAAGCCATTTGGATGATTTTTCTCTGGAGCAGGAAGTGTGGTGTCTAAAACTCACCTCACTAATCACTGAAGGTGGCACTCTAATTTCTTGCAAGCCTGGTTGTATCTGAAAGCCCATACCTCCTCGCGGTGGCCTAGTGTTTGAACACAGACGTGCCCAGTGTTGAAAGGGTTCTCTTGTGGGGCTGCTGTGGCTGAGGGCAGCCTGCTGTAGACCAGCTCTCTGAGCTTTCTCTGTTTCTTAGCTGGTGAAGGAGATGGCTTGTTTATAAATATCAGGCAGGAAAAGCAGGTGCAGGTGGCAGGGCCACCGTTGGAGGCACAGAGGAGGTGGGGTGGGCAAAGTGACCACGCACACTTGGTGATTGTTCCGATGGAGCTTGGAGACTCCCTCAGCTTCCAGGGGCTGTTTCTGGCTCTGTAAGGCGCTGGGGGCCACTCTGGCTGAGATTCTGGGGGCGTCTTGTCTTCTGTTACTCTGGTCTGCTGTATGCACCTAAACCCATTTACAGTTCCAGAGGGCAGGGGCAATGAGACACACCACGCCCCTTCCTGAGGGACGGCCTCACAATTATCGAGGTCTACGTCGGCCAGACACTAAGCCTCGGCATACATTATCTTTGATCCTCACTCTGTCCCTATGGGATGGGTATTATTTCCACGGTAGCCTGAGCGGGGGGCACAGCAGGTGGGGGTAACTGGGAGATAATAATGTCCCTGGGGTAGGGATGATGACTATATGGGTTAGAAGGGCAGGGAAGAGTGGGAATGCTGCCAGGAGGGGCAAATTAAACAGAAGCAGCCTGTGTGTGGAGTGTGGTCTCCAGGCTTTTGAGGGAGAGGCCTCTGGCTGAAGCGGGAATCCAGGCAGATTTTGTTTTTCTGGCTAATTGGATGCTTGTTCACAGTGTCTTCCCACTCACAGAACCAGGCAACAAAGAAGTCTGTGGCGTCCACAGGAGGGAAACAAAGCAAAACGAAGCGCCGACCAGTGCGGTACTATTAATTCAAATTAATGACCCTCACCTACAAATAAAGCTGGTGCCTGGCAGGTCGCTGGCTCTTGGAGAGCTGCAATGAGAACAAACGTGGCTTTGCCGTCTGGCCAGGCAATCGATGCCTCCTGCCTGTCCCTGGCCGCCCCGCACCCACCTCTTACAGATGTTACCTGTCTCCTGTTAATTCTCCCGTGTCACTCTCCACTTCCCCGGTGGGGGTGGGGGGGGGGCGGTCAAGGGTTGACCTGGAGGGTGGGCTTATTTCATAAGAAAGGCCGATTGAAAGGGCCCAGATGCAAAGTCACACTGCTCTGCTGAGCTGGGAGGACACCCCACTGAGAGACGTGTCTGAAATGGGTGGAGGTCTCTGGGCATCACTGGCAGGGGTGGGTGCCTGACTGTCATTTAGGGACATTTCTGCCTTGATCTGTTGCTCTTATTTATCTCTGCCAAAATAAAGATGTGTTTGATGATAAAGACTTCTTTTATTCAGCCTCTCAGTTATTCCAGCACGGTAGTTAGAGATGAATACAACGTTGCCCTTAAGCTACAACCTGATCTTCACAAAAACCCTTTGAAGAAGGTAAGTTTAGTTTTACTTTAAGACTGGGGACTCAGGGAAGTTAAGAAATTCTCCAAAATTCACTCAGCTTTTGTGTAATGTGTAATGTGTAAAAGACAGGGTACAAATCCAAGTCCTCTCATTCCAAAGACTTATTTTAATTTTAATACCTATCTGGTGTTTTCCCCTTTGTTCTCTTCAGCATAAAGGCAGAACATTAAAATAACTAATTTTCAGAAGGGTCATAGAGAGTTAGAATTGAAATCATCCTTGAAAATCCCCCAGTCTCCCTCCCTGACTTTGCAGAGTGAAGCTGGGGCCACGGCAGTAAAGAGGAAGGGATGTCTTGCCCTGCACGTTGCAGTGAGGTGGGGGTGTCAAGGCCATAGGCCCCTTCTCTTTCACCCAGGAGAGATTCTCAACAGGGGAAAAGGCCGGGGCATGTGTATTTCCATGCATGTAGCCACATGCATGAACACAGGCACACAGACCCCAAAGGCAGCCTGTGTTTTTTATGCCACGTATGTCCTGCCCCTCTGCCATGCTACTAAGAGCCGTATTAGATCTTGAAATAGCTTGCCTGCAAGCTGGGATCTTTGTCCCTTGCTCTATCTGGGGGGTCAGGGGGAAGCCTTCCTTTAGAGTAAATGGAAATCCAGAGGATCCCTGCCCCATTCTTGACCCAATCCCTGAGGATTACTTTTTCAGAGAAGTCCAAACCCGGACTTTCTAGATTGCATCCTTGATGACCAGAGGCATTGCTATTTAAATCACATGTTTTCTTTTCTGTGAAGAGGGAATCTCATTCTTCGTAAGCATTTCTATACATCTAACTGCAAACACAAAGCCCCTGAAAAGTTAGTGGATCTTGGATTTGTCCCATGTTTGTTAATTGCCAGAGACCTTTCTATTTAAACAAGTGCTTCTTTCATTGCAGTCTTTGCACAAACACAGCTTTGGAGAGAGTTTATATTTTAGGGGAGAGTAAATAGCTCTGCATTGTGCTATACTAGCAACTGTGGATGATGTGGAAACCTGGTTGCCAGGCACAGTGTTTCCTGCTTTAGGAGCTGTACCCAAATGCTTCTCTTTGCTATTTCACTTCATTCATTCATTCATTCATTCATTCAAAAATGTCCATACTGAATACTTTCTGTGCACCTGGCACTGTGCTAATTGCCGAGAATATAGAGGAGAAATAATTTCTAAACAATTTCCCCAAGAACTTCACAGCCTAGTGAGGAGCAAAGGCCATGACACAGACGTTATACAGAAAACAACCATTTGAACGGTACAAAGTAAAGAAAAGGGACTTCCAACCTCTTCTAGGGGTGTGGAGAAAGGAGTTATAGAAAGCTTCCTGAAAGAGGAAGTTAAGTTATAACTTAAAACGAGGAACAGAAATTAGCAATATGGAGAAGTGAGGGATGGTCAGTGCAATTTAAGTCGAGGGAGTAGTGTTTTAGAAAAGGTTCATGACCGGCACGGTGGCTCACACATGTAATCCCAGCACTTTGGGAGGGTGAGGTGGGCGGATCATGAGGTCAAGAGATCGAGACCATCCTGGCCAAGATGGTGAAACCTCATCTCTACTAAAAAAAAAAAAAATACAAAAATTAGCTGGGCGTAGTGGTGGGCGCCTGTAGTCCCAGCTACTTGGGAGGCTGAGGCAGGAGAATCGCTTGAACCTGGGAGGCAGAGGTTGCGGTGAGCCGAGATTGCGCCACTGCATTCCAGCCTGGCGATAGAGCGAGACTCCGTCTTAAAAAAAAAAAAAAAAAAGGAAAAAAAACGTTCATGAAAGAGACTGTTGAAATGCAATCAGTTGTATTTGATCACCTGGGATCTGTGCAGCAAACGGGACAGGTAAGAGGACAGACCACAGCCAGGAAGGTAGGGACTAAACCCTGAGCTTCCTAGCTTAGAATGCAATGCTAAGGCAGAAAGTTGAAAATCATCCAAAGGCAATGGGGTGCCGTGGAAAGATTTTAAGCTGGAGGATACCTTAATCTATTTACATTTTAGAAAAATCATTATTAACAGGAGCATGAGGGATGCCTTGGAAGAAGGGAAGGCCATTGCGGAAGGTTTGATGAGATGGTGGCTGAGCAAGTGGGGAAGAGAAGGCTAGTTTCAGATACACCAAGGAAGCAGAACCGACATGACCATAAGATGGGTTATATGCAGAACAGGAGGGAGAAGAGAAAATGCTTTCTGGATCACTGGGATGATGAGCTCACAAGGACTGAGAGGCTGAGGAATGAAGAGTGAGTTAGGTTCACGGAAGCTGAGACTCCCAGACATAAACCAAGTGGAGATGTCCAGGAAACTGATTATACGGATCTGGAGCTCAGCATGGAGATCTTCAAAAGATTTGGACCTGGACATCAGGTGAGCTATTGTAGGGAGAGCACATTTGGTGGGGCGATCCTGGAGCACATAGATTTTAATGGATGGGCAGGATGAAGAAGAGCTCATGGAGCACACTGGATTCCAGCCACTAGAGACCAGGGGAAACCAGGGCAGAGAAGTCAGAGGAGGGTAAAATTTCAAAGATGGAGTTGCTAATAGTATGAAGTGCTGCACAACGATTACAAAAGATAGATGAAAAATATCCATTGAATTAAAAAATGGTAGAGACTACGGTTGTCTTTAGGAAGGGGGAAAATGGAGTAACTTCTCTCAGAAAGCCAGGTTGTGAAGCACAGGATAGAAATGAATCAGTAGCTAGACAGGCAAGTGAGACTGAGAAGCTGATCACCTCCACAGCACACAGTTTAGTTGCTGCATTTGTGGTGTCAAGTCTTGGGGAAGAGGATGGTCGTAAAAACTGTAAGTCATGAAGTAACCAAACAGCAGGATGATTGGTTTGGGAAGGAAGTTACTCCAAGGAGATCAAGAGAAAATGGCAAAGCTGGAACTACTCATTGGAAATAGTTTCCTGATTCATATATCAGGAAGAGTTTCTGATTATGAAATGCATTTCTTATAGTGTCGTGATTAAGAACGTGGGCTCTAGAATCAAATTGCTTTGGTTCAAATTTTAGTTCTGCCATTTACCAACTGTGTGAGCTTAGGAGCGTTGCTTAACTTCTCCATGCTTTAGGTCGTTTGCTTGTTAAGTGAGAATGGTGATAGGACCTCCCTTGTAGGATCACTATCACCATGACAAATAAATGTATTTTAAACACTACATATTTTCTGAGACACAGTAATCATTCCATAAATATTAGCTACATTCTCCTTATAATATTTTGCATCTACATAGTGCTTTTAATCATATGTAATGTTTGCAGCTTCTGCACACGTTTATTAACACGACAGAACACGGAAAGAGAACTAACTGTGAAAACAGCATGGTGTTACATCTATATGGTTCTTCCACGATTTAAACCAAATCATGGGAAGACTGAGACCCAGAGATTTAAGCAACTTTTCTAAAGTTATACAGCTAGTAGGCAGAGACATAACATCCCTATATTTTCTGATTTTATGTTTGGTGTTCTTCCTCTTACTGATTATTATAGAACTTCAGATTTCAGGAGGACTTTTGGTTAGTGATTGGAACAAGAGGGACTTGTTATATTATCCCCACCAAAATGTTATTTTTATTAGTATTTTCCTCAGTGGACATTTTGGTTAATATATCTTTTTATACTTTTACTTTCAACATATCAGCACTTTTTTTTAAATGTATGTTGTATATTTTGCATTTTCTTGTATGGTACCTGGCCCATAGCAAGTTTCATGCACGTCCGTGTGAAGAGACCACCAAACAGGCTTTGTGTGAGCAATAAAGCTTTTAATCACCTGGGTGCAGGTGGGCTGAGTCCGAAAAGACAGTCAGTGAAGGGAGATAGGGGTGGGGCTGTTTTATAAGATTTGGGTAGGTAAAGGAAAATTACAGTCAAAGGGGGTTGTTCTCTGGCGGGCAGGAGTGGGGGTCACAACGTGCTCAGTAGGGGAGCTTTTGAGCCAGGAGAAGGAATTTCATAAGATAATGTCATCAGTTAAGGCAGGAACAGGTCATTTTCATTTCTTTTATGGTAGAATGTCATCAGTTAAGGCAGGAACTGGCCATCTGGATGTGTACGTGCAGGTCACAGGGGATATAGCTTAGCTTGGGCTCAGAGGCCTGACATTCCTGTCTTCTTATATTAATAAGAAAAATAAAATGAAATAGTGGTAAAGTGTTGGGATGGTGAAAAATTTTGGGGATGGTATGGAGAGATAATGGGCGATGTTTCTCAGGGCTGCTTCAAGCAGGATTAGGGGTGGCGTGGGAACCTAGAGTGGGAGAGATTAAGTTGAAGGAAGATTTTGTGGTAAGGGGTGATATTGTGGGACTGTTAGAAGAAAGATTTGTCATTTAGAATTATTGGTGATGGCCTGGATACGGTTTTGTATGAATTGAAAAACTAAACGGAATAAGAGAAGGAGAAAAACAGGTATTAAAGGTCTAAGAATTGGGAGGACCCAGGACATCTAATTAGAGAGTGCCTAAGGAGATTCAGCATAGTCTTGCCAACAAAGATTATTTATTTACTTCAAGAGTTAAGAGTGGCAGTTTGGGGATAGCACCAGGAGGTATCAGCTGTGATGGCTTAGAGAAACAGTGTAAACAGGCAGTGTAAACAAGAGCATGGCATGTCTGAGTAGTTGAGAACGGTGAATAGGAGTATGACTAGACAGAAGATAGTAGGGATGACAAGTTTTTTGGGGCACAGTACAAGTTGGTCTGGTGTCTGGAATGAGACTGGGGCCTAATAAAAAGGAGCATCCAAACAGGAGCTCAAATGGACTGTACCCTGTAGCATTCCGAGGACAGGCCTGAATTCTGAGAAGGGAAAGTGGTGAAAGTATTGTCCAGTCCTTTTTAAATTGGTGGCTGAGCTTGGTGAGGTGTGTTTTTAAAAGACCTTTAGTCCATTCTACCTTTCCTGAAGACTGAGGACCGTAAGGGATATAAAGGTTTCACTGAATACCAAGAGCCTGAAAAACTGCTTGGCTGATTTGACTAATAAAGGCTGGTCTGTTATCAGACTGTATAGAGGTTGGAAGGCTAAACTGAGGAATTATGTCTGACAGAAGGGAAGAAATGACTGCAGTGGCCTTCTCCCATCCTGTAGGAAAGGCCTCTACCTATCCAGTGAAAGTGTCTACCTAGACTAAGAGGTATGTTAGTTATCTGACTCAGGGCATGTTGAGTAAAGCTAATTTGCCAGTCCTGGGTGGGGGCAAATCCTCGAGCTTGATGTGTAGGGAAGGGAAGGGGCCTGAATAATCCTTGAGAAGTAGTAGAATAGCATATGGAACACAGAGAAGTTATTTCCTTGAGGATAGATTTCCACGATGGAAAGGAAATGAGAGGTTTTAAGAGGCGGGCTAGTGGCTTGTACTGTAGCATAGCCTGCCTTTGCTGGTGTGTGGCGATTAGGCCTGGTGGAACTGCCATCAATAAACTAAGTGTGTTCAGCGTGAGGAACATGAAAGAATATGGGGAAATGGAGTGAATGTCAGGTGGACCAGAGAGTTACAGTCATGGGGGTCAGGTGTGGTATCAGGGATAATGTGGGAGGCCTGATTGAAGTCTGGGCCAGGAACAACGGTAATTGTGGGAGACTTAACAAAGAGTGAGTACAGCTGAAGGAGCCAGGAAGCAGAAAGTATATGTGTCAGGTGTGAGGAAGAAAATAGATTCTGGAAGTTATGAGAACTGTAGGGAGTGAGTTGAGCATAGTTTGTGATTTTAAGGGCCTCTAAAAGTATTAGGGAAGTGGCAGCCGCCACACACAGACTTGAGGGCTAGGCAAAACAGTAAGGTCAAATTGTTTGGATAAAAAGGCTACAGGGTGCGGTCCTGGTCTTTGTGTAAGAATTCTGACTGCACAGCCCTGCACTTCTGCTGTGTGTAATGAAAAGGGTTGGGATGAGTCAGGGAGATCTAAGGTGGGGGCAGTCTCTAAAGCTGTCTTCAAGGAATGGAAAGAGGAGTGGGGAAAGGATTTAGGATCTATGGGGTCAACTAGGTTTCCTTTTGTGAGTTTATATAATGGTTTTGTTAGGATGGCAAAACCAGATATCTAAAGTCGAAAGTATCTAACCATGCCTAGGAAGGAAAGGAGTTGTTGTTTTGTAGAAGGGATTGAGGTTTGGGAGATTAGTCGGACATGATCAGCAGGGAGAGCATGTGTGTTTTTATGAGAATTATGCCGAGATAGGTAACAGATGAGGATGAAATTTGGGCTTGACTTAAGTAATGGGGGCTATCTGTGAAGCCTTGTGGCAGTACAGCCTAGGTAATTTGCTAAGCCTGATGGGTGTGAGGGTCAGTCTAAGTGAAAGTGAAGAGAGGCTGGGATGAAGGGTGCAAAGGAATAGTAAAGAAAGCATGTTTGAGATCCAGAACAGAATAATGGGTTGTAGAGGCAGGTATTGAGGATAGGAGAGTATATGGGTTTGGCACCACGGGGTGGATAGGCAAAACAATTTGGTTGATAAGGCGCAGATCCTGAAATAACCTGTAAAGCTTCTCTGGTTTTAGGACAGGTAAAATGGGGGAATTGTAAGGAGAGTTTATAGGCTTTAAAAGGCCATGCTGTAGCAGGCGAGTGATAACAGGCTTTAATCTTTTTAAAGCGTGCTGTGGGATGGGATATTGGCGTTGAGCGGGGTAAGGGTGATTAGGTTTTAATGAGATGGTAAGGGGTGCGTGATCAGTCTCACCAAGGAGGGAGTAGAGATCTCTTATACTTGTGGGTTAAGGTGGGGGGGATACAAGAGGGGGACGCAAAGGAGGCTTTGGATTGGGAAGAAGGGCAGCAATGAGATATAGCTGTAGTCTAGGAATAGTCATGGAAGCAGATAATTTAGTTAAAGTGTTTTGGCCTAATAAGGGAACTGGGCAGGTGGGGATAACTAAAAAGGAGTGCTTAAAAGAGTATTGTCTAAGTTGGCACCAGAGTTGGGGAGTTTTAAGAGGTTTAGAAGCCTGGCCGTCAATACCCACAACAGTTATGGAGGCGAGGGAAACAGGCCCTTGAAAAGAAGGTAATGTGGAGTGGGTAGCCTCCGTATTGATTAAGAAGGGGACGGACTTCCCTCCACTGTGAGAGTTACTCGAAGCTCGGCGTCCGTGATGGTCTAGGGGGCTTCCGAGGCGATCGGGCAGCGTCAGTCTTCAGCTGCTAAGCTGAGAAGATCTGGGAAGGAGTCAGTCAGAGAGCCCTGGGCCAGAGTTGCAGGGGCTCTGGGAGTGGCTGCCAGGTGAGTTGAACAGTCCAATTTTCAGTGGGGTCCCGCACAGATGGGAACGTGGCTTAGGAGGAATCCCGGGCTGTGGGCATTCGTTGGCCTGGTGGCCAGATTTCTGGCACTTGGTAGCAAGCTCCGGGGGGAGGCAGGCCTGGAGGAACACCTGGCCACTGCGGTTTAGGCGTTTGGAAGTTCTTGTGTGCTGGAGATGTGGCTGGGGTTTGTCTCACAGTGGAGGCAAGGAATTGCAACTTTTTTCTATTATTGTACACCTTGAAGGCGAGGTTAATTAAATCCTGTGTGGGGTTTGAGGGCCGGAATTTAATTTTTGGAGTTTTATTTAATGTTGGGAGCAGATTGGGTAATAAAATGTATTTTGAGAATAAGACGGCCTTTTGACCTTTTAGGGTCTAGGGCTGTAAAGCGTCTCAGGGTTGCTGCCAAACGAGCCATGAACTGGGCTGGGTTTTTATATTCGATGAAAAAGAGCCTAAACGCTAACTGATTTGGGATAAAGAAAAAGGAGCATTAACCTTGACTATGCCTTTGGCTCCAGCCACCTGTTTAAGAGGAAATTGCTGGGCAGGTGGGGGAGGGCTAGTCAGTGAATGAAACTGTAAGCGGGACCCGGTGTGAGGAGGGGAGGCGATAAAAGGATTATAGGGTGGAAGAGCGGAGGCTGAGGAAGAATTGGGACCTAGCTCGGCCTGGCGAGGAGCAGCCTGGGGAGGAGGGGAGAGGTCAGATGGGTCTGTAGAAAAGGAAGATTAGAAAGACTCAGCGACTCTTGGGGTTGGGACTGAGGGGACAGGCGGGAGGGAAAGAAGGAGGATCTGGGATGAGTCGCATTGGGAACAGAGACTAGGGAGGGACCAATGTGTAAAAGAATGCCTGGACATCAGGAACTTCAGACTGTTTGCCCATTTTACGATAAGAATTACTTAGATCTTGTAGGATGGAAAAATTGAAAGTGCTGTTTTCTGGCTATTTGGAACTGCTGTCGAGTTTATATTGGGGTCAAGCGGCCTTGCAGAAGTAAATAAGGCATTTAGGTTTTAGGTCAGGTGTGAGCTGAAGAGGTTTTAGGTTTTTAAGAATACAGGCTAAGGGAGAAAAAGGGGGAATGGAGGGCGGAAGCTTGCCCATAGTGAAGGAGGCAAGCCCAGAGAAAAGAGAGAGTAGAGACATGGAGAGAAGGGGTCGAGGGGTTCTTGCCCCCTAGAAAAGCGGGAAAGGGGTCGGGGCACGGAAATAAGGGGTTGGGGCACAGAGATAAGAGGTCGGGGTGCGGAAATAAGGGGTTGGGGTGCAGAAATAAGGGATCTGGGGGGGTCCTTGCCCCCCCAAAAAGTAGAGACGGGGTAGAGACAGGGAGAGAAGAGGGAGAGACAGGGAGAGAAGGGGTAGAGACAGGGAGAGAAGAGGGAGAGACAGGGAGAGAAGGGGTAGAGACAGGGAGAGAAGAGGGAGAGACAGGGAGAGAAGGGGTAGAGACAGGAAGAGAAGGGGTCGGGGTTTTTGCCCTTCCCCCAGAAAAGTGGGACTTCTGCTAAGGGTGAAGGACCAAGGCAGGCATCCCTGCGTGGTCAGACACCTCTGAAACGTGGGTGAATAATCAGGCATCGCTGCAATGATTAGACACCAAGGGAAGGCTGCCTTCCCGAGTCCGTGACCAGCGCCAGAGTTTTGGGTCCACGGATAAAACGTGTCTCCTTTGTCTCTACCAGAAAATGAAAGGAATTGAAATTAAGAGAAGGGAGAGATTGAAGGTTGGCGCCAAGATTGAAAGGAGAAAGTGTTTTAGGGATGGTGAGAGAGGTTGGAGAAGAGAGTAAGAAGAGGCTGCTTACCCGATTTAAAATTGGTGAGATGTTCCTTGGGCTGGTGGGTCTGAGGACCCGAGGTCATAGGTGGATCTTTTTCACGGAGCAAAGAGCAGGAGGACAGGGGATTGATCTCCCAAGGGAGGTCCCCCGATCTGAGTCACAGCACCAAATTTCATGCACGTCCATGTGAAGAGACCACCAAACAGGCTTTGTGTGAACAATAAAGCTTTTAATCACCTGGGTGCAGGCGGGCTGAGTCCGAAAAGAGAGTCAGCGAAGGGAGATAGGAGTGGGGATGTTTTATAAGATTTGGGTAGGTAAAGGAAAATTACAGTCAAAGGGGGTTTGTTCTCTCTAGTGGGCAGGAGTGGGGGTCACAAGGTGCCCAGTAGGGGAGCTTTTGAGCCAGGATGAGCCAGGAGAAGGAATTTCACAAGATAATGTCATCAGTTAAGGCAAGAACAGGCCATTTTCATTTCTTTTTGGTGGAATGTCATCAGTTAAGGCAGGAACTGGCCATCTGGATGTGTACGTGCAGGTCACAGGGGATATGATGGCTTAGCTTGGGCTCAGAGGCCTGATAGCAAGCACTTCTCTTTCTCCTTTCATTGAACTTCCTTCCCTTTCTTCTTTGCTCTTTTTCCCCTTCTCTTCCTTTCTTATTTTCTTGGTCTCATTTCCTTAGGATAATGATCCTCAAACATAGTATTCTTTAGACTCTGTTGAGGAACTTGGTAAAAAGAAGAGTCCCGGGTTCTACTTGAGAGGTTGTCCTGGGTTCTACTTGAGAGATTGTGATTAATTAGGTCTAGGGTCAGAACAAGAAGGAGCATGTATTATAAAAATCTCCTTTCCACTTTGGTAGGCAGAGGTGGGTATATCACAAGGTCAAGACTTTGAGACCAGCCTGGCCAAGACGGTGAAATCCTGTCTCTACTGAAAATGCAAAAATTAGCCAGGCAGGGTGGTGGGCACCTGTAATCTCAGTTACTCAGGAGGCTGAGGCAGGAGAATCACTTGAACCCAGGAGGAGGATGTTGCAGTGAGCTGAGATTATGCCATTGTACTCCAGCCTGGTGACAGAGACTCCGTCTAAAAAAAAAAAAAAATTCTCCGTTCATTGTGTTACTGGTGGACCTTCTCTTGAAAATAGGTTTTCCTCAGTGTTTAGGTTAAATCAATGGAAAGAATTGCAGTTGCTGAATGAGTATATTTTCATTTTGGGGAAAAGGACATAAAGCCACAGTGTTGGTAGGTTCTGGCCCTTCATGGGATTTGGAATTTGGAGAGAGATTTGATAGTTTTACTATCCCATGTGGAAAGCAGCTGATCCAAGAATGGGATAGCAAAGGGGAGGTGTCTTCTGCTGGGATTGCTGGAAATACACTTGGCTCTGAGGGAGAGAAATGGGCTGCACTCTCGTTTCAAATAGGCCGCTGAAATAACTCTGGTTAGGGATGAGTTTAATGAGTCCTGTCAATCTATTTATTCTTCCATTCAATAAGTATCTATTGAGACAAGCATTATGACAGGGAATAAGAATATGATGATAAGCAAAACCTAAGCCTATTTCCAAGGGAATCACAGTTTAATGGAAGCATGTAGGGGCTGGGGGAGGAAGTATGGTGAAGTGGAAGAGACAGGAATAAAGATGGGTAAACAAAAGGTTACAGACCGGTGAGGCTACAATTTCCCTCAAAGTTCCTTGGGAGGCTTCAAAGAGAAGTTGAAATTGATGCTGGCTCTTGATGGCTAAGTAGAATTTTCCCCAAAGTGGAAGAATTTATTGCAGCCGATGAAATAGCTTGGTGTACAGTTATATTAGTATAAAATAGCATGATTGTCACTCATCATGGGGTTCAGTGAATCATTTTCAGAATCCAAAACTAATACTCCTTAAATCACCTTTCTGGTCTCTCTTTCAAGGCTCTGCAGCATCGGTGGTGAATTATCTGTTTCTCCGGCCAGCATTGCTCCTCCTCAGGCCGCAGTGGCCTCTGGTTCCTTCCTTCCTGAGTGATCTGTGGTTTGCTTGTCTCGCTGCATTTTCATGCCCTCTCCAGCTCCTTGCCATCAGTGCTCCTTCCTCACTGTCTCCTTCAATCGGCCTCTCTACTTACTGTATTTGACTGCACCCACCTTTCTGTTAGTCTCTCTTCATCCTCTTCCAGCTGTGCAAAAACAGCCAAGTCATCTCAGATATTGACTTATTATTTTCTCAGAGAGTAAAGTTATTAACTTCTTTCAAGAGCGTTGGTCTCTGAAGACGATGAAGGGGAGGTTGCCGAGGGCAGGGACCTAATGGGAGATCTTGACTGATGGTGAAATTTCAGGGTGATGATAATGAGGACAATAATACTATCAAAACCTGAGATTTAAGGAATCCCTTGCAAAGGTATATGAGAGTGTGTTAAGGAGCATCTCTTCTACTGTCGCATGCTGAGCAGCAGGTTTGCAAATAGGGCTGCAGTTGTTTATCTGGAAGGTCTCTCAGTTTCAAGAAGATTGGGGCTTAGAATGCCCGATAAATCTCCTGCCAAGTCAGCAAATGATGAAGTCTGTCAGACGGTGTGACTCACCAATAATTCAGATCTCTGTCCATCGCCTCTTCACCGCACTTACTTTTGGATTCCATTTCCATCCATTTTCACGAGTCTCATATGTTTTGTTCTAACCTTCCCAATGGATACACGAGACGAAAAAACAGCCAGCCTATATTTGGGGACCACAGTAAATCAGACAGAAAAAGATGGTGGAGTCTGGCAAAGTCTCCTTTCTAGAAGAACTACCAAATGTTACTGAGCTGTCTAATTTCCCTTTCAAAAAGGAGAAGAGATGCTTCAGGCAGTAGGCAGGAAGCCGGGTTCCCATGGATGGGTGGGTGCAATGAAAGAAGGAAGAGGACAGGAGTCTATTTAGTGTCCCTGCTTTTAAGCAGCGCATCAGTCAAATCACACCAGGAAGGTTCAGGTTCTTTTTTTATTTAAATGCTGGAAAAAGACACAGTTTCTGTAATACATTATGAAAAAATTATTTTAAAACCTTATAACTTTTGTATTAAGAAATCCATAATCAAAATTAACAAATATTTACTGAGCCTTAACTGTCATTCATCGATTACTTCTTATGTCCCAGGAGCTGTTCTCAGAGCTTGACATACAAGGTCCTATTAGAGCCAAACAGCGATTACATTAAGTGTTACTAGATTTATTGTACAGATAAGAAACTGAGGCATAGAGAAATCACTTCTTCAAGGTCACAGGGGCAGTCAGTGGCAAAGCCCTGGTTTCTTTGACTTGAAATTGTGTGCTCCTGGATGCCGCTCTCCACTGTGTACAGCACAAGACACGAGGATGCGCTTAGAAGTCTCACAGTCTCTATTTTCCATGCACACATATTGTTATAGATTCTAAATTCTTCACACTTCATTTAAACCTGCTGACTCTCTTTTACTCTTAGAAAAGAGAAAAAGAATAAAAAATTGTTAATCTTAATCATAAATGTAAACAGTTACTAAGTCACTTTTTAAGACTTATTTTGATGGTTAAAGGAATCCTGTAACCCATCTTTCAGTGCATTATCAATTATTATTGTTGTTCTCTGTGTCTTGAACCTCTTACTGGCATTTCTTATATGGTGTATTTCTAAGTGAATATATTCTTTTTTATAGAGAATTGGCGTTATGTCCTATGAGAGAAAAGAGTCCACCACTGTTACAGATCAATCTGTTCTCATACTGGCCTCATTTCTCTCACCTCCCACCAAAACCCTCAACCCTAACTCTGAGAGCAAATAGCTAACTGTGATCTCTAAAATATTATTAATGAGAACTCAGACTTGTGAGTTCGTGGGCACTTGGAAGCTGTGGCCTTCAACATCTCCGCTTTTCCCTACAGCTCTACCCCTTGCCATCTTCCCATTGCACACAGTCCATCAGAGCTGCTGCCTGTGTGCCCTGCTGTCTTTTAGCCAGGCCAAGGTGTATGAATAAACTAGGCTTATCCTAGATAATTTGAATTTGAATCTTAAGCTAAGTGAAAAAGAGATTTAAACGGCTTGTGTTTTTCTATTTGACCATCCTATTTCTGTCACATAAGCGTGCCTACATTCTTGCTTCTTAGATATCTAGAGCTGTCTTGGTTTTTGCATATTTCCAACCTGACTTGTACTTGACTTTCTATGCCAGGATTCCTGTTTGCTTAAATTGGCTAGAGGTGGGTTCTCTTGCTTGCAACCAAATAACCTCAACTAACTCTCTTCCTGGTTACCTCCCTCTGTTCATTCGTTCACTCAGTAAATACTGAAAATCTACTGTGTTCCAGGTATTTGGTAGAGACTGACACTATAGGTGTAACCCTGGCAAATAACATCACTGCTCTCAAAAGACTTACCACTGTGGGAAAATCAGAGAAATAGGCAGTTACAGTTTGTTATAATAAGGATCCTATTGCACTTTATGGAAGGTGCACCCACCTAAGACTTCCAGAAAAGTCAATCAGAGAAAGCTTCCTGGAAGAAGTAAAATGTATACTCAAAGTGGAAAGACAAGAGTTTGCCAGGTGAAGTGGTGGGGAAAGAATGTTCTCAGATAAGAGAATGTGGAGGATCTATGGAGAGCTGGAGGGAAGAGAGAGCAGATGCATTTGGAGAACTAAAAGCAATTTGACCTGGCTAGAGCATAGAACACCATGGGAATGGGGATGAATTAGCTTGAAGATATAAAGCAGAAAGAAACAGATTATGAAGGACTTTATAGGTCCTCCTAAGGAATTTCTACCTAAATAGAGTCAATGGGAAGCCACTGAAGAATTTTAAACATTGAAGTGAACTACAGTTTTGTGTTTTTGAATGACATTCCTGACTACAGGATAGAAAATGTCTTGGAGGAGGGCAGATTGGCCCTCGAGAGGCCTGTGGCAGAAACCTAGGCCAGAAACCTAGGCAATGGCTGAAGCCAGAGTTGCAACAACAGGGATGGAGAGCAGAAGACTACAGAGGAAGTAAAATCTGGATTGCAGATGGCATCATGGTCTTTTGGACAAGGGATTGACGCCGAGTGAGGGCAGAGCAGAGGATGAGGAATGAGTATGTACTGTGAGCAAGCAGGAGGAAGGTCGGGCTACGCATGAGACCTGAAGCACAGGGACATGACCAGATTTGGGGTGAAATAATGAATCTGTTGTCTCAAAGTTGGCCTTTGGCCTGTGCCCTCTAATTTGAAAGTATTAGAGAGTATCAGCAAGATAAGCAAAGTGCGTATGTGTGAATGTGTGGGTAGTGGGAATTAATTTCTTTGTTCTGCTTGAAGAACCGCAGAGAATGAATGAAACTTGTGAAAAACAAGATGAGGGTCTGCTTTGTCTGAAGATCCTACACAAAATGTGGAATGATGAGGGTCCTGGGTGAAGCTTTGCTGTTTGGAGTTGGTGTCCTTTGGCAGAGAAATCGTTCTTGGCCACGACAGAGCTGGTTGTGCATTCCATTAGCAGCGAGAGCCCATGGCATGTACACTTCCAGGCTGTTTGTCTCATTGAGAGCTGGGTGTGTGGGAGTGTTTACACCGGGGCTATTTCAGCCCAGGCTGGTGGATAATGAATGAGTTTGTTTTTGAGCTGGTGAGTTGGAGCTGACACAATGCCGGCAGGTGCCTTTGTCTCAATCCCCTCCATCCATCTTTATCGGATTTGCCAGACTCTCCCTCACTCTTTTTCCTTTCTTTACTTTACATTGAAGGCAGCTGGGAATGGATCTGCAGGACGACTCTCCCAGGACAATAATAATGGTGGGAACGTCCTCTGTGTGTTCATGCCTTTTCTGATAATTGTTGTCCACCCCCAACCTGTCTTCTACCTTCATCTGCTATGTCTCGAGTAGACCAAGGAGAGTTACATTCTAAAGAAATAGTTACCAGACATTTCCCAGGATGATTTTTTCCCAGTAATGAACTTAATTAATCTTTCACTTTCTCTATCTTTCTTTTTGTCTGTTTCTTCATGGGGGCTGAAGGGGAATGTTAGGGATTTTAGCCATAGTCTCATGTGGACTCATTGTCTCATAGCAAGTATGTTGTTTCCTCCTCTGTCTGAAAACCTCCAATTAACCTCTAGACCCAACCTTAATGCCATCTTCTAGGACACCTCAACCCCTCCCACTTTGCTCCTCCTGGTCTTCTCCGGCGACAGTAACCAGCATATTCAGTTGCCCAAGCTGGAAGCCTGGCTTTGACTCCCTCCTATTCTTCATCTCCCACATTTCATCAATGATCAGATTCTGCAACCAAAATCTCTTAATATCCCTTACTACCTTTGCAGCTATACCCCCCATAACATTTTTTTTTTCAGGCCACTATCATTTTTGGTCAAAATTTTAATTGTAGAATTAGGATCTTAAAGATTCAGACAGATTTTTCTAGAGTTCATATACATTATTTTTTTTTTATCTGAACGATTCTAACAACATCCGAATGGAAATCCCTGCCTTCCATTGTGTCCTGTTTGCACTTCCCTCGTCCATGTTTAGAGGATATAAAGAAAAGCCTGACCATTTTATTCCCTTGTTTAAAAATTTTCAGTGGGTTTCCACTGTTCTTAAGACTGGACAAACTACTAAGCATCTTACGGCTAAAGTCAGGCTTACAGTTAGAGCTCCCTTTTCCTTGAAAGTCTCTTACTATCATTTCCCTTAAAGATTTGTGCTCCAGATTAAATACGTTAACATTTAACTATGTACTTCCTTCTTCCTAGGATGGCTATGCCCTTCCTCCTTTCTCCTTTACTGTCACCTGGATACATTCTACTCACTGTTCATTTCAACTTTCATGTCATATCCCCTGGAAATCTTTTCCTGACCTCCTCCTAGCCTGGGCCTCATGCCCTCCCATGTGCTCTAAAAACTACCCATATCACTCATGTCACCATTCATTACAATGTGTTGGAAATACCTCTTTGCATATTGCACTAGACAGTAAGCTTTTTTTAAGGGCAGGATTGCATCTTATTCATGATTAGTTTATTCTTAGTGCTCATTCTGGTATATCAGGTGTTTAATTATTAGAAGGCCACAGGAAGTATTATTTATTATTTCCTCTGGATTCTCTGCTAGGCACCTTGTTTATTTATTTATAAAGGCATTAACAATGTTGCTTTGTACTTTTCGGTTATGTGTTCATGTCTCCCACTAGGTGGTGTGTTCCTCATTGGCTGGGACTGTATTGTACTTGTCTCTGTATCCTGTATGGGACTTAATACAGTCTCTAGACCATAGTAGGCACCCACTACATGCTGGTTCTTGCTAGACATTGAAGGTGCCGTGATGAACAAATCCTTATGCTCTCAATGTTGATATAGTTTAAGTTCCTGTCATTAATCAGCTATGTGATCTGAAAAAACAGCATTCTCACCTATACAATGAACAATTCCTCCATGATTTTTTAAGCTTAAGGCTCCTTTTTTCCAGAACCAGCATTCTAGAATTCTGACACTTGATCCAGTTTGCATGCTGCTCATGCTGAGATGGGAATGGCATTAAAGATGTTGGAAGGTGTTGTTCCTTTTAAAAGCCTTCTCTGTGTTGCAGCTCATGCTCAATTTGTATAGCTGAGACTGGTTTGTGGGTGTGGGGCCCAAGATTATGTTCTGTTCTGTTGTTTGCAGGAAGCCCCTCTTAAAATCCCTAGGTCCTCATGCAACCCCCGTCATCTCTAGATCCAGGCAGCCTCAGGCAGCAGATCTGGAAATCCTTGGGAGATTACCATGGAATGCAAACACTCAGCGCCACCCTGTGCTAAGAGCCAGAGGTGAGATGGAATGGGAGTTCCTGCTGTTGTGAAGGCCTGGCAGCAGTTCTGGCAAGTTTTAGGGAGAAGCTGAGACTCTTGATTCCTTTTCTTGTCCTAGTGTGGATGCTAAGTTTGGGAAGGCAAAACAGATTATATATGCATAGTTTTTCTCAATCCTGCCAAGCCAGGCTGATGTGGAGAAGATCATCTGGGCGCCTCTTGGCAGAAGACAATCATTTCCCAAGATCTTGGTGAACGTCTCTGAGAAAAAGGGGGCTTTCCCTCCCGAACAGACACCCAGTAGCTGCCCCCTTCCATCTTCTATGAACACCGAGGGCACACAAGGGTATGATTAAGCTACACCC
Organism: Homo sapiens; assembly: GCF_000001405.40. Classification (NCBI taxonomy): domain Eukaryota; kingdom Metazoa; phylum Chordata; class Mammalia; order Primates; family Hominidae; genus Homo; species Homo sapiens. The sequence continues at coordinate 133,619,215 of NC_000011.10, read as the reverse complement.
TACCTCTCCCCTTCTCAAGAGATGAACAGGGCATTCATGCCGCCTGGAGCTCCCATTGTGTCCCCTATTCCTGGGAGCGCCTAGTGGCTGAGTGTCAACTGCTCACAGTTACCTCCTCGGCTCCCCAAAACCCATCTCCTCACAGGAACCTGGCTGGGAGGCCAAATTCTGCAAATCCATTTGGGGAAATAAAAGCCTTTTAACCTAATTTCTTCCTCAGAATTATTTATGTCCCTGATCAAAAAAGTACTCTTTTACCCTTGCAGTGTCTTCTAAATGATGTCAGATGTTACAGATGTCACCAGCGGCAGGATTCTCGCGTTGCAGGCTGCTTAATGCTTTGGAAATGATGTAAGGCCGAGAGCTGAGTGAAGTGCAGTGGTGGGGAAAGCTTATTTCCAGGGTCCAGCATTCCCAACCCATCTGCATTAGGGAGACCCGTGAATTATGGCAGCTGAGCAGGCCTCAGAATGATGGTTCCCGCAATTGCTGAAGACAGACCTAGGAAGCTCCATTTACCAAAGTGCCCTCCAGTGGCGTCTTTCCTAGCAGGCGCTAAATGTGTATAATGGGGAAGTCCTGGAAGATTTTCTCTCTTTTCTGATTTGGGTTAGGAAGGGGCGTCTGTGCTGAGGTGCATAATCCCTAATGATTTGGGTCAGATTTAGTGCCATCGTTATCTCATTACCTGAGGGTTCCCCAGCCTGGCATGACTGCTGGAGAGTGAAGAACAATGGTACCCCAAAGATTAGGATGTTCTTATCTACAAAATGGGGACAATGGGAGCTATTTTTCACAGAGATTTTCCCTCAGTCACTTTGTGAATCCTCAGATGTGAAACGGAAGGCAGTTGGCTACCTCAGAGTTTTCATGTCATTCTGTTTATTTCCATCATAGCATTTAACATTCTGTGAAATTATCTTGTTTATTTTTTTGTTTGTTGTTTGTTGTTGCCTTTCTTGACCTAACACCTATTGAAATGTAAGACCTACAGTCAGGGAGTTCTATATTTCCAGATTCTGACTATATTAGATTAGACTGTAGCAGACCAGTGATCTCTTTGAGAACAACTAGACAACTAGACATTTCAAGTAAAAAACTCGATTTGAAGACTGAGGCATTGAGGACTAGAGGTCCAAAATACCCTCAAAGGGGAATCCTCAGGGGTGTAATGTGATATTCCACAGATCTTTTCTGGGAGATGAGGTAGTGTTTTCTGATTCTGAACTTAAAACAAGGGACTGAGAATTCAGACAGGGTTTCAGGCAGAGGACCACTGCTAAAATGCCCAGAAATGAGAAGAACTTTTGGCAATCTTGTAGGAACTAGAGAGACAAAAGTTAGAGATTTGAGGGGCTAGGATCCTGGTCAGAAGGGTAGGCTGGAGAATTGAGCCAAAATTTGTGCAGTGTTTGCTCAAGACATCTACCAAAGTCTGAGATTGCAGAGACAGGAAGCTAAGAACCTTAGCATAAAGTCTTTGAAAAACAATACACAGACTGTAGTAGTCTTATAATAATAAGAAAGCTAGAATCAGAATTAAGAACCCACCAATGTGAGCGGTACCTCGTGAAAACCCCAGGCTCTCTTGTGTAACTCAAAGGGGAAGCCAGTGGTAGATAGAGCCTTACCAAAGCTGTGCTCCTTCCTCGATGTGGTGTTGTTAAGGTCCCAGTTCCACATTCTCCGCTCAGCAGAAGAAGGGGCCAACTCTCTCTGGAGGAATATAATATCATTTGGGGCTGCTATATGTTGTTATTATGGGTGTGATGCAGTCAGTAAAAAAAATTGCCAAACATGACAAGCAATGAGACTGAAAACCAAGAAGTGGAAAAACAGACTATAGCTAATTCTAATATCCAAATCACCTCTAGGTCTTTATCAGCAAAAAACTGAAAAACAGCTGTGATTAAAATAGGCTGGGTGTGGTGGCTCATGCCTGTAATCTTAGCATTTTGGGAGGCAGAGGCGGGTGGATGACTTGAGGTTAGGAGTTCGTAGTTACTCAGGAGGCTGTAGTCCTTGTTACTCACGAGGCGGAAGTGGGAGAATCACTTGAACCCAGGAGGCGGAGGTTGCAGGGAGCCAATATTGCACCACTGTACTCCAGCCTAGGTGACAAAGTGAAACCCTGTTTCAAAACAACAACAACAACAACAACAAAACAACAAATATTCAAGAAAATAAAGAGGAACAAAAATAGAATTTCAAGAGAGATTTGGAATTTATGCTTTTAAAATCAAATGGTATAGTGTACTCAAATCTACACATAATAAAATTTTATAAAAAACACTCACACAATCTGAATAAGTTCTTTACTTTACAGATAGTAGTATTGTAGCAATACGGCAACATTATTGCTTGTTTTGATAATGTACTTTGATAATGTAAGACATTATCATCACGTATATAAGAACTGTGCTATTTTTGCAACTTCTTGTGAATCTTAAACTACTTCAGAATAAGAAGTAGTTGTTACTTCAACATAAGAAGCTTTAATATAAAATGACTGAAAAACCAAATGTAAATTCTGGAACTAAAAAATACAATAGCTGAAATGAAGAACTCATATAGGTTTAACATTAGATTTCAGATAGCAGAAGAGAGTAATACAGGTCAATGGAAAGTATACAGACTGAGGCACAAAGAGGAAAAAATATAAAAATATATAAAATAAATTAGAAAAAATATTGGATACAGTAAAAAAAAATCCAAAATAATGTAAATGTAGCCCCAGAAGTAGAAGAGAACTGGAATGGGTTTGAACAAAAAATTGAATGTTTGGTAATTTTTTGAAACTGATAAAAGGCAGCAAACCACAAACTCAAGAATCTCTATTAGGATAAATGTAAAGCAAGATAAATATAAAGAAACCCAGGCACATCATAGTAAAACTACAGAAAATCAAAAACTAAAAAAGTCTACATTACTTTTAAGAAAACAATAAGAAAAGTTATTCAACAGACTTTTCAACAGAAACAACAGAAGGTAGAAAGCAATAGAATGGCATTTTTAATATGTTGAAATAACAACCCCCCAAATAATCCTTTATATCTAGTAAATTTATCCTTAAAAAACTGAGAACATTTGCAGACATACAAAATTTAAAAAACTTGTTACCACTAAATGTACACTAAAATAATTAACAAATATTTCTTCAGACAGAAGAGAAATAAACCCAGATATAAGCAGGTCAATACAAGAATAAGGAGCAATAGAAAGGATTAATATGTAGACAGATATAAATGAATATTACCTGTATAAGACAATAATAATAATTTCTTGTTTTGTGGGTTTAAAATAATGTAGAACTGAAATACATGTTAATTAAAAAAAATTTGGGAACAGAGATACTAGATTTAAAATATTATAGTGTTCTAGCATTGAAAGGCAGCATAAAGCTAATAATCTTTTTTAGGATGTAATTCTTTAAAAATTAACATTGTATTAAATAATTTCTAGGATACCTTCCAAAAGAAGTATAACTAATAAGCTAATAGAGGAGGAAAGAGAAATTTAAAAAATGATTAATCAGAAAAAAAGTCAAGAAAAGAGAGGAATAAAACAAACATGAAGCAGACCAGTCAAGTAGAAATTAGCAGTAACCTAGTAAATAGGAATTCACAACTTTTGGTAATTACATTTAATGTAAATGGACTAAATATTTCAAGGAAAATACTAAGATTGTCAGACTGGATATATTCTAATTGTAAGAAACATGCCTCAAATATAACATTACAGAAAGTTTGAAAATAAAAGAATGTAAAAAGGTGAAACATATAAACACAAAATTAAAATAGTTATTGGCTCACATTATGCACTCAATAAATAATTATTGGTTAAATTTATATTATTCTTATTCAAATACTGATGGCAGCAAATGCAAATATTTTGGGTGGTCTTATAAAAAGGCATATTTGACTTAAGAATTAATATTTACTGACTATGTTGGTGGTTGGAGATGAACAACTGTAAGGCAAAAATTTTAACATGAATAATTAGTAAAATTTATAATGAAGGGAGTATTTTGATATCCAAAGTATTGTATTGTCTATGTATTCAGCTATTAAAGCTGTTCACTTATTTATTTACTATTATTTCTGGTCTATCTGGTATTTCTGCTTGATCACAAGCTCTGAAAGGCAGGGATTTGGCTCAATTCAAATCCCAAGGACCTTCTACTGCTAGTCTAGGACCAATGTCCATGGGTTGTAATGAGGATGGTGGCTACATGGAAAGCAAGAATGAAAAGGGGACCCTCTAAAGGAGCGATTGGGTGGAGAAGGTGACCTGGAAGAGTAAATGTTTCTTGGTTTCTCCAGATATATAAAGCTCAACTAAAACTATTCCACATTTAGTGCCACAGAAAAAGTTTATAATAGTTTTAAAATATACATTCAAATTTGCAGACTTGGTGAATGGATTAAGTTTTGTAATTAATTTCTAAAAAGGCAGAAAATTATGTGATTCTCATTGAGTCATCATTACATAATTTCATCATTACACAGTAATGTATTCAGTGAAATTCATCCAGTAACTTATCCAGAGTAATTTTTTCTGGTAATTTATTCCTCTTTGCAGGAGTTCCTTCTTGTTCCTGCTCCTTATTCCTGACCCAGCTCCATTTTTATTTATTAAAAATAACCATAGGAGTCATGAGAGGTGTTTTGGTGGAGGTCAAGGATTATGAACTGAAAGTTTTAGATATTAGAAGTGAAATTAGAAGTCACATGGTATTTGGCTTCTCACCCTCTCATTTTTTCCCATCCTTCCCTATTCTTCTTTTCTTTTGGCCTTTCTATTTTTTCAGTATTAACACAACTGAGCTACTGTCTTCTCTACTAAGAACTATCTGAATCTTTGAAGGTAAATGCTATGTAGACTAACTGAGGTTGATAGTTGGGTAATTACCCTTAACGGTTACGACAGAGATGAGTAATAGGTCATTTGTGGGTTCAGCCAGGATGTAATTCATTGTGCAGTTATTTCTCAGATTAATTATCTGTAATTGGTCCAGAAACGACCTTTTCTTTCTTTCTTTTTTTTTTTTTGAGATGGAATCTCGCTCTGTTGCCCAGGCTGGAGTGCGGTGGCGCCATCTCGGCTCACTGCAAGCTCCGCCTCCCGGGTTCACGCCATTCTCCTGCCTCAGCCTCCCGAGTACCTGGGACTACAGGCGCCCGCCACCACACCCGGCTAATTTTTTTTTTGTATTTTTAGTAGAGACGGGGTTTCATCATGGTCTCGATCTCCTGACCTCGTGATCCACCCGCCTCAGCCTCCCAAAGTGCTGGGATTACAGGCGTGAGCCACTGTGCCCGGCCGAACTTTTCTTTAAAATAGTGTAAACAAACAAAATAATTAGAACTGCCGTGTAAGCTATTCTAGATCACACATTGAAAAAATTTTCTCAGTGGTTTTGAAAATTTTGTGGTCAGTTTCATTTCATGATTTGAGGAAAATTATAGATAAGTGTATCTCAAACTTTAATGGATATATCATACAAACTACCCTTGGATCGTACTAAAATGAAGATTTTGGCTAGGTGTAGTGGCTGATGCTTGTAATCCCAGCACTTTTGGAGGTCAAGGCAGGAGGACTGCTTGAGGCCAGGAGTTCAAGACTGGCCTGGGCAACATAGGCAGACCCTGTCTCTACAAAATAAAAATTGAAAAATTAGCTGGACATTGTGGCATGTGCCTGTAGCTCCAGCTATTGGGGAGGCTGAGACAGAAGAATTCCTTGGGCCCAGGAGTCAAGACTGCAGTGAGCCATGATTGGCCACTGCACTCTAGCCTGTGCAACAAAATGAGACCATGTCTTAAAAAATAAACAAACAACAACAAAAACAAAAAGACAAAAAATGAAGAATCTGTAGGTCTGGGTGAGGATTGAGATTCAGCATTTCTAGTAAGTTTCCAGGTGATGCTCATGCTGGTCTTTAACTGCAATTTAAATAGAAAGACTTCAGACCAACGATTCTCAATACTGGCTGCATATTAGAATCAAATGGTGAATGTTACCAAAATATTTATGCCTGATGCCCACCCAACATGAATTAAATCAGAACCTCGGAGTATGGGACTTGGAATCTTTGAAAAATCTTTCCAGGGTGCATACAGAGGTTAGAAAAACAAACACAGATCATCTACCCAGAAAAGTGCTTACACATGATATTTTTGCATGCAATTCCTGGGGGTCAAGGACCTCCAGGATCCAATTCATAAAAAATTTAAAACTTATGCTTCAAGAGAAAGATCTCTTAAGAGAATGGCATGGGCATCTCTTCTAATATGTTCTTTTTATAGGCTAAATTTTGTCCTTCCCAAAATTAAAACATGGAAGTCCTAACGCTCAATATGACTGTATTTGGAGATAGGGCATTTGAAGAGGTAATTAAGGTTAAGTGTGTTCATAAGTGTGGGGGCCTAATCCAATATGTCTGGTGTCAGGGATACCTGTGTGCAGAGGAAGGGCCACATGAGGACACAGGGAGAAGGCAGCCAGCTCCAAGTCAAAGAGAGAGAGGCCTCAGGAGAAACCAGTCCTACTGTCTCGCCTGGATCTTGGAATTCCAACCTCCAGAACTGTGAGAAGTTAAGCCAGCCAGTCAGTGATATTTTGTTACAGCAGTCCTAGCAAACAAGTGCAATTTCCATGGGCACTCCCTCTTTGTTTTCTCAGACTGGTGTTTGTATCCGCATTTTTATTCATAACCTATTATTTACTTAGGCATTCTGTGAAGAACCTGGCTATAAAAGTTCAAAGATGTAAGATGTTAATGCTGGGTCTAAGTCATGTGCACATAGTGACATCTGGAGAGGGATCCAAGCTTTCTCTGATTCTTCTAACACCTTCCTGATGTTGGTCAAATAGAGCCAACTCTATAGTATTGTTTGCCTAGCCACCACTGGGTGGATGAGAATGGGAAGTTAAAAATGGGACCCAACAAAAACTATTTTTTCAAATTCCTCATTTAATTTCAGGATTCAATCAGTGTAATAGAGTGGCTTCCAAACCCTGTGCTGATGCACACTGAGGTATTCTAGGAAACTCACAAGGGGACATCATGAGTTATTTTCAATTTTTGAGGAAAACATGTGGACATCAGACATTGCAAAAATGACTAGTTCAAGAAAATGCGGTATCAACAACATGTGACATTCATTTTAATGATTTCATATCTTTGCAAGGATCAGTTTTTGGTGGTTTATGTGATAATAAAACAAGTATTGCACAAAACTCACTGTGAAACAGGAAATGCATGTCATGATACCCATGCTGATTCCAAAGTAGAAGTTGTATAGTACCCAACAGGGGTATGTCTGCTGTTAGTAAGTAACTATTTAAGAATAAAATAAACTTCTTGCAATTCGTGCATTTTTTCCAGGTTATTAGAAGTGAAAACTTTTGTTTTATTTTGTATTGTTTGTTTTGGCCTAGGGATCTTGTGAAAAGATCCTGAGGCACTAAGGATGCTGTGAACTGAGAAAGCGTGGGATGCTCTGGTGTGGTTGTTTGTCAAGGCCTCTTAGAGTGTGATCATTCTGGGGGAAGCCAGCCACCAAGTGAGAAGTATAATGACCTTGAGACTGCCATGATCTGAGGAAGCCCAATATAGCCATTTAGAAAAGCTACATGAGAGAGAGATACCCATCCAACCCCTAGCTATTCCAGGCATCTGTGCCAAGTACAGGAATGAGAGACTTTTTGCTGGCTCCAGCTTCAGCTGCCACCTGACTGCAGCAATATGAGAGGTCTACCACATGACAACTGCCCAGATGAAGCCATCAGCTCCAAGAACTGTGAGGAGGAATAATGTACTGCTGTTTTAAGCCACTAAGTTTTGAAATTATTTTGCAAGAAGAAATCAATAACTAGAACAGAATTTTGGTGCCTCAAAGTGAGGTGCTGCTATACTATAAACTTAAAGCATGTGGCATTTGTTTTTGGACTAAGCAATGAGTGGAAGCTGAAATATCCACAAGGATTCACCAATGAAATTTGGAAGGCCCTCAAGAGACTGCTGGTGAGGGCTTGAAAGACGGAGATGAAAATGCTGCTGGAGCTTAGAGAAAAGGGAGCACTTGTGGTATGCGGGGGAAATTCTGATGGCACTCTTGCCTGTGATAATGTGGAAAGAGAAAGAATATCAAATGAACTTGTAGGTCTGGCCAGAAAGATTTGCAGGCAGAAGGTAAAAGGTGCCAACTGGCTTTTTTTGTAGCTGCCTGTTATAAAATATAAGTAGAGATGAACTTCTGAAGGAACCATTTAGATTTCAAGCAGAATTTAGAGGAAATGTAAATGAACTCTGGTTTAATGGCTTTAAAAATAAAATTATTTCTCTCCCTGGCTCTTGCAGCAAAAGATTCTCAAACAAGAAATGCTCTCGGGGAAAAGATAAAATCCAGGCCACTATGAGTAAAGAATAGCTTCAGAGTAAAAGTCTTAAAGTTATAAGACCTTTTGTTTGGATCTCATAAATAGTTAAGGATGTGCCTAATAGGACTTCTAAAATATGAAATCTGTGCCTCTTAGACTTTCTTTACTAGAAAAGAATCTTAAGAGCATATTTTGTGACTCTTTAAACTAGACAAAAAGCGTTTAGGTATCTTTAAAACACTATTTCACAGTATTTGGACAGAGGTCAATGAATAAAAAGAAAAGGGGGCTATCTCTGTAAGAAAAATAAAGACCATAGCTTTTGTCTCAGTGAATAGATTATAACTTGATGTATAGGAAGCTCACAAAATTTTTAAAGGAATTACATCAGCGTGGACTAAAAGGAAAAGAGAAAGTATAGAAAGGGGCCTGTAGACCTTCAAACTTCCATGAGCAGGAAGAAACCAAAGAGAATGCTCAGTTTAAAACAAGAGCCATTTCTTACAGAAAATAAAAGAATATTGAGAGGATGGAACCAAGAGCTCAGAGGAAAGAATGAGGAATTATTTTCTGGAAGCAGAATGGGGCCTTAACCAAGGAACTAGAAACATTTGCCCAACATAATTTCAGGACTGCTATGAAACCATGACTGTTAGGTATCATTTATTTCTCCCTCTTGGAAACAGTAATATATATAGTGGTTATCTCATGAAAGTCTCACTGTTGTAGGTTTGGGGTGGGCAAGTGGGCAGATGGCTGTCTTTATTTCACAGGTCTTCAGATCACATGAAACTGTCCTCAAGAAGCCACACCTAAGGATCAATACCGAAGGAGGCTCATTTGTGTCTAGACCTAACCTAGAAAATAAGCTCCTGGATGTTGAGCTGTTACTGTCATGGGATGAAACTTTATTGGCCAGAGGAAAGGGTCAATGTGTTTTACATGAGGGAGGCTCATACGTTGTTGGAGCCAAGGGCGGACTTGATAGTTTGCGTCTAAGACAGCCCCCATCTTTTCCTTTCTTTCCTGTGTGCATTACTCCCAATGAAATGGGGTCTGTTTCTACTCTTCCCTTAAGTTTGTACTGGCCTTCCTAACTTGCTTAACCAACAGAGTGTGGTGGAAGTGGATCTTATGATGCAAGACCTGGAATGTCATATGGTTAGATCATAAGAAGACTTGCAGCTTCTGTGCAAGGCTATTAGAAGACTTAGAATGCATAGAAGAATTCAGTTACCGAGTAAGTCTGATTACTCTAAGACCACCTTAATGTAAAGAAGCAAAACTGAGCCACATGGAGAGGCTGCATGAAAACAGAGAGATAGGCTCAACCAAATCCTAGCATGTCAAGCCACCCCAGCCCTTGCAACAGACGTATGAGTGAAGACGTGTTCAGCTGACTCTAGTCTCAGCCACAATGCAACTGCAATGTTATATAGGACCCCAAGTGAGAACTACTAAACTAAGCCCACCGAACCACAGAAGTTGTTTTAGGGGAGAGACTTTGTTGCTTTAAGGCAGTAAGTTTGGAGGTGTTTTGGTATATAGCAGAAGATAACTAGAACAACTGGTAGCATTTTATTTTTCATATGGACATATTTATAAGTGTTTCACCTTTATAAAATCTATGACAGTTGAATCCATGTTGCATTGCTTAGATGTCTAGCCATAAAGCTAGGATCAATGGATATTTGATTTGCCTATGTTGAAGGGGCAGATAGAACAGTGGAAAGACACCAGGTTTCCAATTCTAGTTTTTTCATTAAATATAATAACTGTGTCTTTGTGCAAATCAGTTAAATGCATTGGATCTCAATTACTTCATTTGTAAAATGTGGCTGATGTTTTTCCCTTGCTATCCTACAAAATTATGATAAAGGTTGAAGTAGACACTGAATACGAAAATCCCTAAGAAACTATGTAGCACAGCATTAATCAAATGTAGGGAGCTTCTGGAATGAGCCTATTTGCAGAAAAGAAATCTGGTCTTTGTGGAATATTTACACTGAATCAGAAAGAAAAGCGTTCAGTCAATGGAAATCACAGTACAAGTTCTGAAAAATCTGTCCCAGAGATAAAGATACAAACTTGGCATCCTGGCACAGCCAGCAAACCAACAGGGCACAGTGGTAAGAGGCTGAAACATATAAGGGAAGATAGTATTAGTTATCTATTTCTGTGTAACAAATCGCCTCCAACTTGATGACATAAAACAATGTGCCTTGATCTCCTGCAGTTTCTGTGAGTTAGGAATCCAGGAGTGACTTAGCTGGTTGGTCCTGCCTTGGAGTCTCTCCAGGAGGGTGCAGTCAGGCTGTAGGCCATCACCTGAAGGCTTGATTGAGAGTGGAGATGCATTTCCAAGATGACTTCCTCACATCAGCTGTTGATTGGAGGCCTTAGATTCTTGTGACAAGGACCCCACCATAGTGCTGCTTCATGAGTGCCCTCACACCACATGGGCAGAATTCCCCCAGCTTGGGGGGTCTGGAGAGAGCATAGTAGAAGCCTCACAGCTTTTGTGACCTAGCATCAGAAGTCACTTGCTGTCATTTTTGCAATATCCTGTTGGCTTGCATGGTTCAGCCCTATTCCTTGTGGGAGGGGAGAGTGCTACACAAGCTCGTGAATACTAGGTGGGGGCCATTTTGGTGGCAGGCCACCACAAATCATAATGTGTGCAAAATAAGGGAAAAAGAAGACTCTGAGGAGGTGAGAAAGAGGGAAAGGAAATGTGGCAGCATTGTGATGTGATGAAGTGAAAGGGAAAACCAGTACATAGGGAAGAAGTCAGCAGGTGAAGTGGAATCAAGAGAGAAGGTGAAACAGGTGGATTTGCCATTTGCCCTGTATCTTTTGTCTTTTAGCACTGCCATTTCATTTAGCTTCTTGTCCTTGGGACCCACACTAAGGAGAAAGACATAAATGTGGGAACTGGCCTCACCTGCTGTGAACCAGCTCTCTCTCCAGCATCCTGAGACCACCATGGTTGCTCTAGAAGCACAGGGCACGAGTGGCAGGGGGACTTGGTCATGGCTGGCAAGGGGTGGGACTCAGATTTAAATGTCGGCTTGTCTGTTGCCAACGCCCATGATCATTCCACTGTATCAACATCTTGCACTGCAGGACAGAGAGAAGTAATATTCTAACATTTGGTTCTTCCACCCCTCAGAGATAACTTGATCACTCTCCGGGGATGGAATCCTCTTGCTGAGGTCAGAACCTTGCTGGTCATTCCTGCCACCTGTGATCGTCTTCTTGTATATTTCTACCTCATTGACTCCCCATCTTCTTTCATATCTCAGCCTCATACGTCTTCATTTACCTCTCTCTCTCTGTTGTTATTTGTCTCTGTTAACACGGTCATTTATCCCCATAAAGCATCCTGAGAGACAAGGATTGAAGGATGCTGCTGCTAAGTCGGGGGTGCTAAAGACCCTCTGTGGGAAGCTGTGGATGCAGAGACACCTCTTCGTCTGGTCTAAGTAAAAACTGCATGACATGATAGGAGAGGTGAATTTTAAACAGCCTTTTCTATGGGGAAAAGTGCTTAGATGGGAAGTAATTCAGTGGAGCAGGCAGGCAATACACATTTCTAGAGTTTTAGTGCTAAGTAAAGAATGGTAGACTTATGAACGGCCTTGCTCTGACTTGCATCCTATCACATTGTTATCCCTATTTTGCAGAAAACGGGGAAAGAGTAGGTCAGGGGAATGTCTGGTTGGTCAGTGAGACCCAGGGCCTTATAAATCATGGCTCTGTGCACAGGGACTGTCCTTCTCAAGACTGTTGCTTTTCAAGCACCAGAAGATCCTGATTCAGTGTATACACGTGGACACAGGGTCACTTGTAACTTATTTATGGTCAGTTTGCCTTGGTTTCTCGGCTTCCTTCATCCTGTACCTCTCTGCACTTGGCATTCTTTACCAACCTCCTACCTCCTGCTGGAGGAAGATAGGGTGGGGCTTGCCTTGCAGAGAGGTTGGTTGAGTTCATGTTTGACGTGGCATCTGGAAGAAATAAAGGAGCTGCAGATATGAGTTGCTGTATAGGCTTTAATGGGGTGTCAGCATTTCATGGGCTTCTTTATGCAGCATTAAATGAGTTGACATGCTGTAAACTGTCCCACAGGGTGTCTTAGGGATGGGGAACAGTGAACAGGTAAAGAAAACCTATCCTGGACACAATCCAGCTATCATTTTCTCAAATTGCTAGCCCTGTGGATATTCAGGTCAGGTTGCTTCTTCACTCTACATCCCAGGGTTGAAGTGGGCTACAAAAGCAATTAAAGCTTATAAATGGTAGGCAGCAGAACTTCTGGGTGGCTGCAACTCCTACTGAAGTGGAACAGATGTAAGAATACCCTTTGAGAAACCCCACATGGGTTCCCAAAGGCTCTTCATTCTGGGACTGTCTTCAGAATCATGCAGATCCCTTCAGTGTTATTTACTCTGTGATAAGGGGTTCCGCCTGGAGACAGATGACGGATTGGTCAGTTTTGGTAGTATCATGGCTGATGACCCACCTCCTTGGGAAGACCCTTTTTTCTGTGCCTTTATTCTCTCTTTCTGCGTCCTCCCTTTCCCTGGGCTTCATGCATCATTAGAGTGCAGTGGCTGTGAAAGAATCAGACATCCCAGGTCCTGACCCACTTGTCTGGCATTTTGACAGAAATGGGAATTATACCTTTGCCACTTGAGGGCTGTTGAGTTAGTTTTTTTTTTTTTGAGTGTGTCCTAACAGCAGGCTGGCTTTCATAGAGTTTTAATTGGATGCAAGAAGTCGGATAGGAAAGACCCTTGGGGAAAGGGTTGATTTCTGATGCTACACCCTGGAAAGAGAGCACTCATCAGACACAGACTCTGCAGTTCCCAGTCCCTCAAGTCTTTGGGTTGCACAGCTCTTCTCAGCACAGCCTGGAATTGCTGGCTGGGGAGTGACCCAGGAGGGAGCAGGTGCAGGAATCCCTTGCCCCAGCCCCAGCTGGGTACCTCATCTAGGCCTGAGGGTGTGAGCAAAGGGGAGACTAAGGGTTGTTTTGGAGGCCTGTTTCCTGCCCTTCTACCTCAGAGCAATCATCTGTGTTTGGGCCCTGCAATGAGCGTAAGGCCATTTGCCAAGCACTGCAGCCACTGGACTGCAGATCAGTTGCCTGCAGGGAGTGTCTGTCTTGGTCGAGGAGTTGCTAACCCAGAGGGGAGTAGCCCAGTGACTGAATCATCCACTCAGCATGAAGGGCTAAAGGAAAGGCTGCTGGATTGTGTCTAAGCAGCTACAGGATCCATGTTGTCAAAAGAAGGGCCTCTTGCTGATGAGATTTTATTTTTCTGTATCCCAAGAAGGAGGTCCATTTGCTATGTTGTATTTAAAAAGCCTAGGACGTCCCTTCATGTGTTAGGGGTTGCAACAGCCAGACATCCTGATGAAAGAGAAAGGGAGGGAAGGACCGCACAAAAGGGCTGGTCCTTGAATCCAGAAAGTGCTCAAGTCCAGGCTGGCATGTGTCAAAGGTGGGCACTCAAGGATGATGTCTCTGCACCCCCTGACTCCAGTGGGTCCCTGGTCAAGGAGCAGCAGGCTGGTAGTGGGTGAGTTAATTTTCTCTTTGTCGTGGAGGCCACTGGAATTTGCACTTGTGTCTGTTCTGTCTGACTGGAGGATGGCCCTCATTTTATTCCTTGAAGTATTCAGCCTTGTGTAAGGGCCAACTTTGATATTCAACATCACAAGTTTCTCTTGCATGCGGCAGATGAAATGGAGATTTTCCCCCTCTTTCTTCCAGGCACAGTGAGGGGGCAGGATTTGTTCTTCATAGATCTTTCCAACTTCCTCAGTTATGATTTTATAAAAACCCATCAAAGTACTTGTCAGCAAATGCACATATGTGGACACAAACACCTTCTCCTGAGTGGCAGAATGGTGTAGTGGCTGATTGTGTGGACTCTGGTTTGAATACGGATTCTGACATTTGCTAGCTCTTTGTGATCTTTAGCTCTCTGTGCCTCAGTTTGCTTATCTGTGAAATGGGGTTACTAATAATATAAAACTCAGTTTTGTTGTGAAGATTAAGTGACTTAATGTGTATAATGCTTTTAGGACAGTGCATGGTACACACAGGTGCTATACAGTAGCTATTATTATTTGACGATTCTGTCTTCCACATACAAATCAGCTTTCATACAGGAACTATTGGCATCTCAAAAACCAGGACAGGTGCTCTGAATTTTCCAGCCCTTGGAATTTTTTGCTGTTGACCCATCGCTACCTTGGGTCAGGGTTTGTTGGTGTGGGGGTGTAAAGCCCTCTCTTGAAGACAGATCTATAGTTGATCTCCTCTTCAGCCACCCCCCGGACTCACTCCCTGCACTGAGAGAGGAAGCAGTTGACATGGAGGTGAGATATCCTATGTGAACTGCCTTTCCTCTTAATGTGAGGGAGTGAGAAGGTAAGGTGGGCAGGGAAATGAAAGACTGACAAGACCTCTTGCCCTATTATAAAATTTGGCTTTATATACAGATTTATTAAAGATATGATAAATCATATTAAGTTATATATGCAGATACAAAAACTCCTGTATCTGTAGACGTTGTTGCATGTAACATCCATGTGATATTTATAGATAATGGATACCCATACATCGGCGTAAATTTAAATTTTATTTCATTGTGGCCACTGCCTCTTCTTAGTACTATATTCAACATGCTTGTTATTTTTGCACTTGAAAGACATTATGAAATTGATAATGACTATACAACACCCAAAAGTGGGACATACATAACTTAGAGTTGACATACTTATTCCTGGGGAAGTTTGTAAGTTGCAGTTTCCTTCAGTATAGTTAATAGCCTGTATTAATATGTAAGTGAGGCTTGGTTTTAAATACCATGGCTTATGTTCACTGACCAGTGGAATTGGAAGCAGCATGAGGTGGTTGAGCAGCACAGGTGTTGGTATCAGAGGCAAGGTCTACATGCGTGGTTGTGCCTGTACAAGGATGCTTGTCTGAAGGGGTGAGGACAAGCTGAAATCCACCCTGGGTTCCACTTGGCAAACCGTGTGATCCAGCCCAGCATCATAGCAGCTGCAGGAAGTGTCATCTGCCCAGAAAGGGCTCCTGTGTGTAATTGCCATGTTTTCCCAATTCCTCCTAAGTGCTAAAAATGGCCCTTGGCGAGTACAAGTTCAAGTCCTGGCAAATTACTCATTAACATTGTGAACCTGGGGAAGTGAATCTTCTGAAAGGCACATCCTTATCTATGGCTGAAGTTTCAGGGATATTGTGGAAAATGCGAAAGGATATAAGACAAATAAGATGTGCTGTTCATTCCTAAATCTGTAGGTGCTCAGAGCACAGTCATGAACAAGAAAAAGCCCAGCTCCTGGCCTCCAGTACTGTCCACTTGATTGTCCCATGGTTATCTCAGGCTTACCATGTTCAAAACTGGGATTGGCCTCTTCCCCTCCACCCCCTGCTCCTCCTCTTGTACTCCCTGTCTCACTGACTGGCATCACACCTACCAGACCACTCAATTCAGAAGCCAGAGAGTCATTGCAGATGAGTCTTATTCACCCTTACATTAATCACCAAGACCATTCACTTCTTTCTCCTTAATGTTTCTTCTGTACGATTGTCACTGCGTTGGCGCAGTCTCTCATCTCTTCTTGCAGAAATGATGATGGTAAAGGGGATGATAATGGTGACATTGATTTATTTATGCAGCAAGTATGTACAGAGCACCCATTATGTGCCAACCAATGTTTTCAGTCAAAAGATAGTCAATACTCAACATCATCAGTCATTAGGAAAATGCAAATCAAACGCATAGTGAGATAAGACTGCATGCTTCTTACTTTGCTGTGATGGCAATGAGGTAGAGCAACTGGAACTCTGGTACATTTGGGGTGGAAATACAATATAGTACAGTCACCTTGGCAATGAGTTTGGCAATTTTTATAAACTTAAACATACATTTACCATGCAACCCAGCAATCCCACTCCTAGGTATTTGCCTGAGTTAAAGAAAGCTACGTGTATATAAAACCTGTATGTGAATGTTTATAGCAGCTTTATTCATAATCTCCAATAATGTGGAAAGAACCCCAATGTCCTTCAGCCAGGGAATGAATAAATAAGCTGTGTTGCACCCACCCAGAAGAATGCTACTCAGCAATAAGACGACTGACACCTGCAACTACGTGGCTGGACGTCTGATGCATTACGCTAAGTGAAAGAAGCCAGACTCAAAAAGCCAATGACTCTATTATTCCAGTTGTAGGACATTCTGGAAAAGACAAACTATAGGACAGGAGGCAGAGAAGTGGTTTCCACGGGCTGGGGTGAGGAGAGGATTAACCCAGGTCTGTTTGATTGTAGCACTGCCTTCTCCTTGGAACCTCATCATGGATGTTCTGTGTGCTGGAATCTCATCTCCTTGTGATCTTTCTTTCTTTCTTTTTGAGACAAGGTCTCCCTTTGTCACCCAGGGTGGATTGCAGTGGCACAATCACAGCTCACTGCAGACTCAACTTCCCTGGGCTCAGCTGATCCTCCTGCCTCAGCCTCTGGAGTAGCTGGGACCACAGGTGTGCACCTCCATGCCCAACTAATTTTTGTATTTTTCTGTAGAGATGAGGGTCTCACCATGTTGTCTAGGCTGGGCTTGAGCTTCTGGGCTCAAGCAATCCACCTGCCTCAGCCTCCCAAATTGCTGGGATTACAGGCATCATGTAAACATGTAATCATGTAATTACAGGCATCATGTAGAAAAGACTTGTCTTTTCTAACGACAAGTCTGAGCTTAGGGTTCTGATGCAGAAGAATCTCTCAATGCTGGCTATCACTTTAAGTATGCAGTGCCACAGTAGACACTATTCAATGCCTCAGCTTTTAGGGCACAAAGCCCTTCCCAAAATGGTCCCGTTGGCATCCCTGACTTCCTTTCCCACCAGTCTTCCACATACACTCTTTTCATTAGCTCTTCCTAAATACTTGAAGTTGAAGCTGTTTAGCACCTCCGAGGCATCCACATGGTCTTCCCTCTGCTTGCCTCTCTCTTCCTATGTGTCTTAGTCCAAGTAACTCCTACTCTTCCTTTAAAAGCCAGCCAGGGCCTCACCTATTATGGAAAGTCATCTGGTCTCAGCTGCACAGGCTTCCTTCTCCGAAGGCATTCATCACAGTGATGCTTTGGCTCTCTTGCCTAGATGGCGAATTGCTTGTCTCAGTATTCCTACCCCTGGCACAGTGCTGGGCACAGGGAATCCCAGCTTCCCTAAGTGTGTTTTGAACATAATTGCCTTCTAATTATACACGGCAATTACTACCCTAGAGCAAAGCCTTTACCACCTCAGCATGGAAACGCACAGAAGTGATACATCCATTGTAGTTTATTTTGATTTATCCTGGCTTTTTCTTATATCATAGTGGCCAATGGCTGATGAACAAGAACTTTGGTGGAGAGCGATTGCAGGATTGAGCTCACATACTTTTCCTAGGGGGTTTTCTCAGGGATCATCTAGTTTTGGTCCCAATTGCATTAATATTAGGTGAGAAAGATGATGGTTAGTGGCAAAGATAAACATAAAGAATGTCCTTGCCTCTAACCAGCCACATTTCCCAAAAAGCAAGGACTTTCTTTATGTTTATCTTTGTGAAGTATGCGGTGTGAACCTAAATGAGTAAAAGGTGGGGTGGTTTGCCGGGAAAGTAATTAAGGGAGGTGGTCAGTCATCTGTGTCTTGACATGGGCCAGCTGGCACCCGTGAGGACTGTTCTGTGGTTAATAAGGATGAGATCTGTAGCACTGGGATAGCCGACTTCAGCAGCAGTAATAGCTATTAGGTGGACTTTGGCTCTGCAAGTGTTTAGGAGGCCTGGAGGGACTCACCAATGATTCTATGCTGTTCTGTACAATTCCCTTAACTGCCCTTGGCTGACCTAGTTATTAAGAAATCTTCGTTCCCCAGTCTTGTTAGCTAAACAATCACTCTTGCTTCACATGTAAACATATATATGTACTTTCATCTTTGTCTCTTGTGGTCGTAAGTTTTATTTAACAAGAGTGGATCTTCAAACTTGGAGGGCATTTTTATATTCTCAGAGTCAACATTTATTACTAATATTACAAGATACAGTCTCTGAAAGCCTGCATCTCTGGCATGGGGGGAGCTGGGGAAGAGGCCTTAGAAAAGCTGTAGGGCAGAGGGCGCGATTCTAAGTGAGCCTGTATGCAAGAGGCTTCCGTATACCACCACCTGGCCTGGGGGATCCTGCAGAAGCTGCATTCTCTATCAGCCACAGAGCGCGTGAGATGAGCTCCCCTGACTGCCATGTTGAAAATGTCAGCCCCAGATGGTCTGGTGGTTACATTTTCTCAAAACAGTTGGGAACCTCTGCCAACTTCTCTAAGGAATGAAAAAGATAATTTTTTAAATGCTGATTAACAGAGCAAAATGTACTTGAGCTGGTAACAGATTTTTTTCCTCCTTCCTCCATCCATTTGCTGCAAAACAACCTGTGGTGATTCAAAACATGGGAAAGAAGCCAATGGCTTTACTGAGGGACAGTACCTTGAAGGAAGGTGAAAAAGTGGCAGGCAAAGTGGGAGAAAAAGCACCTGAGAGCTGTAGAGTGTCAGAGTCTTCTCTTGTTGATTTCCCCAAACACTAGAAGGCTCTGAGGGCTCATCCTCTTGTTAGCCGGCCTGGTTCTGTCAATACTCAACAAGTGGCTCAAAACCCAACAAATCTGCCAGGACCCTGCTTCTGCAAGATGGGTGTGGCAAGGAGGGCTGGGAAACTGGAAGCACCTTGGTTCTGTTTGTTTCTAGTGCCAAGCCCCCTCTTAGTTCCCTGGCAAGCCTGAGGAGGTCTGAACCAACTTTGCAGCCCATCCTGATATAAGGCGACTAGCTCATCCTTGTTTGCTTGAGGAGATCGAGAACTCGAAGACTAAACAGGTAACTGACCGCAGGATATTGTCTTTGAACTTGAAGACTAAACAGGTAACTGACCGCAGAGTATTGTCTTTGATCGTATCTGAACACTTGTGTTTCTGATGGGGCCTGGTGTCTGGATTCCAGCCCCTGTTCTGAGATTTGAAGAACTTCACTATACTGTTCCTGGCTTTCTATATATTTCTATATGTCTATATTACAGTCCCAGAAAGGGGAGCTTAAAAGCCTTCAGTTCTGAACCCAGTGTCAAATTTTAATTTTAAGTAGGTACATCAAATATGGAGCAAAAGCAGGAGAATGGATATGGGAGTAGAGCAAAAACTCAGGATAGACCACCTAGATTCCTGCTGGGCCTTTCTGTGCGTGGAAAAGAAATGGCCAAGCTTGGATGTTTGATCCTGCAAGATAATTAATGACAACCAGTGAAAATTAGGGGTTTCCCCCATTCCCCTGCAAAACCTTCCAAACTTGTATCTTAGAGCCAGAAGTGCCCATCATTAATGAGAAGCAGGAGCTGTGGGGCTCTGCAAATTCCTGGTCTTCACTCCACATTTCAGGATGTTGCATGCCAAACTTCGCCCAGCTGAGTGATCATGGATACATGTTCCAGTCTCAGTGGCCCTGGAGGGTCTGCAGCCCAGGCATTCTCATTTTGATGGGAGTCTTTTCTTCCTGCCCTGGTGCTGCTGATGTAAGAGTGCCATCATTTTGTGGCATTCTCTGCTGGTATTCTTCTTGCACCAACACCGAGGGGCCAGAGGTCTTCCCCTATGTGTATTGTCCAGCCCGTTCTCCCTTGGAGGGGAGTAACCTCTTTTGTCATTTAGATGTTTTCTGCCTCTGAGCTTGTTCTTTGGTTATCCCTTCCCTCTAGGCTGCATTTTTTTCCCTCTTGTTGTGCTCAGGTGGCCTTCCTGCAGTGTACTTGGTGGACATAGGGTCACTGTTTGCCTAATGATATGTGTTCTGCCAAAAACTGTTGGCAGAATGTATGTGATGACCTTAAGAACGTGGTTGCATTTAAACAGCTAGACTAGGTTTTCCCCTATTCTCACTCTGACCTGCAAATGTAGGGGATGGTTGAAGTTGCATTAGCTCTTTCAGAGCACTGAGTTAGTAAGTAATGATGGAAGTGAACTCAATGGAACATTCAAGACCCTGATTTATCTCAATCCCAGGCCTTCTTACTAATCTCTTACCTTTACACTCACATTCTTAGTTCACACTACACTAATTAGCATGTATTTACATGTTGCTTCCTTAAACCTTCCTTCAGCATTATGGCTGTAACTAACATATGTATTTGCAAGAAAGCATATTTATAGGCACATTCTTTCAGTCCTTAAAACTGCAGACTCTCTAACAGTACTTTTTTATCTTCCTTCTGAAGATATGTCTAGCACATTTTATACAAAGGCACATGAATTAAAAGCTGGTATGATCTTTGCCTCTAAGATGGAATTGCCTTCAAACACCCAGCAATTCCAACTCCTAGGTAGATACTCAAGGAAAATGAAGACATATGTCCAAACAAAAACTTGTACAAAATGTTCATAGCAACATTATTCATAATAACCCCAAAGTGGAAAAAATCTAAGTATCCATCAACTGATGAATAGATAAATATGGCGTAGCTATTCAATGGAATACTATTTGTCCATAAAAACAAATAATATACTGATATGAGCAGCAAAAAGATGAACTTTGAAAACATTAGGCTAAGTGAAAGAAACCAGACACAAAAGACTGCATACTGTATTATTCTATTTGTACAAAACATCCATAATATGCAAATATATAGGAGCAGAGGGTGTTTTAGTGTCTGCCTGGAGTTGAGGAAGGGAGGGATTGGAGATAAATAGAAAATGACTTTTAATGAACATGAATTTTCTTTTTGGGGTGACTAATATATCCCAAAATTGTTTGTGGTGATGGTTAAACCACTCTGTGAACACCCTGAAAATGACTGAATTATATAATTTAAATGGGTGAATTATATGGCATGTGGATTTTATCTTAATTTAGAGAAAAAAGATAGAAACATTCAAACAGAAGTCAATACAAACTTTTTCTACCTAAAATTCAGGATAAATTCTGCAGGATTATTTCTTGCCACACAAGAATTTATGTTTCTCTAGAGGAGACAGTCCAGCAAGTTGGCTGAAGCAATGTGATTCCTACCCCAGCAGCCTTTTAGAGCCAAACACAGGTGTTGGATTAATCGGAAACAAGTTGGAAGCCCTAGAGTTGGAGCAAACCTATCTCGTGACATTTACCACTTCTTATATAACAAGTAGAGAGATTTTTACCTCCAGGTTTCACGG
This sequence comes from Homo sapiens, assembly GCF_000001405.40. Lineage (NCBI taxonomy): Eukaryota > Metazoa > Chordata > Mammalia > Primates > Hominidae > Homo > Homo sapiens. Next base: position 133,597,551 of record NC_000011.10, on the reverse strand, counting down.
TGCAAAAATAGCATTAATGCTGCAATATTCTATCCTCTGGATAGCCTGCACTCTATTTCTTTGATGAGCTGGGAAAAGAGAAGGAGATGGCATATTGGGGAGATGTGGAGGAGGAAGAGTTGCTCTTGCCAGAAACCTGAGAATTATCTCTGACACCTCCCTCTCTCTTGCCCTCACTCTGGTCAATTGCCAAGTTCTGTGATCTACCACCTAAATATCTCTACTTCTCTCCAGCTCTGATACTGCTACTTGAATGTAAGCTGCTGTCTTCCTCCTTCATCATCCGGAACATCTTCATCATCCTTTTTCTTCCTGAATAACAATAATAACCTTCTGAACTGATTCTCCTGTAGCCCCTTTCTCCAAATCTGTATTCCTAACTTCAAAGAGGGCATTTAAAAATGCAAATCTTGCCTTGAAATCCTCAAAAACATATCCCTGCCAGGTGTAGTGGCTCACGCCTGTAATCCCAGCACTTTCGGAGGCCAAGGCGGGGGCGGATCACCTGAGATCAGGAGTTCGAGACCAGCCTGGCCAACATGGTGAAACTCCGTCTCTACTAAAAATACAAAAATTAGCCGGATGTGGGGGTGGGCACCTGTAATCCCAGCTACTCAGGAGGCTGAGGCAGGAGAATCGCTTGAACCCAGGAAGCGGAGGTTGCAGTGAGCCGAGATCACGCCACTGCACTCCAGCCTGAGTGACAGAGCAAGACTCCATCACAAACAAACATATTGCTTCTTTACAAGTTCATCTAGGTAAACTGCAGAATCTTCTCCGAGTTTAGATCCTGCCCACCTTTGCAGCTCCCCCTTCTCCAGACCCCTCTCCCAGCCTCTCCTTCTCCTGATGCATTTCCTCTTGCCCTTGAGATTTCAATTTAAATGTCATTTTTCTTAGCAAACCCTCTGCTCTTTCCCGCCCAGTGTTTCGTTGTATGTTCTCCCACTCCCAGGATGTCCCCTTCATAGCTTTGGAGCACTCATCACTGCTGTAATTTTAGTCATCACGGGATTGTTTGCTTAATTCCATCTCTGTAACTGACGGCAAGCTTCCAGAGAAGGGGATTGAGTCTGGCTTACTCCCCAGTGGACCCCAGCACTTGGCCCAGGCCAGACCGAACAGTTTATACTCGATCACTATTAGAAACCGAAGGGAAGACAGAAGGCACGGAGGAAGGGAGGCACCTAATGAAGGAAGAGAAACGGAAAAGAGCTAAACAGGGAAGCCGGATGAACTCTGCAGCTCCTGCTCAGAGTGGGGGCTGCCTCCTCACTAAGCTTGGGGAGCCAGTGTCCCATAGCACCGAGTGAGGTCGGCCAGGGCAGAGACAGACTAGCTAACATGCGTGGAGGTTCTCGGGAGCGCTGGGGAGGTGAGGACTCGCGAAGACGCTGCTCATGCCCAGTATACTATGGCAGTGCCAAGACACGCCAAGAGGGAACGCTGTGAGGGGGAAGGCAGGGGAGCGGGGAAAGGGGCTTCTGATGGCCCGACGCTGGTAAGGAGTTTTCTGAACCTAATGAGATTGGGAGGATCTCATTTTCATCTCCAGGAGGAGGCTGCCATTGACTTCTGTTCTCTTCCTGGAAAGTACCATTTGTCTGTCCCTCAGACGTCTGCCCTGGGACCATCATTGTTGATGGAGGCAGGTCTTCTCAGGATCATGGGTTTGTTTTAGAACCACCTAGGCTGTGGCAGGGGCATCAGAGTTTTCACCCCAAAAGGGTAATTTTCTAGACTGCCCTGCCTCGGTGTCTGCCTTGCCTTACACATCTTCTGGAATACCATGGGTCTGCCCGGAGGCAGTAAGTGTTGCACGACTGGAGTCAGACAGACACAGATTCAAATTCTAGTGCTGCCACTCACTAACTGTGTGACCTTGGGTAAGTTTTATTACCCTCCAGGACTTGAGGTCTTTATTTGCAAATGGGGCACAATAATAGTACCCACCCCATAAGGCTATTGCAAGAATGCAATGAAATATTCTATGTGAAGCTTCTAGCACTTGGAGGGAAAATTCAATAATGTTAGACATTTTATTAGAAATTTGTTCTAGTGCCCCATACCCTTCATGCAAAGGCTTGTTTTATTAATAATGCATGACAGTCATTCTTACAGCTCTACTTTAAGCCAATTTTCTCCTGTTGAGCTTCAAGTGAGTGTGGGGAACAGATGGCCATCATCCTTCTGATGATGCCTTTGGGGATAGATGTTAAGGAGGTCAAAAACTTGCAGTTTGTCATTGTATAGTTCAGTTGGCCTCTCCCTTAAGCCTCAGGTGTCCTAACTAACTCTAGCTGGTTCATTGCAGATGCAGAAGGTTGCCATGAAAAAGTCTGAACTTGGATCAAGAATCTCAGTATTGCTACTTACTAGCACTGGAAATTTGGACAAGCCACTTGATTTTTCTGATCCTTTTCTCATTTGTGAAATCAATATCCTAGGACCAACCCTTTCCTCTCTGGATTGTTGTGAGGGTTAGACAAAATAGCATGTATATGAAGGCTTAGAATAGAGCCTGGATCCTTGCAGTCATGTTAAGCAGTGTCATGGTTAATTTATTTGTCAACTTTACTGGGCTAAGGGAAGCCCAGATAGCGGGTGAAACATTGTTTCTGGGTATGTTTGTGAGGATGTCTCTGGAAGAGACTAGCATTTGAATCAGTAGACTGAGTAAAAGAGATTTTCCTTTACCAATGATGCCCACTGTGGTCAGGCATTATTCAATCCATCGAGGGTCCTAATAAAACAAAAAGAGGAGGAAGAGTGATCTTTCTTTCTTCTGGAGCTAGGACATTCATCTCCTCTTGTTCTTGGACATCCGAACTCTTGACTCTTGGGCTTTCTGTGTCTTGGACTTATACTTGCCCAACACCCTCCTCCACAACGCCCCCCTCTCTCAGGCCTTCAGACTTGGACTGAATTATCCCACCAGCTTTCCTTGTTCTCCAGCTTTCAGATAGCATATTATGGGACTTCTCAAATTCCATAATTCTGTGAGCCAATTCCTATAATAAGTGTCCCCTTTATCATTATCTATCTATCTATCTATCTAGTCTAACCATCAATTAATCTATCCTTCATCCTATCGACTCTGTTTCTCTGGAGAGCCCAACTAATGCAAGCCATTTCTTAAATTTGGGTCTGCTTGTGATAGGTCAATAGAAATCCATCACCAAATTAGGAAAATGCGTTTCAAGCCAGGTATCCTACTGACTTGACATTCAGCACTGCTGCTCTGCGTGTGGACAAGGCACATCTTTTTCCTTTATGTGACTGCCTGTAATCCTGCCTCAACACGTTCTAGCTCCCTTAGTATTTTTTTAGAGGTCCTCTTCCCTTGCCTAGAGATAATAATTCGCACTTGTTTCAGGTCTCTATTGTCTTTCTCAAATAGTCTCCCAATTCTTAGCTCCCTATTCTCTCCATGTTACTACATTAATGACCTTTCTAAATTGCAGAGCTGACTATGCCTTTCCCCAGTTTAAAATTCCTCACTGGCTCCCTATCACTTTTAAGATAATGACTCCTCCAGCTCCATTCTTTGCCACTCTCTCTCAGACTCTACATTCAAGCAACTCAGAACTACCTGTACTTTTTAGAACTCACCAGGCTCTTCCACACTTTCATCTCTTTCTTTTGTGTTATTTCCTCTTGGCACAACTTCCGCCAAAATTCCACACTTAATTGTCTTTCAAAACTCAGTTCCAAGTAAAAAGAAAATCTTTAGACTAGGAAAAGATATTTACAAATCATATATCTAATAAAGGACTTGTATTCATATTTTATAAAGGACTCTCAAAACTTAATAATAAGAAAGAAAACTATGGGAAAATGGCCACAAGATTTGAACAGATGCTTCATCAATGAATATATATAAATGGCAAATAAACACATGAAAAGTTGTTCAACATTGTTAGTCAAAAGAAAAATACAAATTCACACCACAATGAGATAACACTACACTTTTATTAGAATGGCCTAAATGAGAAAGACTGACCATATCAAGTGTTGGCAAGGATGTAGAACGACTGGAACTCTTATACATTGCTGCTGGGAATATAAAACGGTGCAGCCATTTTGAAAAATAGCTTGGCAGTTTCTTAAAAAAATTAAACATATGCCTACCATATGATCCAGCCATTCTACTCATAGGCAGTTACTCAAGAAAAATAAAAGCATATATTTATACAGAGACTTTTGCATAAATATTCATGTAACTTTGTTTGTAGTAGCCAAAACTGGAAACAACACCAAATGTCCATCTTCCAGTGAATGAATAAATTCATGTAGATTCATACAATGGAAGATGACTAGTGATAAACAGGAATGAACTACAGAATGACTCACACTACAACACGGGTATGAATTTCAAAATAATTTTGCCAATGAATGGAGGCAGATAAAAAAGAGTATGTACTATATGATTCCATTTATATAAAATTCTAGGAAACGTAAAGTAATATTTAGTGACAGAAAGCAGGTCATAGTTTGCCTGAGGAGGAGGGGAAAATAAGGGGGTGAAGAAGACATTACAAAGAGGCAAGAGAAAGCTTGGGGCTAATGAATATGTTCATTATTCCGATTGTGGCGATGGTTTCATGGGTATACAATTATGTCAAAACATATCAAAGTGTGCATCTTAAGTATATTATGTTTATTTTATGTCCAGTATGCCTCAATAAAGTTAACTCTTTCAATGTAAAATAAACAGGAAAAAAAGAGAAAAACTTAGCTTTTGTATTACCCTCTTCGAGGAGTCCTTCTCTAGTTACCTTTCCCCCAGTGCAGAGTTATGTTCTCCAGGCTCTGTGTAAACATCTCCATGGTAATTACTAGATTGGACTGGAGTTTCTAAGGCACTGTCCCCCTCACTAGATTGTAAGTGACTTAAGGACAGGGGCTGTGGTGTTTATATCTGTACGATATGATCTGAGTCCTCCCTCAGTGCCTGAGAGTTCAATCTAAATAATCATTTGTCTTCCCTGAAACCATAAGCTAAGATGATGATTTTGTTAAAGAAAATCTGAAAGCCATATCCCTTAAGCAAAATCTACTTCTTTAATGAAGTTGTTTCAAATGGAAAAAGGTTATATATACTTGGGAAATTTCAAAAATAATAGCTGTAAACTTAAAGGAGACTCGGTTTCTGGAGGACAACAAATTCATGTGGGAAAAAAGAAAAGCTTTTGCAGGTGGGTGTGGCTCAGGGTAGGATATTTAGGACTAGAAGCATTTAGGATTCTTTATTCATGGCATCAGCAAACTCTGGCCAAGTAGCACTTTTAAAATGATCCATGGAGGGATTTTTCATCTTGGAAAACAGGTTTATTAGTGGAATTATTACAAGTATTAATACCTTGAATGTTATTTTCTTGCTAATGATGCTGTAATGGGTTGCACTGGGATAATAGAACTGCTCTGAGTGCATAACTTACCAAACCTGCCTACCTCCCCCGTGACTTATGGGCTGTAGCCCTCATTAGTTCTATGGTTACATTGGCTGCTGTTTAGAGCCATAGTGAGAATCTTGTGCAGGTTTGGAAGAGCCCCAAGTTTAATGCCATAAACGGCTATAGAGTGAAACAGTCATTGCTTTTTATAGAAACCCAGTATACCTGCTTTTTAGACAGTGGTGAAGTGACAGAGTACCCAAGCAAGGGGAGGTAAGCTTGACACCTGCCGACGCTGGAACAACTCCACGGTGGCTTGCAGCTCCACATAGGATAGGTTTGTCTCCAAGGAAGTCTTCTCACTTGCCTGGGCCATTCTTTCCACTTGACATTGGGAACATGAACAGATCTTCCAAATTGTATCTAAAAGTCGTAGCATGTAATACCTGAGTGCCCCCAGCGTAGCTGCATTGCCACACACCAAACACTTTATTCTGGCAACTTTATGCAGGAGACTCAGTGTCATCCTGTGCACACTCCAGAATGAGGATGTACACACTCTGCTGTGTATCCTGAAAGAAGGCCACTCACAACAGCATCCTACCTGGCCCAGCTCATGGAATAGCTGATTTGTGCAAAGACTATAAAAGGCATCATGAGATGATCCTGAGGAAAGACAACATAATGCATGTTTTTTCCTAAAGAAGAAATTCTGATGTTGTTACCCTGTATGTGGTCAGGGTCCAGGGTTGTTTTGTGGGAAGTCGATGGAATGAGGATGGTGGGGTAGAAGGCCACCTTGGATTTGGTGGCTTGGGGCCAGTGCCTCTGTCTTCTTCCTCTGCATATACTCATCCAGGTTAAGCTGCTGTTTTAGGTAACACGTTTTTTCTTTTTTTTTAAAATTTTTATTATTATTATGCTTTAAGTTTTAGGGTACATGTGTACAACGTGCAGCTTTGTTACATATGTATACATGTGCCATGTTGGTGTGCTGCACCCATTAACTCATCATTTAGCATTAGGTATATCTCCTAATGCTATCCCTTCCCCCACCCCACAACAGTCCCCGGTGTGTGGTGTGTGATGTTCCCCTTCCTGTGTCCATGTGTTCTCATTGTTCAATTCCCACCTATGAGTGAGAACATGTGGTGTTTGGTTTTTTGTCCTTGCCATAGTTTGCTGAGAATGATGGTTTCCAGCTTCATCCATGTCCCTACAAAGGACGTGAACTCATCATTATTTGTGGCTGCATAGTATTCCATGGTGTATATGTGCCACATTTTCTTAATCCAGTCTATCATTTTTGGACATTTGGGTTGGTTCCAAGTCTTTGCTATTGTGAGTAGTGCCGCAATAAACATACGTGTGCTTGTGTCTTTACAGCAGCATGATTTATAATCCTTTGGGTATATACCCAGTAATAGCATGGCTGGGTCAAATGGTATTTCTAGTTCAAGATCCCTGAGGAATCACCACACTGACTTCCACAATGGTTGAACTAGTTTACAGTCCCACCAACAATGTAAAAGTGTTCCTATTTCTCCACATCCTCTCGAGCACCTGTTGTTACCTGACTTTTTAATGTTTGCCATTCTAACTGGTGTGAGATGGTATCTCATTGTGGTTTTGATTTGCATTTCTCTGATGGCCAGTGATGACGAGTATTTTTTCATGTGTTTTTTGGCTGCATAAATGTCTTCTTTTGAGAAGTGTCTGTTCATATCCTTCACACACTTTTTGATGGAGTTGTTTTTTTCTTGTAAATTTGTTTGAGTTCATTGTTGATTCTGGATATTAGCCCTTTGTCAGATGGCAATACCATTCAGGACATAGGCATGGGCAAGGACTTCATGTCTAAAACACCAAAAGCAATGGCAACAGAAGCCAAAATTGACAAATGGGATCTAATTAAACTAAAGAGCTTCTGCACAGCAAAAGAAACTACCATCAGAGTGAACAGGCAACCTACAGAATGGCAGAAAAAAATTTTTGCAACCTACTCATCTGGTAACATGTTTTTTTCTGAGTCCTAACAAAGCTGCCAAATAGTCAAGTGTGCAACTTTTCAGTCTCCTGTGCAGAAAGCAGCTCTCTTGAGATTGTGAGAAGAGCAGGAATAAGGCTGGTGGTGCAGAGGGTGACCTACAGGAAGGCATGGAAATACTAGGTGACTACAAGCATGGAGAAAGTCTTCAGTTTCCAGCACAAAATTGTGCAAAAAGCAAGGGCAGTGTTAACAGACTGTCCTGGGTTCTAACTGAGACATAGCCACTTATTGGCTGTGTGTCCACAGACCAGTTACTAACCTTGATTTCCTTATTCATAGAATGGAGATAATACCTCCAAACCTTGCCAATATTTATTCAGATAACATATGAAAACACTGGACGGGAAATGGTACACAGTAGGTGTCAGACAGGTGTGAGCTGTCCTCCCCTGTGTCTATCCTTTCTCTGCCCAGCTGCTCTGAAAATGACTGTTGGCCTTCCTTATATTCCTACATGGTAGCAGAAGAAATTCAGAGTTGCTGATCTAATCTGCTCTCTTTCTACTTTGAACAGTAGCTTGTACATACTTGAGTATGGGGGTGAGATGTGACCAGATAACCACACCCCTGTTCTTGCAGCTCCACCAGAGGGACATCCTCTCTTCCCTGGATGATGCTGGACACCAGAGGATGAAGAGAGCAGAGGCACCAGCAAGAAAGTCCATTTTAATCACATTTTAAGTAAAGTGCTAAAAATGGAGATGTGGACATTTGAATATCTTCCCCTCTCCCACACCAGCCTTTGGCTCAGTGTGAGCCAGTGCATGAGGGGGACATCCCCGGCCCTATCTCCTCTCCCTGATACATGAAATTTCTATCTCAGGGTGGACAGGCCCCTCATCATATTGGGGAGAAAATTGAAGGGGGAGTTGGAAGACCTGGTTTGAAAGTTTTAATGAGAACACTTGGACACAGGAAGGGGAACATCACACACCGGGGCCTGTCATGGGGTTGGGGGAGGGGTGAGGGATTAGCATTAGGAGATATACCTAATGTAAATGATGAGTTAATGGGTGCAGCACACCAATATGGCACATGTATACGTATGTAACAAACCTGCACGTTGTGCACATGTACCCTAGAACTTAAAGTATAATAATAAAAAAAAGTTTTAATGATACCAGTTTTTAAAAAAAAATTCTCACTGAGTATCAGGTTCAGGTCCAGATGCAAGGAAAGTGGAGGAGAAAAATGAATGGTTCCTGGTTAAAGGGAGGTTGGATTCATGAAGGATACTGGTAAGTACATCCATGATGATGGAGTGGTGCAATACGATGGAGGAGGGATCTCAGTTAGCCAGAGGTTGGAGGTGTCGGAGAAGCAGAGGACATGGCCCTTCAGTTTAGTCTGAAGGACAAATTGGATTTAGTCTAGTGGGCAGGTTGCTTAGGTAAAATTGAATGTCTGTGAACTTGGGAAAGTCATTTACTCACTCTGAGTCACAATTCCTTTAAGTGACAAGGTAGGGGGCTGCCTTAGCCTCTGTAGATTTTCTTGGGCCTAATACTTTATGATTACATATTTGGTCTGGAAAGTAACTTGCCCTTTTCTCCAACTTCAGCGTCACCTTGGATAGAATTGTGATTCATCCTAGTTCTGCACTCCAACTTTCAGGGCTGAGGGATGACTCTCAGTGACTCAAGGCAGCTTGAGTCCCCCACCATGTGCATCAGAAGGCTGGATCTCATGACCTGTATAGGTAACTTTGTCATTAAGAGCTGTCCATATATTATAGCTGGACTGTAGGAGAGGATCAAGGCAAAAAGGGGGCCTCTGAAGAGTGTTTGAGAAGATAAGAAGTTAGGTGTGTGGGACTGGGAGAATATTGAAGAGATTATCTGAATAGATTTGGCCCAGTAGACCTTGTCCCAGAAATCCCTGCTCCGGGCCTTTCAGATAAAGTATCTAACAGCCTTTTAGCAGCAGCTTTCTCTCTAGAAACAAACCCCCATGTTTTACATCTCCTTGCAGGCACCCTGTGGCTGATAAACCCTGCAGGAACAATTGTGTCCCAATGCAGATAGGCTGTCAGCCTCCTGTCTTCCAAGGGTGTCAACTTTTAGGATTGCTCCTTTGCCTAAGAAATTGGGATTGGAGGATGGGGAACTTTGTTTCCCTCTCTCTTCTGTTGGTCCCAAGATCCTGGAACCCATCACCAAAGTGACACAATAATGGAGGTCAGGGATCCAGGGCCTGAGCAAGTGAGCAAGGGAGGCCAGGAGGCTAGGAGGAGCCACCTCAGAAGCTGTCTCACGTAGTGGTGAAGAGCTGGGGTTGGAGCCAGAAAGACCCAAATTTTGTAATCCAGACTCTGCCACCTGCTAAGTGTTCCTTGGGCATATTACTTACTTGCTGAGCTTTAATTTCTTCCTATGTATAAAGTGGAGATTATAGTAGCACCTGTCACTGGGCTCTTTGAAGGATGAAATGAGATAAATGATAAGTGCGTAGTACGGTGCCTGACAAAGAGTACTGACAAGCTACAAACATTACCTTATCATTACTGTCATCATCTTCACCACCACCACCGCAATTATCACCACCATCATAATCATCACGCTCACCATCATCACCACCCTCATTATCATTACTATCATCCTTGTCATCATCAACACTATCACCATTACTATCATTACTATTACCACCAACATCATCACCATTGTTATCATCACAACCATCATTGTCATCATCATTACCATCATCCTCATCCTCATCATCACCATCATCGCCACCATCATTATTATTACCATTATTCTTATCACCATCATCATCACCGTCATCAGCAACTTCACCATCATTATCATTACCATCACCACTATCATCATCATCACAACCATCATTATTATCATAATCGCTAGCATCCTCCTCCTCATCATCATCACCATCATCACCACCATCAACACTTCACCATCACTATCATTACCATTACCACCATCATCATCACCATCAACACTTCACCATCATTATCATTACCATTACCACCATCATCATCATCACATCATCATCATCACCATCGTCATCATCACTATCTTCATCACCATCATCATCATTATCATTATCATTACCGTCCTTGTTGCCATCTTTGTCACCTCATCATCATTACCATCACCAACATTATCCCATGGTCATCATCACAGCCATTCTTGTCACCATCATCACCATCACTATTGTTATCATTACCATTATCCTCTTCATTATCATCATGATCATCATCACTATTACCATCATCACCATCCTTGTCACCATCCTCACCACCATCATGATTGTTGTTGTGGTCATTACCATTGTTGTCTTTGAGAGACTAGGAAGACCTGGACTATGGGCTGAGGAAGTAATAAAGGAAGGACAGGCCTGCAGCATCACTCCTCTCAGGGTATCCCTACTCAGGGCAGGTAAAATGGGCAGACGCCTAGGAAATACTTTTGCTGCTAGAACTTAGCAGCAGCAGTGTGTCCAACTTCAGCATTTGGGTTCATTTTTGAAGTGGTAACAAGAAACATGGCAGCAGTGGAGTTTCTTCAAAATTGTTGAATGCCAACATCTGTTGTCTTCATTCAGAATAGGAACCACCCCAGCACCCAACAGTATTTGTATAACTTATAGAATTAGCTGGCTTCCTCTTGACCTCACTTCTTTTCAGAGTTGGGGCCCAGCTGCGGAAAACTTTTTTTCCTCAAGATTTTTCTCTTAATTCTCCTTCATTCCATTATTTTTCTCTGATTACTTTCTCTGAAATTCTTGCTCCCTTAAATGGCACTTTATATGACCGGTAGAGATTTGGATATTCCTGATCACTGTCTCTGGAATTCCAAGACTTAGCCAAAGAGATGCTTGGGCCCCACTGGAGTACCCTTGGGTGTTCAAGCATGCTGCAGTCACCCACAGACAGCTGGCATCACAATGGGTCTGTCTTAGAAGGATATTATTGGCTTCCAAGGTCTATTACTAATAACTGACAATTTTCTATCCTAGGGATGAAAGAGGTTTCTGTTTATCAAAAAGTCCTGGAAGTTCTGCTTATGAATGGCTTATTTCTCAATCAAAATAAGAAGGAGAAAGTAATTTTTTTCAGGCAGGTTAGGGTATCTGGAAAGAGTGTATTCATTTTCTTATTTTTTTCTCCACAGTCAGACTTGCTCAGTCACATCCAGTCATATGAAACACCCTGTCTCACCTCCCTACTTTTATTTTACCTTTACATGTTTGTGGCAGAAACTGTTGATACTCATCCATATTCATGGGATACTCTTGATTTTTCAGCCTCTCTTTTGATTTGATTCAGTTCTTGCCAATGGGATACAGAAGGAAGCAAGTACACTAATTTCAACCCTGGCCCTAAAAACAATGCACATGGTCCTGCAATTAATTTTTCTCTCTCTCTCCCATTGGCTAGGTGAATGCACATGGTCCTGCAATTAATTTTTTTTCTCTCTCTCCCATTGGCTAGGTAAATGTACAGTATTCTGAGGGGGCCCTAGGAAATAACTGAGCCACAAAGTAGAAGAGGGTGGGCCTTGCAATTACTGTGTAGAAGACCACTGAAGAACACTAGATGGATGGTACATGATTGAACCATTGAGATCTGGGGGTTATTTGTTATAGCAGCTAGCATTACTTTCATTGACATACACTCTATCATTTTTCTTCAGAAAAATTAGCTCAATTGCCACTAAAATATTAATACAGACATTTTCTTCTCTTTCTCTAGTGTGAAAGCTTCAGGAGGGAGAAACATTTTTATTCTTCACCTCTTTATTCCCAAGACAGTATAATCATTTTCACAAGGTCAGTGTTCTACAAATATTGGTTAAATAAATGAATGAATCAGCTGGCCTCACTTTTCTTACCTGAGAGCACTGGCTCTTTCTGTAAAGTGTTCATGAGCTGTGGTTGTTTGGTTGAATACCCTAGGGTTATCCTTTATTTTTCCTTGCCACTAACCCCAAGCCGGGCCAGATACTTTTGGGCTAAACAGCTCTTATGAAATCCTGTTCAGCAGGGCCACCACCCTTCTCTTCCACAATCTCATTGTAGATGCAAGGAGGTTGAAGCTGAGGGCAGCCTCAGCCTCCACATGCAAGGCTCTCACTGCTGGGACTCTCCATTGACCATGAGCTGCTTGCAGAGCTGCCAAATAAAACTCTACATTCAGAACAGAGAAAATGTGGAGAATGGCAAGGAAAGGGAAGACAGTGGCCAGCACAGTCAGCTAACTCCCACTTCATAGTGTCCCATGAACTTAGTTATTGACCCTAAACAAAAAAAAAAAATGAGATCTGAGATGATCCCACTGGATGTAAGTTCTGATGAAACAATGTCTGTATCTCCAGGTGGAAGTTGTTTCTTTGAACTCAACCTCCTGTATCTTTTTTTTTTTTTTTGGAGAAGAATGGCAATCCTTCACCTGGAATGAGTACTTAAATCCCTGGGGAGAGCTCTGTAAAAATTCAGATTCCTAAACTGCATCAGGATCTATTTAATCAGGATTTCTGGGGATGGTGCCTGAGGATGTGTGTTTCTGAGGGCTCCAAAGATTCGAATCACATTCCTGGTTATTAAAGCTACTTTAATTAAACGCTTGCTAAATGCTAGCCTCTTGTATGGGCACCTTTCTTCTATTAACCTTTTAAATACTTAGAACCACCTTGTGATCTTGGTACTGTTATTCATCTAGTTTTACTGATGAGGGAACAGACTGCAGCAGATATTTTACCCAGGACTTGAATGCTGTCTGGCCCAAGAGGCCTCGCTCTTCACTACCTCCTCTAATGTAGTGAAAAAAAGCATGGGATTTGAACCCAGAATACCCAAATTCCTCTTCTGCTTAGGATGAGGCTCATTTTTTTTCTCCTGAGATGACAGAGGATGTGAACAGTGCTTGTGGATCGCAGGTGCTATGCCAATGCCAGGTGCACCCCTTGAAGGAACAGATTGTACACCTGCCAGGCAGATCCCTGGCTGTGGAGGATTGCAGCTCCAGGGACATGGTGCATTTGCCTCTCAGCTGCTTGAGTGTCCTTTGATCTTTGGCCCATGAGCTTTGTCACACTGAGGAAGCAACTCTTTCAGAGCTCATTCCATCTGAGGTTCACACAAACCCTACTAAATAAGAGTGACGTACAGAGATAATGAGTTGATGGCAGGAAGGGAAGCTATTGAAAAAAGAGTTTCCTTGAGGTGAGGGGAGTTGCCCCCACAGAATCCTCCTGCAGGCAAAAAACACGGCTCACTTCTCCCCTCCCCACCAGGTTCCCTTACCCCTGAATGATGGATGATGAGAAGATGCTCTAGAGATCATATGTGCACTCTCAATTCTCTTGATCATTCCTAGTCCCTGAGCCTGCAACATTTCCCCATTTCTCTCCCAATTCCTCTTTCTCCTGGCTAACTCCAATAAGCATTGAGGTCTCGGCTTAAATGCACCTTTCCTCTGGAAGGCTTCCCTGACTCCAGGACTTCTGCTCTCAGGGCACTTATACACAGTTGTTGCAATTGCTTGAGCCTCTCTTTTCTGCTGGAGTATCCTGCTCACCCTCTTTTTCTTTCATACCCAGCACTCTGCTTGACACATAGAAGACACTCAGATATTTGTTAAATAATTGGAAAGCATTGCCATTTTCCTATTTAGTGCAGACCTTACTCTTATCTTTCATGCTTTTTCAGCCAACTGACTATGGGATGGATAATTCAAATTTGATAAGCCAAAGGCTCTTTAAACTCAGCATTCCCCAAAATGACCTCCTCCCTGTGCCCACTCCCTACTTCTGTCTGTGCACTGCCATGCACCCAGGTAGCACAGCTGAAATGTACTCTGGTGTGCCCCCAATCCAACAGATCATTCCATCGTTACATCTTCTATCCACCTTTGTATCTCTGTCTCCACTGCCATGCAGACTGTAGCAGACCATCATCCTTTTCTCTCCTGAATTATCAGAATGGCCTTTCTGAATCTGTCTTCTTCCTGATCATCCATCCTCTGCCCAAATATCAGGGTGTTTTTGTTTCTTTGTCTTAACAATGCAAATTTGGTCATGGTGTTGCCTTTGAAGTGTCAGTAATTCCTCCCAGTCTCCAGATAAGATGCGTGCCCTTTAGTGAGGCCCACATAATCTGCATCCACCATCTGGCCTTGAGGTCAGTCTTGCATCTTACTGCCTCCCTCCTGGAATTCCTCGATTACTTGCAGTGTGCACAGCGTGCTACGTTGTTCATGGCATCCCAGTGCCTCAGACTGCGCCCTAATCCTCAGGCCCACGGCGTCCCTGCTGAGCTGCTCAGGGAATGCCTGCTCACCTTTCCAGACTTTGCTCAGTGTCAGTATTGTCAGTGATAAAGCCTTTTCTTGGCATTTCTCCACAAACCATATGTGAGAAACACCTCTCCCCTTGCCTCCACTCTGCCCTGAAAAATTGTCACAGGCATTTAACACCCCCTTGTCCTTTTTTGTTTACATGTTTGTTTCCTTCGGCTAGATTGCAAACTCCATATGATCAGGAACATATTTTAACTCTTTTTCACTGTGAGTGCTTAGCACACAACTTGGCACTTAGTAAGTACTCAATGAATGTTGGCAGAATTATTGGATTCCAAATGTGTGCCAAAGAATGTAAAAATTAACCTAATCTAGCCAAATGCAAAAGATGACTGTACAGACTCCAGGGAAAGAGGGAAGAAAGGCTCTTGTCCTTGTATAAACCTGTCATGTGGGTACCTGTGGTAAGCATGGAAGATCTCTTGCCACAGGTAAGGATGGTGGGGGTTGCCAATCCCAGCTGCTGTGTCTGGAAGCCCAGTTACCACTCTTGTGCCCAGGCCGTGATGTCCACAGCTGCTTCTAGCCGAGAAGTAAGCGCAGCAGGAAACCCGTGCGGGTCTGGCTCTGGAGGAGGCAGGGCTTTTTAGACGTGTGACTGGCCAAGGATTCACTGTTTGCCCTGCCAAAAGTGTCCTAGGGTTCCCATACAGTCTATGATCTTCTTCCCTTCCTTTTCTCCCCTTTCTCCTTCAGAGTGATCTGACGTACATCCGGGTTTGACAAGCCTCCTGGCCTCCTTCATTTTCTTCCTCGTTTTCCTTCACAGCCATTCACCCATAAGTGTTTTCTGTGTCTAATCCCATCGTTGCAGCACCCAAATTAACACAGGTGCTATTAAGAGTGGGCTGGAACAAACCGCCAAGCATATGAATTCCAATTATACACTCTGTGCCTGGGAAATGGTCTTCAGATGGATCTGTGGACCCCATGGGCCAATGTGAGCCAGACCTTAGCCACAACTCCAGTTGTTACCTGGCCCCCATAAATTCCCACTCCAAAGGCATATTTCTCTTTCTCCAGTATACACAGTCATAACCATAGGGTCATAGATTTTGGGGAAAGGACTTGGGAAATCATCACAGTCTATACCTGCCATGGCATTGCAGAGTCCTGTCTCCTAGCAGCCCAGACAGCTCTTCCATCAGTGGTTTTCCAATCTGGAATGGACTCAGATGTAGGAACTGGGCCAGGAGGTGTGGCTATTTTGGTGTTCCTACCCTCAGCCTCCTGCTCCTCTGTTCCTACCTTGCTGCTTTTGTTGTAAGTGTTAAGCAGCATGCTGTTGGTGGCCCATCTATTTTGCCCCTAGGCACTCTATAATCTATGCACCATTTCCATGGCTCCCTGCCAGTCAAGGCCTCTGGGTTGGCCCTCTGACCTTTCCAGCCTGCAGCCACTATTGCCCGGTCCCCATCATCCTCAGAATTAACCAGCCCAGGTCGTGATCCTCCTACCTTGGGCCTTGACCTGCAGAGGTGAGCCATCGCGGAACCTCTTGTTGATGCCAATCTAGTGCATTCCTAGTGGCCTTAGTGGGCGGTGTGTCCTAGATCCCTCCTATGGAACACAAATCTCTGTGGCTCTGCTAGCCTCACATTCACTCCAGAATGTCTCCTCCTATGACTTCTTTACTCCTTCTTCTACCTACCCACAATCACGACTCAGGCATTTCCACTTTACCAAGAGTAGGCCATGGCTTTCCTAGGCTTCAAAGTGCCACCCAGCAGCGAGTCAGCCACATTGCGAGGTCCTTGTCCTAAGAAAGTGTCCCAAGGCAACGAGTCCTTGCTTATCCACCTTAAGCATCAGCCCCTCTGGCAGGTAGCTGGGACCAAAAGCCTCTCCTTGGCCTGGCTGGAGCTCCTTAGCACCTCATTGCAGTTGGCCGCCGTGCTTCATTCCCTCCCTCCATTCCTTCTTCTCAGGCCTGAAGGCTCCTCCTCCCCCACTGCTGTCTCCTTTGGTGACCCAGTTTTCCTCCTGGGTGTTTCCTCCAATCAGTCTCTTTCTAACCAAATTCCATCTGGGCATCTGTGTTTCTGGAGGACCCAGGTCAAGCAGGACTAAGACATTTGTTACCTCATTGAACTTGCTCAATAGTTTTCTACTCTTTGCTAGTTTTAACCCTATGCTAACGGAGTGAAAGGAAAACTGAAGCTCAGGGACATTCAGATATTTGCCCAAAGTTTCAGACATAGGAAGTGAAAGTTGGAATCTGGTTCTTGACATCTAATCAGGGAAGTTTTACCACAGTGGGGTTTGTCAGAGGGTTCTTGGAGAAGGACATTTGGAAGATATCCTTGGGGAAGGCAGGGTTTCATCTTAACTGATGGGAAGGGAGAACAGAGACAGAAGTAAGCAAGTTTTATGTCTCTGCATATGTTTGGTTCCTGTGTATACGTGAGACTTTGTGTGCATAAATGTGCATGCGTTCATACCTGTATCAGGATTACTTAATTCATGTAGACCCAGAATGTGTGCAGGCCACATGCAGGAAGGAAAATTGAGCTTTGATAGCTGTCTCCAAAATTTTGCAGTTCACAAAATCAGAAAGAAAAAGCCATTTCGAGTTTAATACACATGGCAATTTTTTATGATTAAGTGTCATGTTTATGTTCAATCTTAGACCAAGGGGCTACCCTAATCTATTCAGTACTTAAGGCTTTAATGTAAGTCTCAATCCTGTCCTGATACAGAGGTGAGCAAAGAATGGGAGCGGCTTTGTGCTTTCCCTTGGGAACCCAGGGTCTTCCTTGAAAACATGAAACCCAAGGGAGGGGGGCAGTGGGTCTGCAAAGCGCTCAGGAGGTGCTTTGTCCTTGAGCAGGGCTGTAATTCCTCTTTCCTTCCCCGCCCTCCTCCCTCCTTCCTGCTGGCTAAGGGCTGCCTCCCTGGAGGATTCCAGGTGGGAGCCCAGATCACTGAGCAGTGAACACGAAAATAATGAGTCCCCTTGTCTGTGACTGTTCCCGTCACATCTGAGAGAGATCTGCGATCTCCAGGAGGGAAGGACGGCCCCTGCCTCTGCTCTGCTGCCGCCTCTGCTGGGCTCTGCCCCTGCACCGCGGCCTCCTCCTGCTGCAGGCCCGGTGCCTGGGCGGCGCTGGCGGTGTGCGTGGAGCCGGGGAAGCTGGCAGCCCGCAGAGCACGTGAGGGCCGGGAGCCAGGGTGGGCGAGGGGAGAGGTGTCTTCACTCCATATGCAAGTCACTTAATGAGAAACAGTGCATCTGCTGCGCAGCCCCCACCCTGGGGACGGCTGCCAGCTCTCCTCGCGGGTGGCTGTAGTAAGCCTGGCCTAGACACAGGCTCATTCTCTAGTCCTCCCCGAGCACAGCAGGGGCACGGGGAGGCATGCCAGCGTGGGGGTGGCCGGGTCTGGGGTCTCCTCAGGTGTGCGCTTGCCCTGGGGCCCTGGCGTGGCCGAGATTCAGCCCTGCCCTCTGAAGGGACTGCCCTCCCGGCCTTCCCAGCTTCCAGAGGGGACTCGGGCCTCCTCCACCGCCTGTTCCCCTGATTCCATCAACAGCGCAGGTTTGGGGGTCTGAACCAACCCCGCCCCGACCCCACCTAGACGTTTCACCCTCCAAGGCTGTTTTGCCTCTGCTTCCCTGAATCGTGGACTGATGCCTGGTACTCTTACTACCCCCACTCCCGACGTTTTTCCATCCTTGCGCCCTTCAATGAGGCTTCTCTCTTGCAGGACAGTGGACTCTGCCTCATGAGCCTGGGCGCGTTCTTCTTTCGCCCCTCTAGAGCAATCCCTCAGGGTACATGGCCCAGCTGAAACCCCTCCTTCCCGCACAGTCTCCTCCCTGGGTTTTGTGGTCTCCAGGGCCTCGGTTCTTGCTACGGACTTCCCATTCCCCGGCCAGGGCCCCACTACCTCCTCTCCCTGAGCACACTGTTTTCAAGGCCCAATTCTCTGCACTCTTTTTCATTGCTTTTCTTCTTTTTCTTACGAAGTATTTTAGATAACACCCAGAACATCTGTTCAGACAGCATTTTAAATTTTTTCAAAATTTAAAAATATAAAAAGTACAAAGAATATAACTTACATGAATATTTTTGCCATCCAAAATCAACAACTGTTAGCATTTTGTCTCCTTTGTATCTAGTATTCTTTTTGCTTTTTGAAGAAATAAAAGACTACAGAGAAAATGAAAGTTGCCTTCAACCAACATCCCTCTTCCTGTTCCCTTCTGGTTCTCCCTAGAAGCAAGCATTGCGGTTCATGTTTATGGTTTTAAGTACATAACATCATAAATGATACATAGGCCTCATACTGTCCCTAGTGTTTGTTGCTGGCCATCTGCTATATTTAGAGAGGTCTGGTTTATTTCTTTTAACTGCTGTACAGTATTCTGTCATTAAATATATTGAATTATTTTTACAATATATTCCACTACATATAGACATTTTATATTCTTTCCAATGTTTTCCTCTTAACAATAACAAAAAATATGCTTCAGTCAACAACTTTGGACATGTTTTCTGGTGCACATATGCAAGAGTTTCTGTAAGGCATATACTCAGAGGTAGGATTGTTGGGTCTTAAATGAGGCATATTTTCAATTTTATAAAATATGACATTTTTTTCTCCAAAGTGGATGTACCAATTTGCATTCCTACTTGCAGTTTATAAGAGTTTCATTTCACCCGAATCCTTGTCAACACTTGATATTCTCATACTTCAAAATTTTGACAATCTGTGGGTGAAAAATTATATTTGATTGTTACTTTAATTTGTATTGCTCTATTGTTAATAATAGCTTACAATTACTTAGTACTTATTCTGTGCCAGCCACTGTTCTAAGCAGTTTACATATATTAACTTATTTAATCTTCACCACAAGGCTTTCAGGGAGTTTCTGTTGCTATCATTCTCATTTTACGGGTCATGAAAGAGGTTTAATAACTTGGTAAAGATTTCACAGCTCCTCAGGAGTGGCACAGGCATTCAGAACTGGCCCCAACTCTGCACAGCATCACATCATCCTGGGCCCCCAATTCTGGAGAGGCCAAGTATTCTTTCATGTGTTCTTGAGCCATTTGTATTTTCTTTTCTATGAAGTTTTCTATTTATTATATCCTTGGATAATTTTGATTAGGTAATTTGTCTTTTTTTCTTATTCTTTTAAAAATTATTTACATAGTTTGGACACCAATCCTTTGTCTTTTATATATGATGCAATAACTTTCCCTGGATATCACTTGTCTTTTAACCGCCTTTGTGGCTTTTGTTTGTGTTTTTATTTTTGCCACACTCTTCTTTTAAATTTCTTCTTTTCCTGAACCAGTTCTGCCCCCATTTTCACCGTGTCCTTGGCTTGATGACTTTTTCCGGTTGAGGTCTACATTTCAACTCCTTTTACAAATGTAAGATCTACTTCACCAATTGCTTCAAAGACATCTCCACCTGTGTATAATGCTGTGACCTTAAACTTCAGATGTCTTCCACGACCCTGTCTTCCTTCTCAAGTAAGTTCTCCCCTCAGTTTTCTCTACTTTTTTTTTTTTTTTGAGGGAGTCTTGCACTGTCGTCCGGGCTGAAGTGCAATGGTGTGCTCTTGGCTCACTGCAAGCTCCGCCTCCTGGGTTCAAGCGATTCTCCTGCCTCAGCCTCCCAAGTAGCTGGGATTACAGGCACCCACCACCACGCCTGGCTAATTTTTTGTATTTTTAGTAGAGACGGGGTTTCACTATGTCGGCCAGGCTGGTCTCGAGCTCCTGTCCTCGTGATCCACCCGCCTCGGCTTCCCAAACTGCTGGGATTACAGGCGTGAGCCACTGCACCCAACCTAGTCTTCTCTATGTTTATAAATAGCACTGCATTTGTAAATCATGCAGCCTGTAGTTCTGGGTTACTTTTGCTTTTCTCTTTCCTTTATTTCGTGTATTGAATCAGGAAACACCATCGAACGAAGTCTTTCAACATACAGTTTCTGTTCTAATTGCCATCATTCCAAACCCTTGATTACTCAGACCTGCATCATTGCAGCAGGTTCCAAATTGCCTTTCTAAAAAGTCAAAACCCTTCAGTGATTCCTCATTTCCTACTGGTACATCTTTGATAGCTCCCCACTGTGACCTTGACTTGATACCATCACTAACTTCTCTTTAATTGGGTCTTTCAAAACAACGCTTCTGTCCAGTCAGCGGAAGCAGCCCTTCCTAGACACAGGAAACTGCTCCTTCCTGGTTCTAGGACTCAGCTCGCTGGCGCCTCCTAGGGGCGCTCCTTCTCCCTCTCCTCCGCTCGCCAAGTGCCGCGGTCCATGGTGTCCAGCTGTCCCGCCATTTGCCCGCTGAGGTTTTTTTCTCCATCTTCAGTGTCTTCCAGCACACACCACTCAGAAGGTCCGCCTTTCGAAACGTTTACCCTTGTGTTGTCATGCTACCGAGCCCCAAGAAACCAAGAGCTGCTCTTTCCCGTTGCCTCGACGGGACCACTTTCATTTTCAGCAGTGCCTGTCTCCCCCAGCTGCGAACTTAGCACTCGCGTGTCCAGGGTGGCGAGGGGAAAGAGCAGGAGGAGCTGCGGAACACGGATGAGGTAGTGGAGCCATGATGAAATGCAGAATGAAATATGCATGTTGGCACCTATTTAAATACTTAACAAAAATAAAAAGCACTGGTAGGCCTGTAGTTAGACTTGCTGAATGAGATTGCTATCAGGAGCTACAAAATAACAGTGTTTCAATTTCTCTGTGTAGAAAAAAAAAAAAAAAAAGAAATCGCTTCCCCTTTCCTGACTCGGACGTAGATCTCACAGACGGTTTTTAGGGAGGAAGCTTTCTCAGTCTTCTCTCCCACCTGTGAACCAGCTCAGGTGCTCTGCTAAATTCAAGAAGTGACAGGCAGCTCCGAATCTCTGAACCACCGCCTCCCTGAGGCTGCCTGCCACGCGCAGCGACCCAAGCCCCTGTTTCTCGTCTTTATTCTCGAATTCCCCTTCTCTGCCCAGCATCCTGGGGCCAGCCTCTTGCGTGCCTCTTGGACACAGATAAACCTTGAAATCTCTTTGTAACACCTTCAGACTTGCCGGTGCCGTCTACTCCTCAAGGCCAGCACAGACGTGGTGTCTCAGACCCTGAGTGTCCAGGATGTGAGTTCAGGCCGATAGAGTCACTCATTAATTCATTTTTGCATTTTCCCAAAACATGTCCATATTTATGTGCCCCTTCAAACACAGACTCAGGGATGACTAGGAATCTAAACGACAAAGAAGATGCAAGATAAACTCGTCTGTGACTGGGGTCTCCAGTTGTTTCCCTTGCTGTGGAGCTTCCCCACTTACACACCCTCCAGTGACCCAGGGAGCAGGGACAAGAAGGCATGGGTCTGGTTCCATCTAAGGGCCTTTTGCTTTCATCCCAAAGATGGTTGTCAAGCCCCTTTGAGCCCCAAGACCTCCCTCAGCAGCCAAGCCAACAATTCTAGTGGGGAGAAGAAGGGTTCAGTGACCGGAGGAGTAGCTGGTGGGGAATCCACAGTGAGGCATTCTCCTCACTCCTTACTGTCTCTTCACCCTACTTTCACCATTTTCTTGTAGAAGAAACAGACACTGCAATCCACAACTTTTATAGTACAAAAACTTTTTCAGCATTGTTTTGTGCATGTTTTGACACAGGGCTTTGTATTTCGGTCATCCTGAGAGAGGCAACTTTATTCACAGAGAGCACAATTTAGAGATGGTGTGACCAAATAAGCAAGATGTGAATATGCAGAAAGACACATGGAAAGGAGTGGGGGTGGGGTGGGGACAGGAGCCAAGACCAGAAGAATAGCAGGGATCACAGGGCAGCCCTGGACATTCAGACACACATGGGTGTACTGCTTAGGGGGAAGTCTTTCTTTTTGGTTAGGACCTAGCCCTGAATATAAGGTGAGCTGGAACCTGGCTTGGCTGCTAAGACTAGAGTGTAACAGTTGGATGAAACATAGAGCTTCTGCTAAATCACACTACTTCCTGGGAGAGGTCTTGCTGTCTCCTGTCTCTCCTGCATAGTGCTTTCCATGGAGTAGATGCTGAATAAATATGTAATGTTTGGATGAAAGAACAAATGAGTAGAAACATGGGGAACTTTGGTTGCTGACCTATAAACAACAGGTGAAGGGGGTGATTCTAATTCTGGGTACCTAGATTGCTCAGCTGGAATATTATCAAATCACCAAAGCATTAGTCCAAGGTAATGTAACATTTTTTTGAGGACAAATAAACTGGACGTGATGAATTAAACTCAGATTTAATAATCTTAAGTTAGAATCTTTTCTCCCACCTCCTTATCCCTCTGAGAAAAAAAAAAAAAAAGTGCAAAAGGTGATTACAGCAGAGTCTGCTACCTGATTCTCTCTTCCCAGCTAAGACTGTATTTCCTCATTTCCTTTTCAGTTAAGGCCAGCCAGGTAACTGAGTTCTGGCCAATAGAGTATGAGTGGAAGTGATTTCTGCCACTTTCAGGCCAGCTTCATTGAAAAAAGAATCTGATGCTCAGTCCTCCATATTTGTTCCCGATCTGGCTTGGTGTGGATGAGAGCGGAGGCTGTGGAGGTTATGGATTGGGAAGCAGAGGAGCCACAGCAAATAGGAAACTAAGTCCCTGACTCACCATATGAAAAAGAGTCTCAAGTGGACCAGGGACATGTGTTTGCCACTTTGTGTGAGTGAGAAATAAATTCCACTGAGATTTGGGATTTGTCATAGCAGCTAGTACTATCAGAAATAATCCAGGGATAAATTGTGCTTTATTATAGACAAGAAGCTGCTTCCTACTATTCTACAGGGTAAAGAAAACCAAATTGTTCTCCGAGTGCTTAGGTCTAATGCCTTAATTATTGAAACTTTTAAAGTTGATTGCTCTAAAGGCTTTTGTTTTGTTTTGTTTTGTTTTTCCTCCTACTAATGTCTAAGGAAAGTGCTAAGAGTTGAAGAAGGAAAATGTAAAGGATGCATAAGACATTGACCATATTCTTATGGCCTTCCCAACTGGTTTTGTTGCTTCTGACATTAGTTGATAACTTGATTCTAATATCTTGGATACCTGACTTTGGCTTGAGAACTGGATTCAGAACTCTCATGTACTTAACCTGCTCATATTAAACCATTTACTTTCTTCTAGTTATCAGATATATTGTTTTCAATCATACCCTAGTAACCTGTCCTAAGTTAGCACTTGGTTAGGTTGATGTTGGTGTTCCTGACTCTGAACTCAATCTTGATTCAAATTGGGTCAGCTGTAGTGATTAACCTGGTGAGGTCAAATCTCTTTTCGTGGTGAAATTAGATTTCAGTTGGTTCCCTAAGCAATGATGAGAAACAGCTTGTATGGACTAAAGATAAATCAAAATCAGCAAAAATATACTTTGTGTACTATCTACAGCTCCCAAAGTTTGATCAATTATAAGTTGTACAGGATGAAAGCCCCCAGTTAGATGTTAGGAATGGCAGCTTATCCTTTGCTAATGGGTTCCAGGTGCCTCTTCCATGCCTCATTGCTAGGATATGCTTCACTGTTCCAAAGCCCTAGTTCCCAGAGGGAATCCCTGCATTCAGAAAAATCAGCTGCGTTTTGACATCTGGATGGGATTGAAATGTTTACAGTTGAGTAATGTAGCTGGAAGATGTGTACATAGTCACTTAAAAGTTTATCTATAGATAAGAGGCAGCATAGAGGAAGATAGGTGAAGCTATTAAGCATCTACATGAAGTACCTACTGTGGGAAAGACACATGTGTTTGGGAGGATACATGGAAAGGATTAGCAAAAAAAAAAAAAAAAAAAAAAAAAGAAGAAAAGAAGGAAAGAAAGAAAGAAGAGAAAGGTAGGAAGACACTGTCCCTACTCTGAAGGACTCCAATGTCTAATGTGAAAAAAGTATACACAGATACTTGTAAGGTGGTACATTCT
The DNA here is from genome assembly GCF_000001405.40 of Homo sapiens. Lineage (NCBI taxonomy): Eukaryota > Metazoa > Chordata > Mammalia > Primates > Hominidae > Homo > Homo sapiens. Next base: position 133,572,881 of record NC_000011.10, on the reverse strand, counting down.
GCAATACAGCCATGAATAGGCATAAACAGGCACTACTAGGGAGAAGAGGCAGGGAAGGCTTTCTAGAGGAGGTGACACATGAGCTTGGTAGGATTAATAGGGATTTGCCAGTCAAAGGTTGATGATTGGCTGGCAGTGGGTAGGTATTCAGCTTTCAGACATACGACTGAGCTTTAGGAAACACATGGAAAGCACAGCAGGGGTCTTCAAATAGTTCATGGAAAATACATAGTATAAAAAAACTATGCACATATTTCAGAAATTTTTCTTGTACCAATATAAACTTGTACTAACTTGTTATAACATGACTAAAGAGGAACTAGTTTGAGGCACTAAGAAAGGTAAGGCATCAGTTTGAAAATGTTCCCTATCAGAGCAACATGAATTCTGCTAAAATTGAAGCAAGGAGAAACATCATATTTATGGTGAAGCTTGGGTGGAAGAATAGTAAAATTATTGATGCTTTATAAAAACTTTATGGTAATAATGCCCTAAAAATCCAGCAGTTTACAAATTGATAACTCATTTTAAGAAGGGATGAGATAATGTTGAAGATGAAAGTCCACAATGGCAGATCATCCAGATCAATTTTTGAGGAAAAAATTTATCTTGTTTATGCCCTCATTGAAGAGAACTGACGACTCACAGCAGAAACAATTGCCAACACCATAGGCAACTCAATTGGTTCAGCTTATACAATTCTGACTGAAAAATTAAAGTTGAGCAAACTTTCCACCTGATGGATGACAAACCCATTGTATTCAGGTCAGCTGCAGACAAGAGCAGAGGTATCGATGAGAATTTTAAACAAATGGGATCAAAATCCTGAATCATTTATTTGAAGAATTTTAACAGGAGATGAAACATGGCTTTCCCAGTATAATCCTGAAGACCATGCACGATCAGAGCAATGGCTACCAAGATGTGGAAGCGCTCCAGTCACAGCAGAAGCAGATTAGTCAAAAGCAAAGGTCTTGGAAAAAGTTTTTTTTGGGATGCTCAAGCCATTTTGTTTGTTGAATTTCTGGAGGGTCAAAGAATGGTAACATCTGTTTATTATGAGAGTGTTTTGAGAAAGCCAAAGCTTTAGCAGAAAAAGTCCTGGGAAAGCTTCACAAGAAAGTCCTTCTTCACTACAACAACGCTCCTGCTCATTCCTGCCATCAAGCAAGGACAATTTTGTAAGAGTTTTGATGGAAAATTATTAGGCATCCACCTTACAGTCATGATTTGGCTCCCTATGACTTTGAGTTTCTTAATATTAAAAAATCTTTAAAAGACTCCCATTTTTCTTCAGTTAATAATGTAAAAAAGACTGCATTGACATGATTAAATTCCCGGGACACTCAGTTCTTTAGGAATGGACTAATTGGCTGGCACCATCACTTACAGAAGTGTCTTGAACTCGAGGGAGATTATGTTGAGAAATAAAGTTTACATTTTAATTTTTAATCTTTTAATTCACTTTTTTCCATGAACTTTTTGAAGTTTCCTCATATACCTGCATATACATTTCATATGCTGCATATTTCTATAACAACAATATGTTCAGGATTTTTGTGGAGGTATAGGTTATCTCATTGTTTGAAATTATATTTTCATAAGGTGATTTATTACTAAAGTGATTTTATTATGTTTTTCTATGATTTTCCGTATTTACAGTCTCAAATAGGGGAGAAAACACAATCTTTTTTTTAGTTTTTATAGCTTAATTTGCATTCAGAAAATATGTTTACCATAACTATCAATTACTGAATATTTTTACATACCAGGCACTTCCCAATTAATCATCAACATAATTCAATCAATTACGTATTGTTATTGCTATGTTATGTATTAGGACTCTGAGTCTCAGAAAGGTTAAGTGACTTATAAGTGGCCAAACCACTTAGAGACCAAGGAAAAGAATGAAGAGTCCCAAAATAGATCTGTACATGTATGGTAAATTGATTTTAATAAAGTCATCATCATTTGAAGGGGAAAGGAAGTCTTCAAAACAAATGGTTTGTTTCAATTAGGGATGCCTGCAGGAGAAATAATCAGTTAAAATCACATGATATATAAACATGGTAACTGGACCTCCTGATGGTTATTAGCAGTGTATGAGTTCTCATCTATGGAATGCTTTTAAGAGGATATATACCTAGTTTGTCTATTATTATTTATGTCAAACAAACCTGGAGTCTATTTGTGTTTTTGGCTAGATAATGTTTGTGTCATCTAGGTAATTACTAGACAATACTGGAATGTAAAATAGAGATGACTCATGAGCAAATGAACTCCCTTTGTGTAAGTGGTGGCATGCGTCACCTGGGAATTTTCTGCGTCAGCTCTGAGAGGGCACATGTCCTGATGTGGAAGAGAGGACATGAGGTTGTTGCTGGCCATCTCCCTCTGTCTCCATGCTTTGCATGTCTTGCTATTATCTACATTCTTAAAACTTGTAGTAAGGTTTGATATTGCATGATAGCTGATTCTTGTCAATCCGATTATACAACGAGTCTCTTAGTGTTACTTCAAACCTATTTACATTGAATGTAATAATTCATATGATTGGGTTTAAATTTACCATTTTCCAATTTGTGCTTTCTGTTTTTCTTTCCGTCTTCTTTTAGATTACTGAAATATTTTATATTATTCCAATTTATTTCCTCAACTAGCTCATAGAAATAATTCTTTGTATTTTTTTTTTTTACTGTTCTGGGGATAATAATACGCATTTTTAAATTCTAAATGCCAAAGAAATTAAAATTTATGCTCACATAAAAACATGTAAACAGATGCTCATAGCAGCTTTGTTTGTAGTAACCTCAAATTGGAAGCAACCAAGATGTGCCTCAATGGATGATGTGTTAAACAATCTGTGGTACGTCCACACCACAGAATACTACACAACAATAAAAACGCACAAACTACTGATACATGCAACTGCTTGCGTGAATTTCCAGAGGATTATTCCGATTTTAAAAAATCCCCAAAGGTTACCTATTGTATAACTACATTTATGTAATTTTTTATGACAAAATTTTAAAAATGGAAAATAGAGTACTGGTTGCTAAAGATTAGAGAATGGGGAGGGAGCTGGGTGTGGCTTTAAAAGGGCAGCAGGAGGGATCCTTGTGGCTGTAGAACGGCTCTGCATCCTGACTGCCGTGGTGGAACAAGAACTTACACCTGTGATAGAATTATACAGAACTTAAATACACACACATAATTAAGTACAAATAAAACTGGGGAAATCTGAGTCAGATCTATGGATTAGATCAATGTCAGTATTCTGGTTATGATGTGGTACTATAGGTTTGTAATATGTTACTGTTGGGGCAAATGGGTAAAGAGTGCATACGATCTCTCTGAATTATTTCTTACAAGTCCCTGGTATTCTAGAATTATTTCAACTAAAATTTCAATTAAAATTTAATCAGAGTCAATATTGTAACACACACCACTTCATGTATTTCTCCTTACTGTATTATTTCACAACTGTAATGGCTATATAGTGGTATGATTCCATTTTACCCACCCACCAATGTTGTGCTATTATGTTAACATTTTAAAATTATGCATGTTAGAAACCTACCCCACATTATATTTGCTTTAGGTAGAGGTAGTCTTTGCTTTGCACAGTTTTGATATGCACAAATTCCAGTTATTGCATTTGTTTAATTAATACTGGTCCTCCAACAGCACGATTTATATTTTAGTTAGCACAGTGTGTTAACTGTGACTAATTTTACAAGATATAAACTTTGCTGTGAGCTCTTCAGTCCACAAATCACAACCTAAGTGACAGATGCACATCACGATCAGTAAGCAATCTTGTCACTTCTTTCAAAATCTATTGTGAATATGTCACTCTGCATCTGTTATTTAGTTTTTGCACAGACAGCAAAACATGTGGGTGTGTCACCTCTTTGCCTTCCAGTGACAAACCCACAGAACATTTCACAAAAATGGATACTCAACTGAAGAAATTGACCATCAAAGATCAAAGTGCAGGAAAGAAATGAAAAGGGCTAATGATAGACGCAAAATTTGCCTAGAACATCAGTGGAGTTACAGGAGAAATACCTGACTGTGGGGATGCTGAGACTGCCAGCATTCACGAGGCTCTAGATGTTCAACCAGAGCAGCTTAGTGAAGGCAAACTTACCAGCATAAATGAAGAAAGTGGCTGGGAGGAAAATGGAGGATGGTGTCTCAGAAGTAATGCCACTAAATAATAAAAACCACAACTGCATAAAAGAACTCTCAGACTTACGTCATGACATTGAACACACACAGGAAGAAATGTTGAAAACTGATTCAAAATTTAAGAGTATAACAATGTTCCAAGACATAGAAAAGCTGCTCACTCGGTATCATAAGTTATGTAAAGAGCAGAAGGCAAGGACTTCTCAAACTCCTCTTGATCATCTGTTTTTACAAAGAAAACCCTTCATTCTCAATGTTTCTAGTTTTAAATTACAGTATAACAAATACATATTAATTTTTACTAATTCTTTATTTTCTTATACATTTATATAACCCATAGTAAAAGAGGATTTTAATGAAAATTTTTAAAGGTCATGGAGCTATCATAATTTTCCCATTGATTATTGAAATCACTTTTTAACACATAACTTCAATGTGTTCAGTCATTTTTATGATCCCATACTATCATACAAAGTGAGGACTACCTGTAGTGAGAAGGGTTTTTTGGAAGAAAACTGAGAAGGAAAAAAGCCATAGTGTTTCATGTTTCCTCATTCATCCTTTCTGTTGTGCTCCTTGCCTCCTTAGAGAACCAAGTGTCATTCCTCAGCACTCCTTATCTCATATGTCTGTCGGTGAAACACTTTTTCAGCTTTAATTTACCTAAATATGTCTGTATTTCACCCTCTGTTTTAAAGGATATTTTCACTACAAGTAGAGCTCTAGGTTGAAAGTTGATTTTCTTTCAGTGCTTTAAAGATGTTCTATTGTTTTCTGGCTTCTGCTGTTTCTGTGAGTCAAATATAAATCTGACAATCCTCACTGCTGTTTCCCTATGTGTAATATGTCCCCTGCTCCCCACTGCTGTCAGCGGTTTCGAGATTTTTCTCTTTGGGGTTTAGTAGTTTTCCTCTAATGTGCCTACCATGGTTCTCCTTGTATTTGTCCCACTTAGGTTTGTTGTTATTTTACATCAAATTTGGCAAGTATTCAGCTATTGCATTTTTAAAATATTTTTCTGCCCCATTTCATTCTCTTCTCTGCACACCTATGATCTGTGTGTTAGACTGTTTAAATGTGGTCCATGGATCCCTGGGGCTCATTCATTTTGCTTCAAACATTTTCCCTTCTTCTTAAAATTCAGTTTGTGTATTGATAATTTCTCAAGTTTACTGAATTTTCTGTCACCTCCAATCTGCTGTTAAGTTTGTCCAATGAGTTTAAAAATTTTAACTATTGTATTTTTTCCTTCTAGAACTTTCCTGTGATTCTTTTTTGAAAATAACTTTTCTCTGCTGAAAGTCTCCATACATTTTCTCATTTTGACCATATTCTTGAATTTTTAGAAATTCTTTGAGCATATTTATAAATTCTGCTTTAAAATTTTTGCCTGCTGAAGCCAACATCCAGATCATCTGAGGGTACGATTCCACTAACTAGCTTCTTTTCTTGACTATGGGTCATAGTTTCCTATTTTTTTTTGTATATCCAGTAATTTTTTATAGTTTAGTGGACATTGTTGGTGGTACATTATAATAAAATGGGATGTGCTCATTATGACATATAAAAAAATGGGTTGAATAAAAAAGGAGACTCATTTCTGTAATCTTTCTTTGAAAAGTGATAATTTTTATTCTACAGGTAGTTTAATTATTGACTAATGTCTTTGAATTTATATAGACTTGAATTTATGCTTTATTGGAATAATTTGTCGAAATCCCAAGGTATTTCCAAAGGCATTCTAACTTAGTAATACTCAACTGCCAAACTCTTTCTCCTCTGAGGACTTTGTCAGTGCTTGCTTTTAGACTTGGTCCTTCCTAAGGCTTGTTCCTTCCTCCTAGGGCATGACCTCTCTGATATCTTAGCTGGATTTCTGGGGAGTTAACACAATGTTAATGGAGTTTCTCCACTCAGGTGGGCCAAGACTTCCAATGTCCCCAGAACTACTTTACCTTTGATAACTGCTTCTATTGTCAACCTACAGTTATTTACTCTCTGGTAAGCTTTGTCCAGTTTAACCCTGCGCACATGCAACCTAGCCTTTGGCCACAGATGTGTGAGAAACCCCTATGTAAACTCATGCCCTTCTCCCAACCCCCCAAATGTGCAGCTTTCTCCTCTCTGGTTCTTTGCCTTGCACATCCTAACCTCTTTGGTTCCTATAAACTCTGAATTCTGTGTCTTTAGCTCAGTAGGGCTACTGTGATATCACTGGACTCCAACTTATGGTGCTAAGGTCAGGAAATTATCCACAGATAGAGACCTGAGGAAATCGTAGGGCTCACCTCCTGCATTTACCTTCTCTCAGAGATTGCAGTCTGGGACTGCCTGTGGTCCATTGCTTGAAAAAAAAAATTGCTCTATGTATTTTATTCCATTTCTATGGTTATTTAAGGTGATAGGGCTAGTCTACTACTAGTTAATGTGTCTTATTTAGAAGTGGCAATCTCACATTCCATTTTGAATTGATGAATGCCTAACAATCAAAAACTAAGTGCATGGAAGAGGAAAACAAATCTAGGGGAATCCTCAGCCTTGGGATATCATCTACCTGAGAGGTCCTGAGCCACTGTCATTCATTTTCTACTTAGTCTGAGTTTTTCTTTAGCCATGTGACACCAAGACTGAGAGCACACTATTGTAATATTTAGGAGTATATGTGAAGTTTCTCCTGGTATTAAATTAACCCAGAAATAAGCCCTGGTTTTCGTATGCTAAATGGCCATTACACAGTTAGTTTCATGACAAAACAATTAAATGAAACCAAACAAAACAATATATTTCTAGTTCTAAGGTAAACATTAATTATGCCTCCCATTTTAATGGTTCTGAAATGTAAATGTGTCTTTCAATATGAGTTTAAATTTTATTTTGCCTCCAAAGAAATCTAATATAAAATTGATGATTTGTCTTAAAACTAATGGGATTTATCACCAAAAAAGAGATTTGTAGGCATCTAGTCATTTGCACGCTACACAGTTACTATTCCTCTTGGCCCCAAATTTCCAAATACTTATTGCCTCCCTTCTTCACAGAAGAAAAAAACAATTGGAAAAAAATGTTGTTTTTGTAGCAGCAGTGGATTTAAAGAAGCCGTCGGGAGAAATGCCGTGACTTAATAATGGCTGTGAGGTGTTGAAATGCATCTGTAGATAAAAATCTGAGATAATGTTTTCAAACTTTGTTAAATATAGCATGAAACCTGAGATGACGATGATGATGGTAGATGATGGTGGAGTAAGAGGGGACTTACCCAAGAATAGAAGAGCTGACCTGAGAACCCTTGAGACCTGTAGGCTTATTTCAAAGTCTAGAACTTCATTCCCAAATTTATGATCCTATCACCAGATATTTTCTGGCCAATACAGATTAGCTTAAATTAAGAGATAATTTATTATGGAAGATTGATTACAGGCATGTTGTCCACCCACTGTGGAACCATGTTTTCCATCATATTGCCATTTCTTGTTTAAGGAAAGAAATGCATCTCCCATCTTGACATGTTTATCATTGTGTGCCTGAGCTAATTATCTCCATGGGCTCAGTTTAGCTCTTAAAACTGATAGATGATTATCATGTCCTCTGGAAATGATGCATGCCATACATGTGCAGCTATACGTCAGAAGAAAAACAGTTTTTGAAGTCTTCATCTGTGTAGTTTACTGGAAATTGCATATTGAAAACTACGTCAATACATGACAGCATGTGTTAAAATTATATATACAGTTATATGTAAAAATGTAATATATGTATAATATATATTATGTGCAAAATTCATTATATGTAACCTATATGAGTCTGAGTATTGAGTTTGCTGTTTTATGTAGCTTAAAGTTACTGATGATCTCATCCACGTGATCTCTTAGCCGAGATCTAAGATGTTCTATTTCTCATCTGTTTATCTCTAATTTTTCCCTGTGTCGGGTTCAAAATTTAATAACTCTTCTCTTCTTCCGTCTGTGTCTCTCATCTATACCCTTAAGGCATCTTAGCAGCTAACAGGAGAGATAAGCAGCATTCTTTCTGTAATTGGCAAAGTTAGGGTACTCCATTTTCATTACAACTTTAAATCTGCCAAACCTACCATTCTGGCACAGAAACTTAGGACAAAACAGTAGCAGGGGGGATTGCATCTGCACCTCCAGCTTTGTCATTCTCTCTTTCACGGGTGCCTCAACTAGCCATTTAGAACTGGAGCTACCAACTGCAAAGTGATGGGTTGGAATCAGCATTCAGCCTTCCCACAAATGCTCCTTGGTCCTCGGGTCCTCTTGGGCATTATCTTTTTTCCTGTCTCCAAGAATTATCCCCATAGGTCAGTTCAGTTGATATATTGAGTGAGTGATGATATTTCCCCGCTGGCAGGAAAACGGGATGAGAGAATTTGGGACTAACTGCATGGCAAATAGCCCTTTTGAACATGTTTTGAGCCCTATTTCTCTTAAAAATACTACCAGACCCAAGAAATGTAAGATTTTTTGATGCTTTAAAAAATGGAATGTGGTCATTATGACATATAAAAAAATGGGTTGAATAAAAAAGGAGGCCACACAGGAGGGCTGGACACCCACCTGCAACCCACAGCTCTAATATCCTGTTGCTTGGATTCCAAGTCCTATGTGTTATTTTTTCAGTCTCAGAGTCCTTTATGTCCCCATAGCTCCTAGTCAGTTAGATGCAGTGTGTTCTCTTAATTCCCCCGGCAGACATTTTCTCACAGATTTGGAGGTTAAAAGGAAGAGGAAAAAAAAACTCTTCAAAACATAAACCCTAAACTACAAAACATAAGTAGAAAATGTTGAAGCTGGGAGCCTGGTTACCGTGGCAACTTGGGTTTGCCAAGTTCCCCTCTCAGAAAGCCGGTCCTCTGCTTGAATTGGTTGCTTCTCGGATGGGCCGTGACCACCAGGTGTGTGGCTCGAGCCAAGTGCATTGAAAGGAAAACTGGATTTGGCATGGCCCCATCTCCTGGGAGCATCATCTACATGACAGCTATTGATTCCTTTGTTTGAATCCATCTCCAACCCACATCCTTTCTGTGGGGAAGGGAGAGAAGGCCAGAAGCTTCTTGGCTGTAGCAGCTGAGAAGAGGCTTAGGGAGAAGGTAGGGAATTATCTGGTCTCTACAAGGAGAAGACTCTATAGAACCTCAGGAAAGCAATTTTCTGCGTTGGTATTCTTCTCAAAAACATTACTGGCATTTTTTTCTCCAAAGCACAGGGAACCATATTAGTTGCTAAGAATAAAAATAGGGCAACGTAGACCTCATTTTTAAGGTTCTTATGGTCTTCTTGAAAAAACATGGCATATTTCAGGCTGTAAGTGATAAGCACAGATAATACTTTCAGAGATGCTGGAGACCATGGAGGGTAGGTGGCTGGGCAGTCAGAGAAGACGGTGCAAGGGCCGAGCTGGAAGGAAAGCAAGTAGGAGACCAGGTCACTTTCCAGACACAACGTGATGAATAAAAATGGGTGCTACTGTGGCCTGACCAGATGCCAGAGAGCTCGGATCGGAGTATAATGGGATAAGTCAGGGACGTAAATTGTGGATTGATTCCGGAGTGCCTTTAAAGTAAGACTAAAGCGTTACTGGAGGGCCGCTGAAGGTGTTTTAGTGAAGAAGTAGATGTATGAAAATAAGCTTTTAGGAAATTTAACCTGGATGGTCAACCATTACAAAATAAGACATTGGAAGGAGAAAAACCAAACCAGAAGACTCACATCATGCGATATTAGTCTGATTTTATTTCCTCCTTTGGGGAGCCTGTCTCCTTCTGGATGCTTCATGGAGAAGGTAGAACCACACTTGAGCCAAGGTTTCCTCAGCTCTTTCACAGAATTCAAACTCAGTGAAGCAACTGGAGTCCACCTGTTATGTGTGTGGTTTGCATGTCTCAAGGCTCATCATCTATCTGTCAAAAAATGAATTTCTACACTTAGATAGACATGATTTATCTCAGGAAATGGAAGCTTAGCATTTTCCCTGGTAGGAAATGATGTCTTTAACTTCTTTCAGCTATTCCTCCTCACTAGCTGTGCCAAGAAGCCCGTCTGCCCCAAGGGGTGATGAAGTCCTGTGCTCTGCACTGGGGAGAGAACCCTGAAGGTGGGGGTAGGGGGAGCCTGCTTTCGATATTAAGACAAGCAATGTGAGTTCTCCTGTCACAAACCTGTTACAGATCTTAGGCAAAATAAACATAATTATCATTATTTTTTTACTCTTACTACTAGTTGAGAATATTGCATTTCAATTCTATGATTTAAAAACATTCCAAGCACTTTTAAATAATGAAAATATCCAAACATCTACCAGTTGTGGTAAAGACCAGTATGAATTAATGGAACATCTGAATTCTAAAATACATTTTAAAGAAAGAAATGCAGTGGGGAAAAAAAGTCCAATTGAAGCAGGAGCTGTTGGGGATTGCTACCTGCTGGTGCAGAGGATCAGCCTGTCTCTTATTTGCAGAGAAGTGTTGATACCGGGCCCTGAAATAAATAATAATTTTCATCTCAACGGATGCAATTGGCAGGAGCACTCAGGGCCCGTCCCAGTGCCTGGGTTGACACAGGAGGGGCCGCTGCTGGGCATGTCAAGGATACCACTGGCACCTCTAGCTTCTCTTTCCTCTCACCACCATTCCAGTCAGCCGACCACTGACATTCGGTGCAATGTGAATATATGTCAGGTATTACAATGGAAGAGAAACAGACACATGGAGAGGCGAAGTGTCATGACACGAGAGGAGGAGTATTTTATTGTTTAGCAAGGATTCAGTGCTGTTACTTCAAATTTTTCCCAAATGAAAACACATTGCATTCAAACATACATGGCTGTGTCCCAGCAAATAAAGATCCTTAGAGAAAGAAAGGTACTAAAAATAGTAATAGTTTTTACTGATCTCTATTTCAGTTCATCATCATAAGAACCCAGTGGGGTCACTATTATTATCCCAGTATTACAGATGAGGAAACTCATAGCCAAAGCTGTTAAGTAACTTCCTGAGATCACGCAGCTAGTGGACATGAAACTAAAGCCTTAAATGTATGTCCGACTGGATGCCATGTGGCGTTGCCAATTCACTCACCATTTCCCTAACAGAGAATTTGTAATTAACATGTAAAATGTGCTTCAAGTATGGTGAGGCTTGGATATATTATGTTCTCATAAGAACTGAAACCCAGGCAGGGAGTGGTGGCTCATGCCTGTAATCCCCACACTTTGGGAGGCCGAGGTGGGCAGATCACCTGAGGTTGGGAGTTTGAGACCAGCCTGGCCGACATGGTGAAACCCCATCTCTACTAAAAATACAAAAATTGGCCAGGTGCATGTCTGTCATCCCAGCTACTCGGGAGGCTGAGGCATGAGAATCGCTTGAACTCGGGAGGTGGAGGTTTCAGTGAGTTGAGATTGCACCATTGTACTCCAGCCTGGGCTACAGAGTGAGACTCTGCCTCAAAAAAAAAAAAAAAAAAAAAAGAAAGAAAAAGATAAAAGAAACTAAAACCCTTTCTCAGGGATCCCTTATACAGGGGAATGCAAATTCAAAAGCCCACAGAATTCAGGCAGGAAATATAAATGTGTGAATTAGGCTGGGTGAAAGAAAGTGGGAAGCTGGAAGGCTTTAGGGGGACCTGGGGCATCCTGCCCTGTGAAAGATTGCAAGTTCGATACATTTAAAAACACTCCATGGTCAGATGAAACATTCCTGTAATTATTTGTTTATGATTAAGCATACTATCTTTTCAAGTGGTGAATGTGCAAAATTATGATTTTTTTTCCATCATACATGTTAAAAAGTTAAGCTTCAGATCAGGGGTTTGTACACATACGAACTAGTTAGGACCAAATAAGAGAAAACACGTGATTATTATTTCTTCATTTACTCTCAGAGCAATGAAACTAAATATATGAGAAGAGTGTGAGACGGGGTGTAACGCTGGCTGACTTAGAGATGGCTACGTAGCTAGTTAGTCATAAAGTCTGCAGCACGGCTTAGAGTGGAAGGGGGTAGGACTGCTGAATTTTGAAATCCAACACAGCAACAGAGGTGTGGTGCACGTCTGACTGGAGAGAAGCTGGATACGCTTTGGCAGCAAAGGACATAGTGGGCAGACGTGTGAAGGCAGAAACTGTGTACAATTTTCTGAATAATGAAAAAAATGTCTTAAAGGGTTCTAGCATGAATATTTATAAATATCAGGAAGTGCCAACATCTTTATGAGATCAAAAAGACATTAGTCTGGTGGGACTGTAACCTGGCGCCGCTGCTGCAGAAAACAGTCTGGTGGTTCCTTAAAAAGTTAAACGTACCATAAGACCCAGCAATTCCACGCCTACGTATGCACCCAAAAGAATTAAAAACATGTGTTGAAACAAAAACTTGTATATGAACGTTCATGGCAGGAGCAAAGCCATGCAAATAGCAAAGAGGTGGAGATCATCCAAATGTCCAACAACGGATGGACGGATACACACAGTGTGGTGTATTCATACAGTGCATGGTATGGGGTGGGATACTATTTGGCCACAGAAAGATATGATATACTGATACATACTGAAACACGGATGAACCTCAAAAACATCAACTAAGGGAAAGAAGCCAATCACAACAGACCATATTACATGATTCCATTATGATTCCATATGAACTATTTAAAACTATGCCTAATGTATTGAGATGGAAAGTAGATTAGTGGTTGCTTAGGGATGGGGAGATTGGGAAGTACAGAGGTTATAGCTAAAAGGTATAGGGTTTCTCTTTGTGGTGACGAAAATGTTCTAAAGTTGACAGCAGTGCTTGCACTTACCTACTTACCTGTGAACACACTATACACCCTTGAATTGTACCCTTTAATAAAGTGTATCATATGGTAAGTGAATGATATGTCAATATGGCTTTTTTTTTTTTTTTTTTTTTTTTTTTTTTTTTACAAAAGAGACATTACTGTCGCCTGGGCCTCCATGCAGTCCATTCCCATCCTTGGTAGTTTTGCATTTCTCGTTTCAGGCATGTGTGCCACCAGTTGATTATGATAATGGCCTGTGCTTGGGTGGCACCTTTCTTTCAAGAATGTCAAGCAGTTTGCAAACACTAATTAAGCCTGTACTGCCGGCAGATTGGTAAACATTGTTTTACTTCTCGCAAACATTCAAGCAAAACCCCTCTGGGAAAACCTGCATCGATGCAACTGCTGTAACCCATTTCCTCTCGTTGGTTGGTTTCAGAGCATTTTTAAGGATGTGGGAAGGACATTCATACTTACTGAATGTTTACTATGTGTTTCCCATTGTTGTAGGGCCTTCTGTGAACACATCATTTAACTCTCACATCAAATCACGAAGTGAGAGTTGTTGTCCCTGTGTGTCACTAGGGTAAATTGAGATCCAGACAAGTTGAATGTACTGGTCAGAGTTCTTGGTTCCAAGCAATAGAAATCAACTCTCACTAGTCTAAGCAATATAGGGGTTTATGGTAAGGATATCCGGCAGCACACAGAATCAACAGGAAGGCTGAAGCACAAGGCACGGACAAAGGGGGATGAGGAAGCTGAGACCACAGTAGGTCCCACCACCAGCAGCACTATGGCCTGTGCCCACCATAGAGCTCTGCAGGGTTGCCAGCCCTGGGCACTTGAGACTGATTCCCTAGAGTCTTCATTGAATTGCTCCCTCCATGACTGATCTCAACTGTCTCTATGTTTTGTTTCACTCTTTTAAGAACCGAAGTTCTGGCCAGGCACGGTGGCTCATGCCTCTAATCCCAGAACTTTGGGAGGCCGAGGCATTGGATCACCTGAGGTCAGGGGTTCGAGACCAGCCTGGCCAGCATGGCGAAATTCTGTCTCTACTAAAAATGCAAAAATTGGCTGGGCATGGTTGTTGGTGCCTGTAATCCCAGCTACTTGGGAGGCTGAGGTAGGATAATTGCTTGAACCTAGGAGACAGAGGTTGCAGTAAGCCAAGATCGTGCCACTGCACTCCAGCCTAGGCAACAGAGCGAGACTACATCTCAAAAAAAAAAAATGACATAGAAGACATAAATGCAAGTCTTCTGAGTCTGGTGTTCTTTCTATTGTGCCATCCTGGGCTCACACTTGATGCTATTTCACTCCCGTGCACTTACTATGCATCAGATACCTGTGCAAGGTGCTGGCTGACAGTATGGAGAAGAGAGCCACACTCCCTCAAGCAACTTTCGGCCATTGGGAGGGAAGGTGAGAGAAAGCACAGTGAACTTACCATGTGATTTCTAGAGGTGTTTCCACAAAGAGAGGGGATCTTCCAGGAGGGGTATCATGAGAGGCTCCCTAAAATGAGGTTTGTGGACTGACTTAGGTCTTAGCTTTTGACTGAATCTCTTCTCTGTAGACTCTGTGGTTTTCTCCTTCCTAAGAAGTTTGTGCTGAAAGCATAAATAACCATCCTAACCACCTGTCATTTAAATCAGTTAAATGACAGTAGATTTATTATTCTTACAGAAAAGGATTCTTATTATAGCAAGAATACTACACATGTCAGCAGAGACAGTTCCTGTTCATAGTGGCTTCATCAAATTGTCAGTGCCTCTCCTTGTGCTTATATTCATTCATTCAACAGATATTCATTGAGCATCTACTATGTGCCAAGCCCAGTTCTAGACACTGCAGCTGCACAGTAAATAAGACAAAGTATTTACTTTTATCTTAGTGGGGAAGGCAGACCATAGACAAATATATTATATATATATTATGTCTGGAACTCATAAACACTGTGGAGGAAAGCAAAACAGGATGAGTGACTGAACAGTAATAAGGTTGGGGTGCCTGCTACTTTAGAGTGTCAGGGAACAATCGAGCTAAGACCAGGAAGCATTTCTTAGTTCAGCTGAGTGAGGAGGTCAGAGTTTGGTGTTTGGACGTTGGGGTGATTGGTGGGGGATGGGAAGTGATAGGCGTGACAGTTTCTTTGATTGGGTCAGCTCAATGGTTTATGAAAAATAGAAGGCTGTCTTAAAAAATGAGTCTGTCCTCTTGTTCATTGATCACTCTAAGCCTGTGATGGAGTTGCTCTTCTTATGGTAGGCAAGCTCACCGGGAGGCCAGAGTTAGGTATTGACTTGGCTTTAGGTGCAGAAAAAGTTCGAGATGAGTTGACATCATTTGCCACATACGAGCCCAAAGGGCAATAGTCAAGAGGCCTAAGAATAAGAGGCCTTGACTGATAAGTAGGAAGAGGTAGACAAAGAGGTTAAGCCCATTCTAGCTACAGGGACAGCATGTGTGGAGACTCAGAGGCAACGGTGACCATGGAATGCCCAAGTAGTCTGGTTTGGGCAGGAGTGTAGAAAGCAAAGCAGGGGAGAATTGAGAGATACTGCTGAGGAGGTAGACAAGGGGCAGACAACAGAAGGCTTTATGTGCCAGGCTAAAGAATTTGAGCTTTTACCCTTGATGCCTGGCACATACTAGGCATAAATATTTTGGTGGATCCATAGGAATGTCAGGCCCTGGGAAACAGGAAATAGTTTCAAGTGGAAGAGTGATGATTGAGGTTTTGAAAAGGTCCAATCTAGAGGCAGGATGGAAATATCTTTGAAGAGGGGAAAGATTGGAGTCAGGAATCCTCGTCAGCCTGCAGACTACAGAAATCCAGATGAGAGGTACTGAGGACTGAGTGGAAACTTTAAGGGAGATGGAGAGAGAGTGTGTGTGTGTTTGCTTTCTCTCTGATGTTAGCATCACATGTGCCTGCGTACAGTGTTAGGACACGAGGATCACCAAACTTATACCATTTGTTGAAAACTCCAGTAGGAAAATATCTAAGAGACTGGAGGTAATTTTTTTCTTGATGCAGAGTTTGTGTAGCGCTAAAATATATCAGTATACTCAGTAACAGGATTTTTTTTATAGATTATATTTAATTTGACAAGTTTTCCTCCCATGGCTGTATCTGAGGTGGGTAGGGTATAAGACTCAAGGAATTTTTGGCTTTCAGTGTGCTCTCTTACTGCTTGTTGGATTCTAATGGGAGTTTCATGGGAGCCCAGAGACTTCCCAAGGATCTTCCTTTTCTTATGGCCTCTCTGGGGTTCCTTCACCCTGAAAGCAGCAGCATCCAGTATCCCACCAAATTACTCACAAATGGTTCTCTGTCTTCTTGGAGTCAGAGATATTTCATTCCAAGCTCTGTTTCCTGTCACTGAAGACACAGTTGGATCATCATGGACAGTGATTTGCTGGTGTTTAACCGTCATGCTCATGCTGGAGAAGCAACCGCCCCTGAGCTATGTGTCTGCCTCTCACCAGAGGCCCAGGGCTTAGTGTTCTCATGCCTTCCTCAGCTACCATTAGGGGTGGGCACAGCTCACTGGTGGAGAGAGAGAGAGAGGCTTGTCTCATTTAGGAGTTGGTCTAGATGTGTATCCCATTGTATTTGGGACCTTACAGAATTGGGAGAATTCTGAACTAGGCTCTCTGACTGAGGATAAAAACTCATTGAGATTCATTCCAGCTCAAAGCCAGACTGAGTAACTTTGGCTTTGTTAACCCTTCTTTCCTTTCTTCCCTAGATTTGGTCTACAATGTGTCAAACACTCTTGTAGGCACTGGTGTGCAAAGGAAAATTAAATTGGCTGCTGCTCTAAAATTGCTCACAGTCTGTTGGTGAAGAATGGTAAATAAACAGATAACTAAAATACACTAAAATAAGAGCTGTGGTGGAGATTTATCTTTTCATTTTAGTTTTTTCTAAGGAAAAAAAAACAGAGAGGCTTGTAAATTTCACTTTAATTTCCTGTTAGATGGCTTATGGACATATTTTAATGCTTCACCAACCCTACCTCAAGAAAAAAACAGTTACCTTAATTTTCTAGTCTATATTTCTTCATAAGAGTCAATTACCTACTTTAGGAAGTCATAAACACAAGTGCCAGTCAGGTGACATGAGTGCGTGCAGGGCTGCAGAGGAGGCTGGAGAAAGGGGAAACTGAGGAGCGCTTTCTTCCAAAGGGGGCAGCTGCTTCCCAGAGCAGGCAGATTGTTGCTGGGCAGAAATACACATCCAATGATGCCAGCTCTCATGGTTTTTCAAGAGAAACTGGGTTTTATGTGAAATCTTTGAGTTTTAAATGTTAGCAACTAACTCGAATAATTAAAAAAAAAGTTGCAGTGCCAACGATGCTCTTCTCTGGCTGGACTGTCCAGAGCAACAGCAGTTAGTGTTCTGAGAGAAAGGTTTGTGTGAACTCCTAAAGATGCACGTGAAGACTGTGGCAGAAACGTCCACGGTTATCAAATAGCTCTCTCATCACTGAAGAATGCCTTTGTTTTGGAGACAGAAAGGGAAACTCAAATACTTGTCATTTGCTTTCTTCTCTTTGCTATTGCATAGCACTTGGCAGTATTCGGGGAAAAAAAAACACTCAAATAAACAACACTGATTTTTCTTTGAATATAGAAATCCCAGAGCACGCCCACTGGAGACTTGGACTAGGTCTGACCGTTTTTTTCTGTACCTCCTGACACCTAAGCCAAAATGAGCTACAACGCTCTAAATTCTCCTTTGCAGAAGCAAGTGAAGGCCTAAGGCTAAGAGGCATGGCTGTCCCTGGACAGAGATCTCCTCCTACAGCAGCTCTCTCCAACCTCCCTGTGCTTTGACTCTGAGGACCCTGCCACCTCCTGCCCCATTCTCTCTCCTGAGTAACGCTGCTGCAAGGAGCATGTGGGGTGGGGGAGCTGCCTTCAGGGCCGTGCGCCTTCTGTGCCCATTCCCTGACTCTGGCCATCACTGAATATGCCTGTGCCTGGCTGCTGCAGTCTGAGGGAGGGGACACACTGGATCTTGAAAATTTTAAAGTACAGTTGATGTTACCTTCCTTAGAAGATGAAAGGGCATGGGCCACTCTGAGTGCTGGAGCTCCCTGGAGGATGGGGTGGGGTGGGGGAGGCGTGCTTCCCCCCGGGCCCTGCAGTGCTGGCAGGCTGCCCTCGCCAGGCCGTTGATGGTGCCCACCAGCCAAGGGCTATAAATACAGTCACATTTCCCACACACTGTATTTATGTTTCAGAAAATGTCTGCGTTGCATACGTAATGTAGGAGATATAATTATAATATTTCAAAACTGGCCAAATTTCGTGAAATATAAAATAACAGATGGCACCACACAATATTGGTGCGGTGTGCTTCATTTAAATCATAACTGGGGCCTGAAAATGTTCCCATTTCGTGCAGGGTGGTGACGAGAGTGTGTGCTGGGAGGAGGGGGCGGGGTGGTTCCCCTTCTCTGTCCTCTCCAAGCTTTTCTTTCCAAGGAAAGCGGAGTTATCGCGCTAGCGCTATTCGTTCCCGGTAGCCTCGAGGCCGGCCTTGCTAATCTAACCATTGTTTCCTTCCCAGTGTTTCCTTTATCTGGGGAAAAGGAAGTTTGACTTGGAAACTCAAGCTATGGCTTGGACGTTGACAGCCTATCAGATATTAGGCCCCAGTTTTGTGGGTGGCATTGACCCCTCCCAGGTGTCTATTATTCATTAACAACCAAGAAGCTGTTGTTAAAATTTCAAACCTCCAGATACATGTTCTTCTCTTTATCTTCAGCAGTAGCCGTGACACCGGCTGCTCCCACACAGGCATGGGCTGTGCAACATGGAGAATTGGCAGATGGTGCCTGCTTTGTTTTGACCCATTGCTTGTTCTCCACCTTCATCCAAAGCCGAAACAGTCTGAGATGTCACCAGTTCTCAAAAGGTCCTTGGGACACTGGAGTTCAAGTGTGAAATTAGGACACCCTCAAGCCTTGTCTAGAAGCAAGGTTATACTAAGAGACAGCCACACGGTCTCTGCTGCTCAGATCTCCTCAGACCAAACCAAATGGCTCATTGCTCAGATCGATCTGGGTTCATATACACACTTATACACAATCCACATTCCCCAAGCAGTTGCATTTGTTTCTTTTTTCATCCTAATTGCCCTTCTTATCTCACTGAAGAAACCATAATGTTTAGCAGTAAGTTTGCAGATCCCTAAATTGTTCATGAACAATACAGTCATAATGGGCCATGGATGCTGGTTCCCGGCTCTGCTGCCTGGTATGTGAAGTGCTCTGTAACTCAGCTTTTACTGTGTCGAAGGCGGCAGAATCAGCCCCACCTGGGCTGAAATAATCAGTAGGTATCTGCATTTACCCTTTGAAGGGAATTTATTTCCATAGCTCCTGCCTATCACAGATAATTGGGAATCTAAATGTGAGAAAATCATTGATCTTTGGGCAGAACAACATTCAGTGATTGAGGATAACAAATTTCAGCTTCACGGAAGAAACAGCACTGAAGAAAAAGCCATCCTAAAGGGCAGTAAGTTCCCCATCAATGGAGGTATCCAAGTAAGACCTGGGTGGCCACTGGGAAATGATGGCATGGTGGAAGGCATTCCAGAGCCTTGCTTCTCAGAGTGTGGTTCCCAGAACCAGCGGCATCAGTATCAGCTGGAAGCTCCCTGGGGATGCAGATGCTCAGGCCTTGCCTAAGATCCACAGAGCCAGGATCCGCATTTTGGCCAGATCCCTTGGGGGTTTGTATGCATGTTAATGTGTGGAGCACTGCCGGATCGGAGTCCTCATGTACTCATGTTTCTGAGTGAGCTGTTCCAGGTGTATGTGGTTTATCACAAGCCTAGGACTGGCTGTGGCGCTCAGCACCCTCTGAATTCTTACACAGAAAGACCACGGACAAGGAAAGTCTGAGGAGCTGAGGAGGCTCCCCTGACTCCTTCCCTCCTTCATGCTTTTAAGACTGTGGAATTGGGAAGTGGCCCTTTTCTTGGCCTGCTGTCCACTCCACTCCCAACTTGCTGAGGGTGCTGAAATTCACACTGTGGGTTATTCGTTTGAGCTTGAGCATTGAGAGGTCTCATGAAAACGATAGCATCTTAAGTAGATGCAGTAATGCCTTAAGCCGTTATTACCAATTAAGCTATTAATGTTAATTAGTGTATCAATTTGCTATCAAAGAGCAGGTCTTATCATCTTCACATCCCCACTACTCACCATGTTGCCTGAGATACATTATTAGATAATTTATTCTCCATGTATAGCTTTTTCCAAAAAAAGGATTTGGGGTGGCGTGGCCTGGTCCAGTAAATATATGTTAAACCAGAATGGTTCAGAATCTATGGGAGTTAGTCAAGGTACAGGTGGGTAAAAGGATTCTTCGCAGGGAAATTTCTGAGGATGAGGCATCCCAGGGAGCTCTGGACAGCCAGGGGCAGCTGCAGAAAGACAGAACTTATGGTACCTCTTCCACGATGTGCACAGAGAAGACTTGTGACCCTTATACAGAACACACTCTTTGCCTCTTGCCCTTGTGACAGTGGACACTCCAGAACTTGCATGATATGTGCCCAGGCTTACCGATGCAGATGTGCTATGAGGAAGTGGCTAAGAGCATGGGCCCCGGACCCAGGAGAATCCTGGCTATGTCTATTCCTAGTGCAGTAATGGCCTTGGGAAAGTTGCTCAACGTTTTTAATCCTGTACGTCTTTGCCTGTGAAATGAGGATAAGAGTAGGACCATCCAACAGGGTTGTGAGGATGGAATGATGGAACACGCTGTGCTTTGCACAGTGCCCAGCACATAGTAAGTGGTTAGCAAGTAGTAAACGTTGTTGCTGTTGCCATTGTTGTCATTGTTTTGCTAGGGCAAGCTATTTCAACTCGCTTTTGAATATAATCCCACATTCAGACTCAGAATTTCACAGATCATTTTACGACTTTTTAACAGCACCTAAAGATGTATCCTGATCCTGACTTCTTCTCTGGTTGACTTGTGTGCTCCTTGCTGCAGACGTCACTATCATCTCTTCTTTTGTAGATACAGATAGTTTCCTGGGCAACTTTCATTTGCATAAGGGTATGGGAGATCCATATTGCTTTATAAGAAAAAGACAAATCTAGAGGTATTTCATTCAATCTTCACTGTCATATGATTGTCAAATATGCTCTCCAAAGAAGTCTTCAACCATGAGGACAAAATACTAAAGATGGAACTAAGTGAAATAAGTTATTACCAAGTTCCTTATCCATTCTGCAGGCAGAACTCCTCCTACATTTAAACAAACCCATGTGAAGGAAAACTAGACCGAAAGACTAAGGATGACTCCTTTTTCTTAATTTTTTTTTTCTAGGAAGGTTAATTTGTTGATGAGGATACACAAGAATGTCCAGGATATCCTTTCATCTTCCCATGTCCTCATGCTGAGCTGCTTCGGAGGAAAGGTTTACATATCTTTCAACTTTCTCTAAAAAACAAGAACCTGGGGTACAAGGAAATAGGGTTTCGTGCCTTAGGCTGGGTGTGCTGAGGGCATTCACTAGTTTTCCCACGAATGTTCTTTCATTCCAGGATCCCATCCAGGATACCATATTGCATTTAGTCATCATGTCTCCTTAGTATCTTCTGAACTGTGTCCAACACAGAAATCCAATTTTGTCAACATTTCACCACAAGCCGGGGAAGGATGCTGCCCGTTTCTCAGCTATTTTACAATCACTATTGAGTTCCTACTGTGTGAGACAAGGACAAGTTTACCAGCTGGGGATGGTTATGGAGAGGTGCAGAAATAGTTACTATACCTTGTGACACCTACTGTAACAGGAAATATACGAGGCACTATAATATCCCTGAAAATAAATGGATGATTCTTGCCAGGAAGATACAACAGCCCAATTCATATTTTCTGGTAGAGGGTTCATTGGGATGAACCTCGTGGTCAAATGAATCAATTGAATTGGGATGTCCATTTATGTAAGAGATTGTGTTTCAACACAGTTCAGAAAGAAAAAAAAACGCCCATGAGCATCGCTCCTATGAACCGATGATTAACAGAGAGTGTTGGAGGGTTACATTCATAGAGCTCGGCTTTTCCAGTCCAGCTGTGAAATGGAGGTGTGGGGTCTGCTTGAGACAGATCTGGGTTGGGGTCTGGAGTGGTAAGTGGCCCCCCAGTCTTTCTCTGTCTCTTCATAGCCGGTATTCTTGGAAAGTTGTCTATGTGTTTGTCCTCTCTCCTTTCTTCACCTTCTACTCATCTTCCAACCCACAGGAGGTTAGCTTCTACTCCCTTACTGCTACAAAGGAGTTTTTTCTAAGGCCATTAATGCCCTCCCTGACAATCAGGTAACAGAAGAAAGTTAACACTCATCGTAGCCAGTTGCTGCATTGTCCATCACTCCCTCCTCATGAAGGCCCTCTCTTCTCCTGGATTTTGTAACATGACCCTCTCTTAATCTGCTCCCACTTTTCTCTCTGCTCATTCCTGGCAAGTATTTTTTAGTCAAGCCATTGAAAAGATAAGACTCAGTTCTAGGTTTCCTTATTCCTGTATATGTTTCCCAAGATCATCTCATTTTTTGACATTGTGGCTGGCATCAATTACTGTAGAGCTTAAAGAGTACAATTCATCATTTCTCTCTCCCCACCGGCTTCTGAAAGAGCTGAGAAACACCAAGTCAAACAGGCATCAAACTATCAATCTTATTACTAGTAAGGCTGAACTGGAGAATGCAGTCTTGATTCAAGTCCAAAATGAGCTTCTCATTTAACAGCCTCCTTTCTCCCAGTTGATCTCATTCATTTGGCCACAGGCAAAATAATTTGTCAACTGTAGCTGTAGGCCTCCCTCTGCAGAGCCAGGGCCTGCCAGTGGCTTATCACCCAGAGGAGGAAGGAACAGAAAGGAGGACACACATGAACTCCAGATAGCCCTTTTAAGGGGAGAAAGGCAGCGAGAAAGAGGGAGAGAGGGCCAGATGGAGGGAGCAGGGCGGGAGACACAAAACGAATAAATGTGTGTGAGCAGAGCCTGGTAATACATTAACCCTGCCTAGTGGAGAAACAAGGACTCAGACATGTCAGACCTTTGTCATCTCTCTAATTAGAGAAATCAATCTTATTCCTGTGGGGGAAGAGCAGTGGGAAGCAAAGGACAGACAGCAGCTTCTTAATATTTTTCCTGAGAAGGCAAAAGTCTCTATTACCTGAACCTGAAGAAACTTGGAGAGAGGGAGTGACGACTCCTTCAATTGCTGCTTATGCCACGCAGCTTACAAAGTCTTGGCCTGTGTTGAGTTATTACTGTGTGCCAGGCACTATGCTCATGGCTTCGTGTCCATGGTCTCAGATCTTCATGTCAACTCTGAGGTTGGGGGGTGGGAATTGTTAAGGAAATTAAGCTTGGAGAGTTTCAGGTCACACCGACTGTCGGGAATGGATACAGGATTGGAGGCCAGGCAGTCTGACTCTAGAGCAATGAGCTGTTGTGATGTGTTGTGATGCTGCTTCCCCAGCAGAACCCATGACTGCACTCTTCAGCCAGGTCTGAGTTCACTGTGTCCTTTCTCATTCATTGACACTATGTCCGTGCATCTGTGCAGAAACAGAACCAGGAATCGAGGGGTCAGATTTGGAAATTCTGCTGCCCCTGTTCCCATCACCACCAAATTCTGTGGCTTGTGTTTCCTAAAACTCTACAGTCCGGTAGTGGGTGTCCGTGCCCATTGCCATCATCTAGTGCTTTAGACAAAGCTGCTCTTGTTCATGCCTGGACTGATGCAGTGCACTTCCGACTGTCCCCGCCCCATCCATGTCTGCTCCTTTCCAATTCATTCTACACATTGCACCCAGAATGCTCATGCACACTTCCTTCCCCAAACTTATAAATCATCACTAGTTCTCCCTCAGTGTCAGGATGGAGACAACGCTGCTCAGCAGAGCCTGTGGTCTCCCTAGGATTTGGCCTTCCTCTGCTCCTCCACCCTCACCAGCCCTGGCCACCTGGGCCTTCTTTCAGTTCCTTAAATGGGCCCTGGTCATTTCCCGCACGTGCATCCCCCTAACCTGAATTACTTTCATTCATCCCTGAGATCTCAGATGAAATCTCTCCTCCTGAGGGAAGGCTTCCCTGGCCTGTTAAACCAGGTTCAGCCTCCCGCTTCTCCTCTCTTAATACAGTGCCCCTCCATTTCGGGTAATCGTCACGGTGATAATTCCTGTCTATGTGCATGATTATTTAACAAAAGTCTCTACTTCCCTGTGGACTTTAAATTCAGGGTCCAGAGGCCTTGTCTGGTGTTACCGTCTTGTATCTCAAGTGTCTAGTATAGAGTCTAACCAGAATATTCTCAATAAATGCCATTGGCTCCTCTTATGATGACGGTGATGCCTAACATCAACTGAATACTTTTGCATGCCAGACACTGTTCTCAGTGCTTCTTAACACATGTTGCCATCCTTTCTCACACTGGCATGAGGAGGTAGTTACTTTCTTTATCCCCATTGTATCGATGAGGAGACTGAAGATAGCAGACACCGAGGCGTGCTGCCTGGAGGGACTGAGTGTCAGAGCCAGATCCCAAACCCAGGTCTGTTTGGATGCTTGCCATGAGGCTCTGCTGCCTCGGAAGCATCCATTGCTGGACTGTTTATCTGAGAGCTGGAAAGAGAAGAAATCAAAATCTTAGTTATCTGTGAAATGGCCTAACCCCCTATTGCATATATGTTGGGTGTCTTCGTCACTTGACTGAGACAAAAGTTATTTGTGACTGTGTCAAATGTAAGTTTCCATATTTCTGATTTTTTAAAGACTGGAAGAGGGCTGAGAAAAACCAGACCAAGAACCAGAGCCAAGAATAAAGTGCCCTGGGGCATGCCGCAGGGAGTAGAGAGCATGGGTGTGCAGGGATGCAGGCAGGAGCGGGCGGACAAGGCAAATCAAGACATCAAGGAGGAAGGAGTCTAACGGCAGGGCCAGGGAGTTGGAAGAGCCCTCCGTGTGGTTGCATGCAAGCCCACACTCTGGAAGGAAACTTCGTATGGGTAGGGCAGGCTGCAGAAAGAGTTTGACGAAGAGTTTCCTCAAGTGACACCCTGAGAAGCAGTCAGCTGGAGGTCAGTGTGGGGGTGTAGAGACCTTTCCACCTGGCATGCGATCCAGGAAACTTCCATGTGGGAATCTTCGGGATCCGCTTGAGAATAAGACTTGCTAGAAATCAATACGTCAGGTTGTTGCTGGACCAGTAATGACAACAGTGGCCCTTTATTGAGCTCCTAAGCGCTGTGCTGAGTGCTTTACAGACTTTCTCTCACTTACTCCTCATGGCAGCACTGTGGGATGAACATTCTTATCTTAATTCATCAGGTAAGGAAATAGGGACTCAGAGAGGGGAGGGCAGCTGTCTAAGGTTACACAGCAGGATTCTGACTCAGGCCTATCTGATCTCAAAGTCTCTTCACTCTCTGAATTCTGCCTGTTGGAGTATGGCTTGTGGCCTACACCACAAAAGTGATTTTGTAGGGACCCTTGATGTTCATTCATTCATTCACGCATCTCTACGTTCATTCCATACATATTTACTGAATTCCTCCTGGAGACTGAGGCTGCAGTGAAGAACAGCAGTGCTGAGAAGGCCCTGGCCACAGATGCAAGAAACAAAAGTGACGATCCTCAAGCCAACACAGGTTTCCTGTTTACTAGTGTCCCCAGTGGGCGGTGATAGCACAGGTTGTGACACTTTTTTCCAGAAAAGTGGCACAAGGTAAGGAGCCTGCACAAGGGAAGGAGGCCGCACAAGGTGAGGAGGCTGCACAAGGGGGAGGAGGCTGCACAGAGGGACGAGGCTGCACAGGGGGAGAAGGCCACACTGGGGCAGGAGGCTGCACAGGGGGAGGAGGCCACACTGAAGTAGGAGGCCACACTGAAGGAGGAGGCCGCACAGGGGCAGGAGGCCACATAGGGGGAGGAGGCCACACTGGGGGCAGAGGCCACACAGGGGGAGGAGGTTGTGCTAAAGGAGGAGGCTGCACAGGGGGAGGAGGCCACACAGGGGGAGGAGGCCGCACTGGGGCAGGAGGTCGCACATGGGGAAGAGGCCACACTGAAGGAGGAGGCCACACGGGGAGGAGGCCATATTGAAGGAGGAGGCTGTACAGGGGGAGGAGGCTACACAGGGGGAGGAGGCCACAATGAAGAAGGAGGCTACACAGGGCGAGGAGGCCACACAGGGGAAGGAGGCCACACTGAAGGAGGGGGCCACACAGGGGGAGGAGGCCGCACTGGGGGCAGAGGCCACACTGGGGCAGGAGGTCGCACATGGGGCTGGAGGCCACATTGAAGGAGAAGGCCACACAGGGGAAGGAAGCCACACAAGGGGAGGAGGCCATACTGAAGGAGGAAGCTGCACAGGGGGAGGAGGCCACACAGGGGGAGGAAGCTGCACAGGGGGAGGAGGCCATACTGAAGGAGGAGGCTGCACAGGGGGAGGAGGCTGCACAGGGGAGGAGGCCGCACAGGAGGAGGAGGCTGCACAGGGGGAGGAGGCCACGCTGAAGGAGGAGGCTGCACAGGGGGAGGAGGCCACACAGGGAGGAGGCCACACAGGGGGAGGAGGCTGCACAGGGGAGGAGGCCACGCTGAAGGAGGAGGCTGCACAGGGGAGGAGGCCGCACAGGAGGAGGAGGCTGCACAGGGGGAGGAGGCTGCACAGGGGGAGGAGGCTGCACAGGGGAAGGAGGCTGCACACGGGAGGAGGCCACGCTGAAGGAGGAGGCTGCACAGGGGAGGAGGCCGCACAGGAGGAGGAGGCTGCACAGGGGGAGGAGGCTGCACAGGGGAAGGAGGCTGCACAGGGGAGGAGGCCACGCTGAAGGAGGAGGCTGCACAGGGGGAGGAGGCTGCACAGGGGGAGGAGGCTGCACAGGGGAAGGAGGCCATGCTGAAGGAGGAGGCCACACAGGGGAGGAGGCCGCACAGGGGGAGGAGGCTGCACTGTGGGAAGAGGCTGCACAGGGGAAGGAGGCCATACAAGGTGGGGTGAGGGGCCTGCATGAGTCAGGAGCCTGCTGTGGTCCCTTTTCACTCTGAGATCAGAGAACGGGCGATACCCTGTATGTCATCACCAGCTGATGTTTCTGTCTGTGGTCCACGGAAACCAAGGGCTCTTGACACAGATTAGCCCCTGTGCTCCGGGCTGTTCCCTGGCCTCTATGGGGAGGAGGGGCCTCACTTACCAACATGGCTTCTTGCTTCCGAATGCCTTGTTCTCCCAAAGCCAAAATCGGTACTCAGTCCTGCTCCCTTTCCTTCTGTGGAACCAGCTGCTTCACTACCCCCCACTCCCTCCCTCTCTCATTTCTCTCCATCCTGGTGGGTAAAGGGCCTTTTCTTTGTACTGTCATGCAAATGTGTGAGTCTCTTCCACAAAGTGTGTACTTAAGAAGGGGGCGAGGGAGCATCATGCAAAACGAGGTAAGCAGGTTTTGGTGGTTGTTTTTAAAACAGTTTTCTCTCCTGCTTGAATATGTCACTGAAGAATATTACTCTTTCAGTTTGCATTTGTGTCTTGGTAAATGGTCTCAGTGTCATTATGCAGATCCTCCCTAGGGACCTCCTCCCTCCCCCACCATTACTAATGCCCACTGGCCTGCTTTGGAGGAGGAACCAAAACCACACTTTCTGGCCCCTCTACTTGTAGGTGCCTGTGAAGGTCACACATGACTTTTTCACCTACTCCTGCTCTTCCAGGTTTCTGAGAACATGAACATCCCTCTCTGGAGGACCATATTATCTCCAACTGATTATAGAAATGTAATGAAGGCTTCATGTGCCACACACTGAGATATCCAGATGGGTAAAATTGAGCCCTTGCAAAATGATCTCTTCACTATTTCTCCTACTTGGGGAGGAAGTTGGATAATTTCTAAGTCTCTGGTGATGTTTTCTTGGGTGAGAATAAAAGCATTCTCAGATTCTCAGTGTTTTAACTTATAGTAATATGAGAGAGAGAGAGAGAGAGAGAGAGAGAGAGAGAGAGAGAGAGAGAGAGACACACTACACTCTAGGTGCAGGGGAGGCCTGGGAGGGTGGGTTGTATATATGAATGAAGTGGGCCCTGGGGCTGCAGTAGCACAGAGGAGCTTCTTTGCCTAGAAGAGCAGCTAGAATTCCAGACGATTTTTATTAGATGGAATGAAGAATCAGCTTGATTAAGTCATCTGATTTTTCAAGAAAACCTAAAAATCTGGATGACGACTTGTTGGCAACATACTTTATCTAAAAATACTGCTGGATATAGAATACGTGTCCTGGGGTCAAATCCAGCTCCCAGGCTGCCAGTTTGCCACTGCTGGCATATGCTGTTCCAGAGGATAGACACTGAAAGCTGTGAATGTGGGTTGTGAGCCTCCTTCCATGGGAGGTGGTTGGGGAGGTTACTAAAGCCTTAATGAAAGTGTCAGGGAAGAAATATTTCCTCTTTGCTATCAGAGATCAGAGTGCAGGAGCCATGAGTTCTTGATGCTCCAATGTCATGGCCAAAATCTTGGCCTGGAAGATGTAGTGACAAGTGTGCCCTTTGGCACGGCTGGACCTACCGCTGTTTGCCATTTCTGGCTCTGTATTCCTCAGCTCCGAACCCTTGGCACCTGCAGATCCTGGCAAAGGCTCCATGAGCTAATTTCCACCTTAAAATGCTGTCATGGGTCGAATGTGGTGGCTCACGCGTGTAATCCCAATGCTTTTGAAGACTGAGGCAGGAGCATTGCTTGAACCCAGGAGTTTTGAGGCTGCTATAAGATATAATTGCACCACTGCACTTCAGCCTGGGTGACAGAGTGAGGCCCTATCTCAAAAAAAAAAAAAATGCTTTAGGTTGGTGCTGGGGAAAGGGTGCTGTGTAAATAAAGGCCCATGGTGCTGTGGAACCTATGGGTACACTCTCCTCTGAGCACGCTGGAACCTTTCAGGACTCTTGTCTTAGTGGGTCTCAGGGCTGAGCTGTCATGGCAGGTAGTTCCTAAGAGATGCATGGTCCTCACAGTTGGTGAGTTCCTAAGTGGGTCTCAGGTGTTCAGTGTAGCTTCTTGGGGACACGGAGACACTGTCCAGAGGCGATTTTGTGTGTGTGTCACCCCCTGACCTTTTGTTTTAGTATTTTGCCACCATATTAATGAAGTTATTTTCTCTAGCCACACATTTTGGATAAAAATATATGCAGTTAAGTAGGCTCTGGAAATATTAATGTCAGGCAACAAGAGAGTTGCCTGGAAAGGAGGCCGAGGGTCACTGAAACTTGTTGATTTAATCATCCTCCTTGCTCCAGGGTTCCTAGGACCACGGGCAAATTCAAAATCTTTGTTGGTGGTGGAAGTAATGAGAGACCCATGTAGTTTATGTTAAAGGTAACAGAAGGAACACAAGTCCATTCAAAACCCTGCTCCAAGCTCTACCAGAACAAAGTCCAGGTAACCTGCTCCTCAGGCTCTGAGTTCTCATTTTGTATCAGCATCTGTGTTCCAGGCAGGATAAAGATTTGGGAGAGCATTGTTCATTCCAGGGAGTACCCAGCATGCCCCCCCTCAGCAAAAAAGCAAAAGAGCAAAAAGGCTTTCTTCACCACTTCCCCTCGTGAGAATTGCAGTTCAATAGTATAGACTTCTGAGCAGGGGCATCTTTAGGTTAACATCCTAACTCGCAGGTCTTTGGTTTAACTGAACTTTGGAGGCCTCAGAGGCTCTTACATCCTTCAAGGAAATATTGAAAACAGAAGCAAGTGTGTCAAACACAGGTACCTAGTGAAGCTTGAAGAATCTAATTTTGCAGGAGGGCATCTTCACATAAGTGCTGCGGTTTTGTGTAAGGTAAGTCTGGGAGGGCAATCAGATTCATTTCAATCTTGAGCTCTCCACAATTTCCAGTCCAAATACATGTAGCTGGAGTTTGTTTTTTTCTCTGTCATTACTGCTCGGTCCAGTGTTTCCATTTTAAAAGGTGCGCATGTGGACTGAACCAAAACCGGGATTATTTAAAATACTGTGCAGGCTGATTTCATTTAAATGGCACCACTATCTTTGGCTAATAGTGCATTCTTCGTGAAATACGCAGATGTGGCTGTGCCTAGAGAATGTCATATCCACTACCGCAACGATGATATGGCCACGTGCAGGGGCATTCCTACTTTCCAAAGGCTTTTTTGCTGGTCATTTGGCTGCCTCCCTCCTTTCTCCAGGGACCGTGGAACACTGCATCAGGGCCATCTCTGCCTTCTGCAGGGCTCAAGCTTCTGTGCACACTCAGCTTCTCTTTGCGCACAATGGATGCTCAGTAATGGTTACTGATTGAATGCTTAGTAAATATTACTTGAAAATAAGCTAAAATGGTCCTAGATTAGATGCTGACTTAGTTTTTGCCATAGAAAGATGCATATTGAGTTGAAGTAATAAACCCTTTGATTCCTTGGCCACTTTTGCTACATAGAGAATTAGCTCCCGGCCCCCAAAGATGCCAGGGACAAGGAAAAGCTTGTCCTGCATCTCTGTGCAGCTTTGGAATTAATTTTGGGTGTAAATCCTTAAAAAAAAAAGTGTGCATTCCCTGTGCACTAAATGTTGGTCTCTGGGAAGAGAAGAATGTGGAGTTAAGTACCTCATGGCTAGAAAGCGTTAGAACCTCAGTTGTAACCGAGGTGTATGATTCCTAGTTGTATGCTTCTTAATGACTTGGGCTTTATTTTTACATTGGCACAAACAGCTAGCACAACCATGGAAGTCATTGTCACTTAGTCTCTGGGGCCAGCCTTTGCTAACAACAAAGTCTCCTGACTCTCCTGAGCCCCTATCCTGCAAGAAAACTTATTTTGGACTGTAGCCTCACACAAAGGGTCAGTGTCAGCAATCTGTGAGCACAGACATGCAGGAGGGAGGAAGCCTGAGTGGCTCCCTCGGTGCCAGCCACCTCCTCCGAGCGAGCGTGGGCCCGGGCTAGGTGGAACCTAGGCAGTAGCTGGTGTGATGGAGTGGCTGGAGGGGTTGGAGGCAGAAGGAGATGCAGTTAAAATTCTCCGCCTTGCTTGAACATGTCCTCCTGGAAGCCATGAAGTTAGGGAATGTGTGACTGTGTGTTTTTCTTTTTCTTCACCCCCTCCCCGCCTTCCCTCTT
Source organism: Homo sapiens (assembly GCF_000001405.40). NCBI lineage: Eukaryota > Metazoa > Chordata > Mammalia > Primates > Hominidae > Homo > Homo sapiens. The sequence goes on along the minus strand of NC_000011.10, from coordinate 133,541,717 downwards.
TTTCTTCCACCAAATGCAAATCAATAGATGTGTATTCACAGCCTAACAAGATGTCAAGGAGAGAAGAGTAGCCTTTTCATTCAGAGAAGAGTAGGGAGAGGCCCCTCCACACAGGGAGAAAAGGAGGACAGGAAATGGGCGGGGAAAGCAAAAGGGAGGAGAGAGAAAGGGAAAACCAAAGTCAGCCACAAGACAGAGGGTGGCGCTCCGGGCAGGAGTCTGGGAGTGCTGGCCCTGCCTGACACTTACTTGTGGGTGGGCGTCCTTCCGCATTCCTGCTCTTCACTTTGGAAAAGGGCTAATGACTTTTTCCCCCTTACATAGGCTATTTCAGTTCTTGCTTGAGAGACGTTCTGGGGGAAAACTTGCATACGAAGGTGAAAATCTGGTGCCATTTTCTTCAATACTTAGTTAAAGTGGGATCAGGCATATCTAAATAGAAGGCTTGTGATGAGGCGAGCTTGGTTATTGCACTGTCTCCAGCACATCTAGCCAGTGTTTGGGCTGTGTGTGAGCTAAGGCAATGCTTATGTGATTAGTGACAGCAACAGTGTTTGAAAGGAGCATTCATTGTCGGGGCTGGCTGGTAGGAAAGGCCTAAGTATCAGGATATATGTATGCCGGTCCTGGCTTAATCCTTGATTTGCTAGGATTTGGGTCAGATCTTTTCATCTCAGTTCCTCCTTATTTTTCTATCTGCGAAGTGGGGCTAATTTGTTCCTTCTGTGCTCCTTCACACGGGGGTGAAGCAAATAAATGACTTCATGAAAGTGCATGTTTGACGCACACTTCAGCAGTAGTCACTCATATTTCAGTGACTCCTGTTTGTGCAGGACTTTGCTTTCTATTGGAAGCAGAGCTTGCTATTCCAGGTGTGGTCACAGTTCTGTCTGTCATCTTTCCTGCTTCATGGCTACTAAGTGCATGAACTTGTATGCAGTCAGTTATGGAGGGCTGATCTCCAGTGTCTTCGCTAATCTCACAGACATGATAACAAAGGGTTAAAAAGGTACAAATCCCAAGGACAAACAAAAAATAGAAAAAAAATTGGAGGTGTGATGGATGTTTTCTTCAGAAAAAAAAAAAAAAAACAACAATCAGTGGCAACTGATTTAGTGAAGAAAGGACATTTAAGGGTCTGCAGGGTGACATGACAGATAGACTTAGACTGTTGGACCCAGGCCTGGGAATGAGAGGTACAGGATACCTTGGAAGACACAAATGGGGAGGGCTGAAAGTAAAGGATTGGTTGAAAGTCTGTGTCATACACTTCTCATCCCCAGAATTCCCTGATCCTCCCACTATAGCATGAATGGAAAGTTAATTTTTGGAAGGAATTGAAGAAGAGAGGCTCCAGTCTCAACCACAGGAGAGAGTTGAGGCCCTCTATTAAAAACAAAGAGGTTGAGAGTCTCCATCCTGAATGGTGAAACCCACTGAGCCTTCTTCTAGAATGAGAGAAGCCAGGATTTTACTCCCCTGGGAAGAGAATGAAGGGCTCCTCTGTGGGGAAATTTGTCTGGCTTAAGGACAAAAAAAAGGACCTACAACTGCTGACACTTTGCGGGAAGGGGCCCCAAGGCCAGCTCCTTGCCTGATAATCTTTAAAGGATCTGCCAGTCAATAATGCAAGTTAGTCTTTTGTTGCTTTTCTCTTGAATATAAAAGGAAGACCAAAGATCACCAGACAGTTGAGGAAGCTTTTCCGCATAAAAGCCAAAGACAACACAACTGAGGGAAAAAAAATACGTTATCTGAGGAAATGGAGATTTTGCAGGCAGCAAAAGGAAATCTCAGAAGCCTTAATTAATATCCTCAGAGAGATGTTAGAAGATATTGTGAACGTGAAACAAGAATAGGGAACTATTTTTTAAAAAAAGACAACAAAGAAGACCATTTGAAATTAATAGTTTGATAGTATAATTAACAAAATTCACTAGGAGAAATTAAAGTCAAGGGCATCTTGATGAAAAAGAGAGAAAATAGATGGAAACCAATCCAGGTACTCTAATGTCCTTTTAATAGGACCTCCACAAATAAGAACAAATAAAATAGAGAAGAGAAACATTTTGAAGCCACAATGTGAAAAAAATTCAAAATTCCCAGAGTTAAAGGACATGAACATTTTCACACTAAGAGAGTTTATTGAGTGCCTGTCACAATGAAAGGAAACAGATCCACATTAAGAAAGATCTTTTTTTTTTATTTTTTGAGAGGGAGTCTCACTTTGTCACCCAGGCTGGAGTGCAGTGGCGCCATCTCGGCTCACTGCAAGCTCCGCCTCCCGGGTTCACGCCATTCTCCTGCCTCAGCCTCCCAAGTAGCTGGGACTACAGGCACCCGCCACCACGCCCGGCTAATTTTTTTGTATTTTTAGTAGAGACTGGGTTTCACCGTTTTAGCCGGGATGGTCTCGATCTCCTGACCTCGTGATCCGCCCGCCTTGGCCTCCCAAAGTGCTGGGATTACAGGTGTGAGCCACCACACCTGGCCTAAGAAAGATCTTTACAAAATTTTGGAAAGCCATGAATAAAGAGAATACCCTAAGTATTTACTGAGACAAAATAAAGCTGTCTCACATACAAAGATACATAAATTGATATTCATCAGACTTTTCAACAAAAATGCTTAAACTTAGAAGAACATAGAGAAATGACTTCAAAATTTGAAGTGGATACTCATTCTCAACCCAGCATTCTATGTGCAGCTTAACTAGCTATACATGTTGAGTGAGGTAAGAATAAAGCCATTTTCCAGTATGCAGATAACCACCTAAGTATGCTTTCTCAGCAATCTATACAAAGATGAGTTGCATTAATACAAGGAAAGACACCGAGAGGAAAGAAAACCTGCCTCCAGAAACAAGGGAGAAGCACAGGCTGTTGTATTCTCTTGGTAAAGGGAAGTCCCAGATGACACCTGAGGTTCAGGGGGATGAATGACTCTGGGGAATGCCTTTAATACAAGACATTGAGAGATTACTCAATTGATTCAACAATAATGAGACAAATTTTAGAGTTCTGCAGAAAGTTTGGGGAGAGTCAATGATAGGTCTATAAAAAATTAAGCAAATTAAACAAAAAGGCAAATATTATCTCCAGGAAAAGCAAACAGTTGCATAAGAAAGACAATAATAAAAAATGTCAATACTGCATATTGATATAATTAAACAACTGCATATTGATATAATTAAACACTGTGAAATTATTTATATTTAAAAAGGGGGCCGGGTACGGTGGCTCATGTCTCTAATCCCAGCGCTTTGGGAGGCCGAGGCGGGCGGATCACCTGAGGTCAGGAGTTCAAGACAAGCCTGGTGAACATGGCAAAACCCCATCTCTACTAAAAAATACAAAAATTACCCAGGCGTGGTGGCAGGTGCCTGTAATCCCAGCTACTCAAGAGGCTGAGGCAGGAGAATCTCTTGAACTCGGGAGGCAGAGGTTGCAGTGAGCCAAGATTGCGCCACTGCACTGCAGCCTGGGTGATAAGAGTGAAACTCCATCTGAAAAAAAAAAAAAAAAAAGGGAGGAGAGGTGCAAGGTTAGCAGGGAACAAGGTTGAATCCTCATCTCCTGTGGTAGGTAGTCAGTAAATCATTTTAAAAATTGTTAAATGAAGAAGTGGAAGAATAAGCACTTTTTTTTTTTTTTCAATCTTTCACCGGGCTGGAGTGCAGTGGTGCGATCTCAGCTCACTGTAACCTCTGCCTCCCACGTTCAAGTGATTCCCCTGCCTCAGCCCCCCGGGTAGCTGGGACTACGGGCACCTGCCACCATGCCCAGCTAATTTTTGTATTTTTAGTAGAGACGGGGTTTCACCATGTTGGCCAGGATGGTCTCAATCTCTTAACCTTGTGATCTGCCCGCCTCGGCCTCCCAAAAATATAAGCACAATTTTAAAAGAAAGGAAGCAAATACCGGAAGAAATAGCTAAAAGAGATGGAAGTTGTTGCTCCCGCGGAGTGGGATTTGGAATGCTGTTTTCAATCTTAAGCAGTTAACACTAAAAACTTGATAAACTATGTAATATATTACTTTAAGGTTTAAAAAATTTTTTTAAGTATGATGCTGACATCATGTAGTAAACCTTGTAATGATTTCATGTAAGCGTATCAGAGACCTTTGAGGGAGGATGGAAAGCATGTGGCCTTTGGAGTCAGCCAGCTCTGAGTGAATCTCAGCTCTGCCAATGCTCTGCAGAGCCTTGGGGAAACCCTAGCTGACATTTCTGTGAAGTGTGTGTTGCAGTGTCTACTTTGTGGAAGGGATTGGTGTGAAGAGTAGCCACGGTGCATGTTAGCCACCTTGCAGGGAAACTGGAACGTAGTGCATGTTTCATAAGTGATACTTATTGTTAAGGCTTTCTTGGGCTTGACCAAGATATTTTGTGAACATATTCAAATTTCGAAGAAGTATCAGAAATAGGTTAAGACCTGAGTCCAAAGGTACAACTCCCATTGTAAGAGAGTCCCTGGGACTTCAGAAGGGCTTACTCTTCTAGTCATAAGCCAGTCATTTAATAAATCATTGCTCCTTTGAACTAAATGACACCTTTGTGGTTTAAAGGAGTTAATGTGCCTTCCAGAGTCTTTAACTTGCTCTCAGGGAATCACTTACAGCTCAGGAGGCTCCAGTTCATTTTGGAATATTGAAAGCTTAAGTGGAAGAGTCAGATTTTAATCTGTAATGTTTTATCATCTTCCGCTTTTTATTTTTTGCAGGCAGCCCCCAACCCTAACAAGTATTTCAGTATCTAAAAATCCATCCTTCCTGTTCCATTGTTGGGCTCCAAGTGCACCAATCCATCATCTTAACACTATTTACTGCAGAGTTTGTCTCAGCAAAAGGTTGGGTGAATGTGAATTGCACTAAAGAGCTGTTAGTGTCCACACAGTCTACTCTCTGCTTCCGGGGTTTGCACTTGCTGCTTTCATCTGCCAGGAACAATCTCGGGCTTTTCCTCCTTCTGGGAAGCTCCTACTGGGATCCCAGCTTAGAAGTCCTGTCCTCAGGGCAGTCTCACACTCTCCCCGTCCCCAGGTGTATCTGTATCTCATGCTTTGCCATAGACCTATATATTTTCTACACACACTTGTCATAAATGTAATCAATTCACGGTTCAATGTTCTCCTCCCCCACTGCTCTCTGAATTTTGGAGGGGTGAGGACAGTCTTGTCTTGCTTTACATTGTATCTCTTTGCATCACATGTAGTAGGTTTGTACCTGGCCCAGAGTAGGTATCTAAGAAATATTTATTGCATGAATGAATGGATACATAAAATACCACAAGGTAATCTCTTCATCAGTGCAGTTCTCTGTATAACAAAGAAACAATATGAGTCAGAGGAAGTCCCTGTATCCTTGCCCAAGGTCATACAGCTGGTGTGAAGGAGCAGGACTGGCATCAGGCAGGAGCACACCTTGGACCCAGGGGGACCTCACCCCTGATCCAACATTCCCATTCCCCATCTGGCCCTAGGAAGCTGGCCGCTGCCTTTGAAGATGTCAGCCCAACACCGCTGTTCCAGAAGAAAGAATCCTAGTCAGAAGTGCAAGTGTGACAGTCAAGTCTCCTTGCACAACTGCCTGGTGTTGGTTGGTTTGTTCCCCCACATTGTTGCTATTTAAATACAGTTTTGATGATTTTGTTTGCTTTGGAAGAAGAAAATAAAGATTCACAGAAGGTATAAAATTGCATATTATTTACCCCAGAGAAGAGAGCAGTCCCCCTAGTAAATATGCATTGAAGCATTTTTATTTGTATTTGTATTTTTTAAAGATGTTTAAATAGACCCAGTAGACCGTAATATCTCTTTACAGAGTTGGTGCCATCTATTGATTAAATATGCATTTATACATTTCTTCCTCTACTTTTTTTAAATAAAAGAGACATATGTTTTAATCATATAATAGACCTAAAAGAATTGATCAGTGAAAATACATATTTATGTGTTTCCTTAAGGAAGATCATATTAGGTATACAAATTTTAAAAATTTTTTCCTGCTATACATAGAAGTGTGTTAAATGTGAATTTAATTAAAAGACTTGGGGTATGTGTGTGTGTGTATGCTCATGTGTGTGCATGTGTGTGGACTAGGAAAAATGTTGGCAGAATAAATGGGTGTTTTTAAAACAAAAATATAGTTGACAGGGAAAGGTGAAAGAATGTAAACTCTGGAGTAAGAAAGACCTCAATTTCCTTGCCACTTATTAGTCTTAGAGGAGGGACTCGAGACTCTCTGTAACTTGTTCTATTTATTTATCTTTGAAATGGGCTAGCAATACAGAGAAAATTTATGAAGTTCCTAGGATTGTGATTGGCCCAAGACAGTTTAATGAAAGTTTGCTCCTGTCTGGCCACTAGCTACCGACTAGTAGTGTGTGCCCCTCTTTCCTGGAGTGGGGTTGGGGCTGCATGGAATGCACTTCCATGTCCTCAGGTGCTACTGCACAGGCAGCGCTGGGACTCGGTCCCCTCCTAGGCTGCCAGTGCTGCTCCTTCTCTCTCCTCCTGGTGGTTAAGAGCACCAGTGGTGAAGGCAGGCCTTGAACCGGGGCTCCACACCCGGGCAGCTCTGCAATGTTGGGGATGTTATTAAAGCTCTTTGAGCTCCAGTCTCTCCCTCTAGTCTGTGTGGGTGATAAATAAATAGGGATTTATAAGGGCAATACCTGAGTGATTGGCATGTGAATATTCAATAAAATGATGGTGCCCAATATGATAATTTCTTCTAGGGAGTCGCTTATTTGGAAACAGAAAAACCCAGGATTAAATTTTGGCTGTCACTAACTAGCTGTGTGACCTCGGATAAATTACCTAACCTTTCTAAGTCTCGGTTTCTTCATCTCTCAAAAAGGCATAATTACACCTTCATAGAGTAACGGCTAGGAATTGAATGTGATAATATTTTTAAAAAAAATCTAGCCTGCAGAGGGTGAATACATGATGTCTATTATCCGTAGAATGCCATCAGTCACTACGTCCTCCTAACTCTTCTGCGTTCCACATACAACCCCCTTCTTTTCCTCTTCTACTGCTACCACCAGTTCCAGGATCTATCAAACTTGGGCCATGCCTACTAACAAGTGTGCTTGCCACAATCCCTCCTGTACACTTCACCCAGATTAATTTCCATAAATTAACTCCCTCTCATTCACAGCGCTCCCCTGCTCAAAAAGAAATTAACTGTTTTTCCCAGCAGGGGGAAATTTCTAAATCACTGGTCTAGGACTCAAGGTCTTTCTCTCTTGGTCTCCCATCTCCTCCCCTAACTCCCCCCTGCAGGGTTTCTACCTGTGTCTGCTCTCTTCCCCTCCATGAGATGTCTATCTCATTTCTGTGGCCTATCTGGTCTCTCCCACAATTTCAAGCCAGTTGTATTCTCCAGCGTATTCAGCCACTGGTAATAATTCTGGATTTCTGCAGGATTCCAGCATTGCCTGAAGGATTCACATATCAATTTGCTTGTGAACGACATGTTTGCAGTGATGAGGTCTACAAAATTTGACTCTAACAGTGTGTACGTGTCCTATTATTTTTATGTACATTCGCAAAGTCACAATGCTAACTTTTGGCTGATCTCCTGACTTATATTGTATGCCCTTTATAGACGAGAACAAATCATATTCTTCATATTCTCATCCCTGAAAAAATGACTATGTTAAGTAGGTACTTCATAAGTGTCAGCGGATGATACAATCATCATCTGTTTTCTCTTTTACTGCTGAAGTTTTCTGACTTGTTCATAAGGAGGGGAGTAATCAATTGTTTTACTTCTTTAAAAGTAAACATGATTTATTTTATAGAAAGAGAGGCGCTCAGTCAGGCCCAAAGAACTTGTTGGCAATTGGCTGCTTTATAAAAACTGTGTGGATTTTGCAGGACAGACCTGGGTTTTTATCTTAACTCATTAGCTGTGTGGCAAGTCACTGAATCGCTGTCAACCTCAGTTGAAAATTCAGGGGTCATAATGCCTACAAGGAAGGACGCTGGTGAGGATTAACTAAAGTGATAGAGGTGAATACCTGCCCATAGTAGGTCACTTGGGAAAACTTTGGGAATTGCAGCAAAGGAGGAAGGGAGAAAGACCTCCTGTGGAGTGTCCCTCACAGACCTCAAGGTGTGGACACGTGGAGCTGGGAAGGAATCCAAGCCACTTGAGGTCTTCGGAGAGCACCTGGGACAGAAATCGTCTGCTGAGTCCCTTCTCTAATACTTGGTGCTATTTTGATCACAGACCCTCCAAGTTCAGGGTATAGTTCAGTGGCAGCACCACTCAGCCAGCAAGGTGTGCTGCTTACAAGCACGTGTTAGGGAGGGCAAGCAGGCCGTTTTAGAGCAGGGGAAAGTTCTGAGGTTTCTTACACCCAGAGATACTGCCATCCTGTGTAAACTGCCGGTGTAAACTGCCATTCCAGAGGAAGGGACAGACTGGACCCTGAAAAGGAGAAGCAGAAAAAAAAAAAACAGAAGGAAGCCACAGGTATCCTTCTGTGGCCTTCTCCTTGTGAAGATTTCCGATGACTTCAGCAAGTTTCCGCCTCCTTGAGATCTAATCTGAATCTGTCCCTGCCTATGCTGTAATCATAGCAATTGTTTGAGCTTCTATAGCATCTTGCCTTGGTAGAGTTTCAGAATGCTCTGATTGTGGGGAACTGGCCAATTCTCCCTGCATCATTGGTTTAAAACCGTAACATGCCCATCTCCTTACTGGGAAAACCAACTGCTTCCAAATGCTGTTAATGGCCGAATGGAGGGGTAGGGTGCAGATTTAAATGTCTGAGCTCTCCCCGTGGGTAGCAGTTCCTGCTCCATCCCTGCCTGGAGACTAGGAAGAAGGAAGAATGATAAGGAACTGGCATGGGCATTAGTCACATTTCTGCCAAGCAACCTTTCTTTCTTGGTGTGCCCTGAGCCCTGCTGGCAGTGCCAGGCCCTCTCCACTGCCCACCAAGGAGCTCGTGTGTGTTCACGTGTCCACGTGAGCCCCACATCAACATACTCACACAGATAGCAACACGCAGGGCTGTGCTCCGGTGAGGGGGTGAGTGAGGGGCCGGCTTCGACTCCCCTTGGAGTCAAGCCTTCCAAGCAGGAAAGTCTCCTTCCGTCGCTCAGGAGAGTGGAGCCAATGCGTGCCTTGGAGGACTGCTCTGAGCCCTGTGCAGATTGGTGCTGATGATTCTTACCAGTTGTGTGCAAGAAAAGAAATCAGAGACGCTGCCTGCCTGCTCCCATCTCTCGCGCGCTCTCTCTCTCTTCTGCTCTCTCCCTCCCTTTGCAAACATTGGATTTAAACCTGCTCAGAATTCAGCACAGAGGAAGGCAGCAGCGGTAGCAGCAGCAGAAGCAGTAGCAAGCCCGGCAGCTGAGAGCACCGCAGCGTCGAGATGTACCATCCTGCCTACTGGGTCGTCTTCTCGGCGACAACTGCCCTGCTCTTCATCCCAGGTACCGTACAGGGGAAGGGTGTTTTCTCTCCCTGGGGTGATTGTACGACGTGAGAGCAGGAGAGGCAGTGGGGAGATGGAGAGGCAAGGAGGAAGGGGTGAGGACAGGGAGTGTGAGATGCATGTGAGTGAAAGAGGTAGGCTTGCTGTGTGCACGCACACACACACTCACTCGCTCACACGCGCGCAGATGCTTTCAGCACGGGATTTGCTCTCTGTTCCGGGGGATCCAGTGAGCTGGGTTCGAGATCTGCACCATGCTGTGAGGCACTGCTGTTTCAGTGAAAGTCACCAACTGGCATTAACCAGCTGTGGTCCTGGGGGTAGGAGAAGAGGGGTTTGAACTCCCAGCCATAAATCCTTCTTGCTGCCTATGTTGGGACCTGCAGGGTGGAAGGGGCACCCTCTTATCTCTCTCAGTCGTGGTGGTCTCTCTCTGTTTCTGAATCAGTCCAGATCTCTGCGCCTCCCTGTCTCTCTCTCTGTTTCTTTTCTCTCTCTCTCTCTCTCTCTCTCTCTCCCTCTCCACCTCTCCCCACTCTCCTCCTCCCTCCCTTCCTTCGGAACTGCTCTCCCCTACCCTCTCCCCCTGGAGCTCCTTCCCTGCCCCATCCCTCCTTCTCAGCTCACTCATCTGCTCCTGCATTTCTTGTTGTAACACAGGCCCTCTACTGCCTGCCGTCCTTTCTTTATCCTTCCACCAAATGGGCAGATTATGCCCTTGAAATTCGGAATCCTCTCAGTATCTCCTTCCTGTTCCTTACGTCAGGAATATGAATTTCCCTTGGCAGAATTTGGGATGTCCCTGCTGAGGGAAGGTTGGAAATTTGGATTTGCCTGATTCTCCCCAGCCCCTTCCCCACCTTGTCTAATGATTTAAATGTGATCCCACCTCTCACAGCAGTTATTTGTTTGGGGAAAACAAATCTGCAGTGACACAGGTAAGATGCTGCAATCCTACCAAAATGAGCTTAGCAGAAGCGTTGCAAAATTGAAGGCATCTTAATAGATTTGATAATTGCACAGGAGTCCTTTGCAAGCAGACAACTGAATGCCTGCAGGCATCTTTCAAACAATGCCGAAGGGGCTAGGTTATGCTTGCCAAGGTTTTAGGCAGCAGCAAAAGTGTCGGTTTTCATACCAAACCGTCGCACAGTCAGGATCTCTTTTTTTCCCCCAAATTGAGATAAATGCATTGTGTTAAACATTAGCTTAAACCTAAATTTTCATACATATATACACAGACAGGAATGCTAAGATTTTAAAACCTTACCTGCCTTTTTATAGGTAAAACATACAGTTTTATGTTTCTATATTCAGTATTACTTGGTAGGGTTTTGTGGGAATATTTTCAGTGTTGTTTTTAATAATATAATTCCCTGAGTAGTCCTAAGATGCCAAAGTGAAATCAGAAAAATGGAAGTTTACTGGGGAGAAAGAAGAGAGGATCAACTAAAACAAGTAATCCAGCCTGTAATGTTTTGTAACACCTTGTGAAGATGGCACTTTTTAAAGCAGGGATGGGCTCTGCATAACCATGTTCCCAGCTGTTTGTTTTAGGCTGACCAAGAAGTTCAGAGTGG